>NC_000005.10:100734807-101359807 GCF_000001405.40 Homo sapiens
TAAAATAAGCCCCCATTTTAACTAAAGCCAAATTTTGTAAACAGGGAGCTTAGTGAAAGGGTGAGATTCTCCTCCATGTATCACTTGCTAAAACACTCTTCTTCGTGTTCCTTAAGAACCTTATATATTCCCCTGTTAGTCTTATCACAGGGCACAATAATACCCCGTGTATGAATTGACATCCTCCATTAGACTGCATTTAGCAATTTGCATCCCTCAGAGACCTTTTTTATACCACAGTAATTTCTAAAGAATTGCTAGTGGCCCTGAGGTCTTATTTCAAATTCCACTAACAATGGTGAAGTTTCACAGTCAAATGGAAAGAATATCATACATGGAATCAGATAAATCAAATTTGTGTCCCATACTGCCATTGACTAGCTTTCTCAGTCTTGCTTAACTTCTCTGAGCCATACTATCTTTATCTGTAAAAAGGGGTAATGCGAAAGCCTATTTCACTGATGTTCACTTTCTTTGAGGATTAAATGGAAAAATGTATACTGCCACCTCTAGAGAGGTAATTTAACTGATCTGATCCAGGACCTGAGCTTCAGAACTTGAAAAATACAGTGATCTCTGAGTGAGTCAAATTACAGCTGGAATAGAGAACCTCTGGCTAATTTAATTTGATAACACAGAAAACCACCTAATTTATTCATTATACTTTATATTCTATGTTAAATAGCTTAGTCTTTCTATTGCTTACACAAGGTTTAAAGTGAGAAGAAATCAATGACCTGTTTTCCTTTATTACTCTCTATAGGTTAAGGCTATTAATTTAAAAGTGAATAGAAAATTAGAAAGATGATGACTTTGATTTCATTCCTTTTTCATTATACTCTTCTATTTTTTGTAATTGTCCTATAGTGATTATCCACTAGTATACTTTTCATAACTTATAAAGGCTTTGTTACTGTTATTAATTCTTTCCTTATTTTGTATGTATTGTATGATAAACATTTTAATTCTATAATCCACTTGCTTTTATCTTCTGTCATACCTCTGAAAACTAAATCATGGCCAGACAATATTTTATAATTCTTAATTTAAGGAATATTTTCCCTCAGCTTAGTTGTTATAAATTATTTTAAAGGTATTTCTAAAAGTCCACATCTAGTACTATTATTACCTTTTTCTCAACCCTCATTTTTTCATTCTTTAATTCTCTTCTGTGTTAAATGGCTGTTATGCCCCATGTTCTATATGGTTTCATATTCTGTGCTATTATTATTTCTTAGAATAATATTTTCTTTCTCTTTTTCTTTTTTTTGCCTAAGTGAATATTGCACTTCCTTTGGTCTGTACCCCAAACAAAATAGCAAAGAAAGCAGAAATCAAGCCAAGCTTAGAATCATGAAATCTTTCTTTGCAAATCTCAGTCCAAAAAAAATTTTTTAATCCCAAAACATAATTAACACTCTATGCTGAACTATATAGTCTCAGTTTATATTATATACAGTCATATTTCCACCTGTTAATCTTAAGGAAGAGGAATATAATTATTTTACATTCTGAGAGTTACCCAGTTTAACTGGGTGGGAAATGCACCCATCAGTTACTGATTGACTCAATGACCATTTGGCTACTCTGCAGCTAGGTATTTAGCTATACAACATATATTGCAAGATGTCATATCCCTTGCAAACTAAATACATCTGAAGAATTTCCTCTGTAAGCTTTATACTGTGATACATTATAAATTTAGCATTTTCAGGAAATAAAGTTTGTCCACAACTGGAACTCATCTATGCTGAATATATTATTTCAATTACTTTTGATGAAAATTTATCTAAAACCGTTCTAGATTTCTTTATTAAATGATATTATTTCTTTAAAAGAGAACTTACTAAACTTTCAATGAAGTTTAACAAATTACAGAAAAGTTCAGCTCAATACATTTTCACATCAACACATCCAATGAATTCACCATCCAGATCAAGAAACAGTCTTACAAGGAACCTAGAAACCTCATGAGTAACCCAATACAGGGTAACTATTCACCTGAAGTCAAATATAGCAGATTCATTATACCTAGTTTTCACTCGTCTGTAAAAGGAACCATAAAATATGTACGATTTTATGTTTTTTCATTTAACATAATATTTATGTGTTCTGTTCACATTACATGCATTTATATTTTTTGTAGTTGCCATTGTATGCAAACACTAAAACTTATTTACCCATTTTACAGACAATGGGCATTTTGATTGTTTCCATCCAGTTTGGGACTACTATGAATAGTGCTCTTATGAACACTTTTTTTTTTTTTTTTTTTTTTTTTTTTTTGAGACGCAGTCTTGCTCTGTTGCCCAGGCTGGAGTGCAGTGGCGCGATCTTGGCTCACTGCAAGCTCTGCCTCCAGGGTTCACACCATTCTCCTGTCTCAGCCTCCCAAGTAGCTGGGACTACAGGCGCCTGCCACCAGGCCCGGCTAATTTTTTTTTTTTTTTGTATTTTTATTAGAGACGGGGTTTCACCGTGTTAGCGAAGATGGTCTCGATCTCCTGACCTCGTGATCCGCCCACCTCGGCCTCCGAAGTGCTGGAATTACAGGCGTGAGCCACCTCTCCCGGCCGAACATTCTTACATACAATGTAAGTTGTTTAATCTTTTGTGACTGTCTTCTTTCACTTGGCACTATGTTTACAAATTTTATGCATGTTGTTGTATGTATCAGCATTTTATTATTTTTATTGTCAAAAACTTCTATTGTATGGTTATTTTATTTACTCATGCATTAATGGATATTTGGGTTGCTTACATTTTATGACTATTATTAATAATGATGCTATGAAAAATTGTGTACTAGTTTTTGTAGGAATGTATGTTTCTACTTGTCTATATTCTTAGTAGTAAAAATACTGCTCTATATGGTAATTCTAGGTTTAAAATTTGAAGACTGCAAAACTGATTTCCAAAATGGCTCCACCATTTTACATTCCCAATAGAAATGTATTGGGTTTCTGATGTCTTCATATTTCTTGCTAATACTTGTCATTACCTCTCTTTTTGATTATAGCTATTCCAGCAAGTGTGAAGTAGTATCTTGTAATTTTTATTTCCATTTCCCTAGTGGCTAATTATGTTAAAAATGTTATTTATGTTATTGGCCATTTGTGCACCTTTTTTGAATAATGCCTATTCAGATTCTTTTGCCAATTTTTAATAAGCTTATTTTGTTTTCATTATTATTTTTGAGTGGTAAAATTCCTTTAAATATTTTGGATAACAGATCTTTATCAGATATGTGACTTACAAATATTTTTCCCCATTCTGTGTGTTAAGTTTTCACTTTTCTTTTGAAGAAAAAAAAGTTTTTAATTTTGATGAAGTCCAATGGAACTATTTTTTTCATTGCTATACTATTGGTATTATAACTAAGAAGGCTTTAATCCAAATCAAGAAGATTAACTTCTATGTGTTTTTCCTGAGAATTTAATAGTTTTAGCAATTACACTTAGTCTATGATCCATTTGGGATTAATATTTGTTTATATTGTGAGGAAGAGATCTAGTTTTATTCTTTTGCATTTGGTATCCAGTTGTATCAGCAATAATTTGTGAAAAGTCTGTTATTTTTCTATGAATTGCCTTGGCACTCTTATCAAAAGTCAATTGACCATAAGTTTGAGGATTTGTTTCTGGGCTGTACAAGTTCTATTTCATTGATCTATGTGTCTGTCTGTATGTGGTATGCAAGTACAACACCATTTTAATTTAACTTTTGAAATGGGGAAGTGTGGGCTCTGCAAATTTCTTTTCAAAAATGTTCTAGCTATTCTGAGTTTCCTGCATTTTCATACAAATTTTAGGATTAGCTTGTCAATTTCTGCAACAAAAAACCATTGAGATCATGAAGAAAAAATGGTGCTGAATCTTTTGATCAATTTGAAGAGTGCTGCTGTCTTACTGTTGATAATATTAAGTCTTCTGATTTGTGGGCATAGAATGTATTTCCATTTACTTAAGACTTCTTTAATTTTTTTCAACAACCCTTTAATGCTTTTACAATTTTGGGTTTATATTTGTTTTCTTATATTTATTCCTAAGTATTTTATTCTTTTTGATTCTATTAGTATAAATACGTTTTTTAAACTTTTATTTTTTATTTTTTTCTTGCTGGTATGTATATATAAATATAATTGATTTTATACATTGTTCTTGTCTTCTGCAATCTCTATGAACTCATTTATTAGTTCTACTAGATTATTAGAGTATTATATAGGATAGACTACATACAAGATTATTTATAAGACCATGTCATCTGCAAATAAAGATAAATTTATTATTTATTTTCCAATCTGATTTTCATTTTTAAAAATTGTCTTTATATTGCCTAACTGCCCTGGCTAGAACCTTCAGCACAATGAAGAGAACAAGTGGTAAGAGCGGACATCTTTATCTTGTTCCTAATTATAGGGGGAAATATGCAATAATTATAATATTTCTCATGGAATTTTCATAGACTCCTTTTATTTGCTTGAGGAATTGCCCTTTTATTTTCAAGTATTTGAGATTTCTTATTATGAAAGAGTGTTGGATTTTAGTCAAAGGATTTTTCTGTTGCAATTGAGATAATCATGTGGTTTTTGTTCTTTATTAAATTGCTACGATTTATTACATTAATTTATTTTTCAGATGCTAAACAAATCTTATTTTCTTTCTATAATCCCAAGAGGTCATGGTACATAATACTTCATGTAGGTATTATTTTTGGAGCATTTTGAGGTTTACAGAATAAAAATTATGTAAAGATAAGAAGGATTCTCTATACTCCCTCTCTTCTACCCTCAGTGCTTCTTATTACTAACATCTTGCATTTTTGTGCTATATTTGCTATAACTGAGTAACTAATATTGATAGATTATTATTAACTATAGTTCATGGTTTACATTAAGTTTCACTCTTTGTGTTATATGTTTCTACTGGTTTTGCCAAAAGTATGATATTTTGAATTTACTATTTCAGTGAATATTACACATGATAGTTTCTCTGCCCCCCAAATCCCTCATGTACCACATATTCATCCCTCCCTACCTCTCTCTAAACTCTTGGTAATCGCTAATTTTTTTAAACTGTTCCCATAGTTTTGTATAGGATGTCATACAGTTAAACGCATACAGTACGTAGACCTTTCAGACTGGCTTCTTCCACTTAGCAATATGTATTTAAGGTTCTTCTATGTCTCTTTTTAGCTTGATAGCTGCTTTCTCTTTACTGCTGAAGAATTCTTCCATTGTATGTGTGCACCACAGTTTGCATTCACATTGGTTGCTTCCAATTCAGAATAATTATGAATGAAGCTGCTATAAACAATAGCAAGCAACTTTTTTGTGTGGACATGTGTTGTCAACTCATTTGCATAAATACCAAAGAAAGCAGCTGCTAGTAAAAGTGATGTAACATATTTAGCTTTGTAAGAAACCCAGGCTGTCTTCCAAGAACCTGTGCCATTTTGCTTTTCCATCAGCTGTGAATGAGAGTTCCTGTTGCTCCACATTGTCTCCACGACTTGGTGATGTCAGTGCTTTGGATTTTTACCATTCTAATTAGCATGTAGTAGTATCTTATTGTTGTTTCAAGTTGCAATTCTGAATGACATATGATGTTGAATATCTTTTATATGTTTATATAGCATCCATATATTTTCCTTGGTGAAATATGTATTCAGATCTTTTGCCCACTTTTTTATTTGGGTTGTTTACTTATGTTTGTATTTCAAGAGTTCTTTTTATATTTTGGATATACTTTTTTTAAAAATATGTGTTTTTCAAATTTCTTCTCCTAATCTGTGCTTTGTCTTTCTGTTATCTTAATACTGTCTTTTGCAGAGGAGGGGTTTTTGTTTTAATTTTAATAAAATCTAACTTACCATTTTTAACATCAATGATTGTGCTTTTGATGTTGTATCTAAAAAGTCATTGCCAAATCCGTGACTCCAAGACCACCTAGATTTTCTCCTATATTATCTTCAATAAGTTTTATAGTTTTACATTTTATCCTTAGGTCCGGGATCCATTTTGAGTAAATTTTTGTGAAAGGTGTAAGTTCTGTGCCTACATTCATCTGTTTGCATGTCAATATCCAGTTGATCTAGCACCATATGTTGAAAAGACTATCGGTCTCCATTAGACTATTTTTGCTTCCTTTTTATATATAAATTTAATATATTCATTTGGGTACATTTCTGGGCTCCTTATTTTGTTCCATTGATCAATTTGTCTCTTCCTTTACCAATACTACACTCCCTTGATTATTGTAGCTCTATAGTAAGACTTGAAGTTTGGTAGTGCTAGTCCTTTGATTTTGCTTTTCTCTTTCCTTAATATTATCTTGGTTCCTCTGAGTCTTTTGTCCTTATATATGAAATTTAGAATCAAATTGTCACTTTCCACTAAGTAACTTGCTGGAATTTTAATGGAGATAGCATTCAATCTTTATATGAAGTTCGGGAGAACTTATATATTGACAATATTGAGTCTTCCTATCCAAGGACCTAGAATATCATTTCATTTATTTAGATCATCTTTGATTTCTTTCCTGTTTCTTTGAGAGGGAGTCTCGCTGTCACCCAGGCTGGAGTGCAGTGGTGCAATCTCGGCTCACTGCAGGCTCCGCCCCCCTGGGTTCATGCCATTCTCCTGCCTCAGCCTCCCGAGTAGCTGGGACTACAGGCACCCGCCACCACGTCCGGCTAATTTTTTGTATTTTTAGTAGAGACAGGGTTTCACTGTGTTAGCCAGGATGGTCTCGATCTCCTGACCTCATGATCCACCTGCTTAGGCCTCCCAAAGTGCTGGGATTACAGGCGTGAGCCACCACGCCTGGCCTTGATTTCTTTCATCTAGGTTTTGTAGCTCTTCTCATATAGATCTTGTATATACTTTTTAGGATTTATACCTTAGTATTTCAATTTCTTATGCTGATATAAATGATGTGGTTTTAATTTCAAATTCCAATTGTTCGTTGGTAGTACATAGGAAAGTGTTCAACTTTTGTATATTAATCTTGTATTCTGCTACACGAGTATAAAAACTAAAATTTTAAAAAATGCATTTAAATCCTCGTCTAAAAATGTGTAAGGAACAGTCACTATCCTCTGAAACTCACAAATACAAGGGAAATAAAACAAGACATTAATTAAAATTCAAAGTGTTTGAGATGTGAAAAAATGTATTGAGAGCACTGAAGAAGAAATAATTCTTACTACAGGTTGATGAGGAAGAACTTTCAGAAGAGAAAATTTTGAACAGGGCGTTAATTTTTAAAAAGAAAAAAAGAATAAAATCATGTCCTTTGCAGCAACATGGATGGAGCTGGAGGCCATAATACTAAGTGAATTAATGCAGGAACAGAAAACTGAATACCACATGTTCCAACTTATAAGTGAGAGCTAAACATTCCGCATTCATGGATATAAACATAAGAACAATAGACACTGCAGACTACTGGGGGAAAAGGAGGGAGGGGGGTCATGAGTTGAAACACTACCTATTGGGTACTGTGCTCACTACCTGGGTCCAATATACCCATGTAACAACCCTACATATGTACCTCCTGTATCTAAAATAAAAATGGAATTTTTTTTAAAAAGTAACTTCCCACCAACCTCATTAATAAATATGACTACAAAAGCCTAAATAAAACAGCAAATTAAAAAAACAGAGAAACTAGCAAAAAGGCACTTCAGATAAAATAAACTAATATAATATTTTAAAAAAATAGCAAATAAAAACCAAAAACTAGCAAAAAGGCACTTCAGATAAAATAAACTAATATAATATTTAACAAAAAATATAGTTTGCTATGTACAGCTGTGTAAATTAGGCAGATTAGAAAAGATGAACAGTCTAGATTGTCACAGATCACACAAAGCTTAGCATACAATTTTGACAAGCCAATTATTCTATTATTTCAAAATAGCTGCACTATCCATCTTTATACTTTAGATATTAGACTTCACAAACATGGTTTCAGCATCTGCTTCTGGTGAGGGCCTCAGGAAGCTTACAATCATGGTGGAAGGCAAAGTGGGGGTAGGCACGTCACATGGCCAGCGTGGGAGCAAGAGAAAGAGGGAGGAGGTACCAATACTTTTAAACAACCAGATCTCTCGTGAACTTGCTCAACTTTTGGATACTGGCCACTTGACAGTTATTTTTCTCATTCTGTGTAGATTCAAGCTATTCTATGGAATTATCCAATAAATTCAAATTCAGAAAGATCTTTTGGTAGACATTAATAGCTGAAAGCTAAAGTTCCCAAATCACACTTTAAAAAATGCACTGATAAGAAGTCTCCCCTGCTCTTTTTATCTCTAAAAGTAGACACTAATCAAGTAGAAAGCGATCAAATAACAGAAAAATGCATCAATAAAAGAGACGAGAATCATAATCAAGGACTAGCGGATAATTTATGCTCTACCATCATATTTTAAAATCCAAAAAAACCTGCAAATGTTAAATTCTTTAATACTTTAATTCTAATGAATATCAGTAAGTTTAAGAATCAAGAGAGGGATACAGGATGAGAATGTACACAAACAGCCTATACCACAGTAGAAAATAACAATGGTTCACATTTATTAAATATTTCACATGTATTATCTCTACTAACTTATTTAGTTTTAACATGAATCCCTATCATTATTCACATTTTCCCATGTAGAAATGGAGGCTTAGAAAGTGAAAAGACTTGCCCAAAGTAGCTCAGCTATTAAATGACAGAGAAGAGATTCCATCTCAGGCCACCCAATATGAAAGCTTTGGAGATAGAGAAACTGACATGGAAATCCAGCACCCTTCCTTGCCGACTTCACAATGACCATTTTAGTGGTGAAGTAATTAAGAAAAGTAAAATGTGAGGCCAGGATTCCCATAATTTCAAACATTGTGTGTTTTTCACCTTGTCATATTATACTATAATAGTACAACTATTTCTATATTAAAAATGCATTCAAGAGAAGATTATAATGTTTTAATTTTGGTAATAGAAGGAAAACACATGCTATTTGGAGATTTGAAGTATATAAATTATCTGATGAGGATAAAGATTTCTTTTTCTTTCTTTCTTTCTTTTGTTTTGTTTTGAGACAGAGTTTTGCTCTTGTTGCCCAGGCTGGAGTGCAATGGTGTGATCTCAGCTCACTGCAAACTCTGCCTCCCGGGTTCAAGCGATTCTCCTACCTCAGCCTCCCCGAGCAGCTGGGATTACAGGCATGCACCACCACGCCTGGCTAATTTTGTTGTAGTTTTAGTAGAGACAAGATTTCTCCATGTTGGTCAGGCTGGTCTTAAACTCCCGACCTCAGGTGATCTGCCTTCCTCCGTCTCTCAAGGTGTGGGGATTACGGGTGTGAGCCACCTCGCCTGGCCAAGGCTAAAGGTTTCTACAGATGCTTGAAATTCTAAGGCGAACAGTGACACAAGGTATCAGTTCAGAACTCAACAAGAAATACAAAAGATAGCACACATTTGTGTATATCCCTCTGCTTATACCTTCATTTTTTAATATCAAATGAATATGACCAAATGTGTCAACTGAAACACACTGAGTAAAAATGATCCCAACAGTCCCTTCCTATAATAATAATAAAAAGTCTTAAAGTGAACAACATTTTAACTAAAATTGAAGAAAATGACAATGTTGAGAAGAACTTCAAAGAGCATAACATCAGCTACCCTATGTGAAATCCAAAGATCAGACTTCATCTTCACATTTTTAGGTTATACTGTTTTGAAATGACCTCAAATCTCCAGAGATAATATTAAAGAAGTCTTACACTTTCAGTGTATGTGTGTGTTTTTTTAATTATTGTTTTTGTTTTAAATAGTATGCAACTGCCTAATTTCATTTCATCCTGAAAGCAATTTTGTGTGGTATAAGTGGTCAAGGCTAAAATATGGAAAAATATGGTTCACATGGGTTGTTACCAAACAAAATATCACACATATTTTAAGTGCTTCCAGTATGCTTTTAATACAGTGGTATGTTGACAAATATTTAACAACTGGTTCTCAGGTTAAAAAACAAAACAAAACAAAAAAAGCCCCTAATTTTTACGTATTGATTTCAGTGTTGTAAATACTCCTATATGGTAATGCCAAGCTGTTAAGGTGATGTCTTTAAACATGGAATTAGGAGGAGATGTTTCAATCTGCTCTGTGATCCAGTCTGATGGTATGAGATGGTTCTAAACATTGTAATGAACCTGGAGTAACCTAGGGGTAGGCAAACATTTTCTCCAAAGGGCCAGAATGTAAGTATTTTAAGCTTTGCTGGCCATACATTCTTGCAACAATTCAACTCTGACACTGTTGTAGTGCCAAAGAAATCATAGGTGATAGGCAAATGAGTGTTGGCTAGATGAGTGTTTATGAATAGAGAATTTTGAATTTCACATAATGTTCAAATGTCACAAAAATGTTCTTCTTTTGATTTTTTCCATTATTAAAAATTGTAAAAAGTATTCTTAAGTTTTGAGATATATACAAAATAATTTGCAGGCTCCTGATCTAAACTGTAGAAAATTGACTGAACTGGGGAAGACTTGATTGAGTTGCATTCCTAACTAATCCAAGAATCTTACATGACACACCAGTGTCTAATCCCTTATGTCATAGTGGACTCTTCTGAGGCTCATCAGTATCCACGGTTCTTTTGGCCTTCAACAGTTATAGGCTTCAAAGAAACTTGTTATTTCAGTTCCTTACTTCTTCTTGTCTGCCTCCATCAACATTTCTTAAGCTGTTGGCATAAAGTTCACAGCATTCATTGGCTTTAAAAATTTAGGAACCATAAAAATAGACTTTACATCCTAAATATAAACACAAAAACACATACATGAAGTAACTGAAACAAACATTTCACAGAAAAGATTGTACCCATACCACTTGCAATCCACTGTTATGTCTTCTATTCATTTTTCATTCTACTTTATGTTTAAAAATTGCTCATGGAGACTCATTAGTGGGTCAACATCTACAATTGGTAAAACCCCAATTTAATTAAAATGATTGATACCAACCTGTGAATATTCTATAAAATAGCTTCTCTCTCACCCTGGGCTATTTGCAGTTGCTAAAAGCAGCCATTAGCCAGATTAATCACAAGTTATAGAAATTATGTGAGATGTTTTTCTGAGCAGGGATTTCTGAGACTCCATGCTTACTCAAGGACTTGTGGGTCTCTTCTTTCTCCTGACAGTCACTTAAGATAGGCTCTCTACAAACAAATCAGCATCCTACATACTCATAATGACATTTTGTTGTTGTCAATACAATTCTGACGTGGAAAAATACTATTCTGATATGCAGAAGAACCTAGTACTATATTTCTAAATTTACATTTTTTTCTGTTCATTATTTAGTTTTCTGTGATTTTTCTGTTTCTACACTATTATGCAATAGAATCATCAAATAAAATTAAAGATGAGGCAGTGTATGGATTAATCAATCTACCAACATAATCATATCATTTTATATTTTATTGAAAGCATGTATTCCTTAATCCTTCTACAGGGATTGCTAATTATTCCCATAAAAGTAAACCAAATCAACATAAATCCAGTTTGAAAGTATCACTTCAAACCTTATATTGTGCCAAAATATTCTATGATTCTATCACAGTCTCTCATGCTCCTCCCCCACCCCTCTCTGTTATAAGTTATATGTTTCCCTAACTGCAGGTGTTATGGAAATGTAACTTCTGATTCAAGCTGAGAGAGGACTTGAGGAACTTGAGGAAATTGTTTATGATCTGATGGAAATTTTAAATTGTGTTGGAGAAAATGATTCTGACTTGGGACCAGGAAACCTGTGTTCAAATCACCCCTTAGCATGACAACTATGTGCCTTTCTGCAAATTTACAAAAATGTCCTTGTAGATCTAGTTTCCTTTTCTGTAAAATCCAAATAATACCACTCTACTTATCTCACAGATATTTATGAGACAGTGGATCACTAATACATGTAAATTTCTTTGCAAACTTAGAAGCATCCTGAAAAAGAATGGATGTCCTATATATGGAGAACCATTAAATTATTTTTGTCACTTTTAGTTTCATTTTGCTCTGAAAGTCACATTTACAACCCCTTCCTTCCCCAGTTATGTGACAGCAACACAGCCTGTGTACTTCCCTATATGGAGGCATGTAGGGTTGCTGCAGGCAATGTGTCCACGTGTCTGGATTTCTGAGTATATCATTTATTATTTTTGGTGGCTCCAATGCAGCAATAGCACAGGACTTTGACAGTTGATGGAGATAGAAATTTCAGCAATAATAGTAACTTTACTATATAGGCAAAATTTTTAACATTATCCTCACTTACTGCTAGAAGACGCTGAATAAATGCATTAGACACACATCAGCTCTTTTAATTACCATTTTAAAGCTTCACTAGTTCTTTTATCCTTTATGTTTAATAAGCTATTATAGTGGTTTCATATTATCTTCAAATTAAACTTTTCTTCCATTAAAAAATGAAACCTTTAAAAGTGATTGAAATATTTTGGTACATAGTTGGAAACTGTTTCAAAGTGAAGAATCTAGAGATAATTCTCTTTTGCTGTTCTTTCATATATGTATGCACATAATAAGCTGGAAGAAACTCCTTAGAAAAATCTGCATTATATAGGCAAAAACTTGAGACCTTCCATGGGGTGAAAATAAAGTCGTACACCTTCTTAGGAGATCTGAGTAAATGTTGTGGTTTAATAGCAGCTGAAATGTCTAGAAACACATGCAATAGTATGTCCTGAGTCTCTAGGTCTCCTGAAAACAAAATATAACTTCATTGCTTTGTTATTTTAATTTCTGTATCTCAGATGCATTGGCTGAATTAATTATGCTAATTCAGTTCAGGGCACTGATCCATGCAGTGATTAACGATGTATGCAAAGCCCTTTTTTTGTTTTTGTTTTTCCTTATTCTCTTATTCTATTCATCCCTGGTTATCCGATATTAATACTAATATGTTTAATGTATATTTTGCATGCGTATGTTTTAGCAAATGTGCATCATTTTGTGTATATGTATTTTAATGTACTTAAATAATATCATGTTATATATGATTGATCTATCATCCATCTTTCTGTAAATATCTATATGTTCTAAGAACATTCATGGTTTTTTGTGTACCTCTAATTCATTGTTTCAACACTGCAGAGTATTTCATGGTTTACATCTACTTTGTTCTTTCTACCCTTCTAGCAAAACATTTTTAGGTTGCCCCAAAATTTCTATTACTACAAATGCTGCTGAAATGAACATCTATATACATATCTGTCTGGTGACTTGTGTGATAATTTTTTAGAAATGTACACCAAGGAGTAGAATTACTGGACCATAAGGCATACATTATTTTTTAGGAAATGACAGCATCCCTTCAGAGATGCTAATCTACATTCTCAGCAGCAGCACATGGAAATCATACATCTCGTATCTATGCCAACATTTTGTATTATCCAGCTTTCCAATTGTTTTGCAATTTAATAGGTGAAACATGATATCTCATTACCTTTAGATTTAGAATTCTCTATTCACAAATGATTTCGAGCACCCCCATGTATGTTTCTTAGCTTTTTCTTATTTTTTGACTGTAAATTTTTTTTTCATATCCTTTGACATTTTTTCCATTGTGGCTGGTTTGTTGCTTTTTCAGGAATTTTAGCTTTGATTGCTCTACCATTTGTATGCTTCAAATATTTTTTCCCACTATGTTACATAAGTTCTGATTTTGTGCAGAGTCCTTTATGAACATCCATTCTTATTTTTTAATAATACAATTAAATAAGATTTTTGCTTTAGGGTTTGTACTTTTGACATTTTAAGTTCTTCCTTATCATAAGGATACTTTCCAAATTCCTTTCTATTATTTTTACAGTGTTATCTTTAACACTTAGTATTTAATTCTTTTGCAATCCTCTTTTTTATGTGTTGCTTGTGGTGATCCAATCTTATTTTTTCCCATATAATGTGCTAGTGTTTTCTAACATTATAGAATAAAAAGTTACCTTTTATTCATTGATCTGTGGGAACCCATTATTGTAAATTAAGGTTCTATAGATTCTTGTTTCTGTGTCTGAGCTTCCTCTTTTATTTCACTGAACTATTGTCTGTTTTTGTCTTATACTATACCATGTTTATTATTATGACTTTGTAATCTCTAATTATCTAGTTGGTCAGTTTTACAGATATGAAGAAATAATAACGTTATTTAGTCCAAATTTGCATCTAGTACCCAACTATCTCTTACAATAAGCCAGATGGATCATGCTCAGTGTCCATGCACACAGCCTTGTTAATATTTTTCCAGGTAATCTATCCCAATGTTGATTAGTTTTCTTTACCCATGACCATTTTAGAAACAAAACCTATCCTCTTGTAACTTTTACCTTTTCACTATAACTAGTCCTTCTGAAACAAAATTTTAAAAAGGTTAATTTCATCTTGTACACGATCAATAATTCTTCAGCTATCATGTTCATCTCTATAGTATTTTTTTCTTCAGGTTCAATATCCCTAGCCACATTATCTGTCCTCATGAGCCATGGTTTTCAGACATGTCTCAATTATAGCTATCCTCTCTGCACAATCCATTTGATCTTTGATCCTTTTAAAATATTGCATGTGTAACTGAAAAACCAGTAATTCCAATGTGGTCAGGTAAAGATAGAGTACAGTGAAATCATAGTCTCTCTTCATGGGGACACTAAAACATGATTGTGGGATTCTCTTTCCATGGCTTA
This sequence comes from Homo sapiens, assembly GCF_000001405.40. Classification (NCBI taxonomy): domain Eukaryota; kingdom Metazoa; phylum Chordata; class Mammalia; order Primates; family Hominidae; genus Homo; species Homo sapiens. Next base: position 100,749,555 of record NC_000005.10, read on the forward strand.
TCTAATGTAAACTCTTTAAAATGTAGCACACTTTGAAAAACAGACAAAAATTACCCAAGTCTACTAACCATCATCACTGGAATGACTCTAAATCTCTTTAAACTAAAACAAACAAAACAATATTTTTGAGTACAGTTAAATTTATGATATTCAAAATCTTTTTTTTATGGGCTAACTCAGAGATCCTTGGCTTGCTACTTGCCAAGATACACCAAGATTGGTCATTTCTATGGTCATACATCACAAAATTGCCATTCAGTACAGTAAATGTGCTATTGTAGCTAATTTCACAGGAGATCTGGTTTCCTTGGACCAATCTACGTCAAATTGGCCATAATAATATCATGACATGTTTTTCCTATTTCTAGGCAAGATTTCCTCACACATCATTCCGGTCTCAGCATGAAAATATCTGGAAAAACATTAGGAAGCTGATTTGCCCCCTTTAGGCAAGAAGAGAGATAAGCTTAAAAACCAGTGACAAGTTCCATATGAGGAGAACCCAACGTGTGTCAAATCCTGTCAATCACGTGACACACTGCTGCAGGCCTGTCAGCTCACCTTCATTGCGTTATTAAAGGATCATTCGCAACACAGCCTCATGCAGATTTCAGCTGTGTGCCCTGAAATCCAGGGAAAAGGCCCACCGTGGTATATGGTGCTGATAGAAGTTCACTAATACGAATATTCTTAGCTTCCCCCCCATAAATTCCTTCTTACACTGCTTGAAAAATAAATACTTTTTCTGCCTTCAGCTTCAACATATTTCTCTAAGCAATTTCTAGTTTATTTTGACAAGCTGTCTTTAGATTGTGTTTGGACACTCTAAGCAATTTAGATGAATGCATTTAGAATCAGCTTAGGAATCTGTTGAGCTTTGTCTGATTGTATACTAGCATAATTTATCCCAGCCTCCAAAATCCAAGTTGAAGGTCATCTCCTCGGTGATGCCTTCCTCTTTGCTAGAATTAATGTTTTGTCTTTTTATGCTCTCTTCAAAGACAGTTTGTGATGTGATTATAGTATTCATTTATTCATTCATTAAATATTTGAGTGCCCATTACAAATCAAACTCTGTGTTAGGTACTAAAGGCACAGAATTCAACAAAAGTTGACCTTTGGCTTTAAAGAAACTTAAGATTTAATTCTGGAGATGGAAATGTAAATATGATTGTTACTCAGGGTGGTAAGCACAGTACAAGGTATGTGCAAGGGATGGTGTTTTTATAGGGGGATGAACAAATTGCTTGGATTTGGATAAGTCAAGGATTGATAGATGAGATATTTGACTGAAATATTAAAGGGAGAGTTCTTCTGCAATTTAGTTGTCTTGAATGTATTGACTTGCACTAGAGTGTTATGCTGGCTGGGCTAGAAAACTTAAGTTCTTTTTCTCTGAATTACCTTTACCTTACAAGGAAACTGATGTGTGGAAAGTGCTCAAAAACATTGAATATAGGTGTGTATTTTTGTGCCAGAGACTATATCTACTCTAATCATAAACATTAAATAGCTTGCCTTCAATAAAATATTCCATGTAATTAACAACATAGATTATAAAATATAGATTTTTTGAACCTACTAAAATATAAAAAGAGGAAAGTAAGAAAAATGCTTTGGAGTGGGGAGATGTATTGTTTAGGATCAAGACCTCTTGTAAGCCTTGTTTTCTACCAATTTGTCTCTGCCCTCCCTGATCCTTGATCCTCAGTGGGACTCTAAGTTATACAGAGTTCATTCAGGTTTTTCATGTGAACTTTGCTCAACTGGACAGCAAAATCTAAACACAAAAAATTCTTTTTTCTTCATCACTGCTTGCCCTTCATTTTTCCTAGGGGCTTTACTCTGTGTACTGTGACAGCTAATTCATTCAAGAGACTAATGGCATGATAATGGTTTAATGTGTTATCCCACTCAAATAACTTCCCTGGATTGAAAGAAGCATCTACTACAATTAACTCAAAATACTGGCTTCACAAGTGAGATTTTTCAGACATCATGGCAGCTCAGGGGGAACAATATGGTAGAACAGGAGGAATTCTTGATGCAACTAAAATTTTTTAAAAGCCAAGTCTGACTGCAGTCATTGATTCAAAGCAACTTTGCGAGTGTTCAAGGAAAGACAAGGATGGGGAATATGATGGTAAACGTGCCTCTAAGCAAAAACAGCCAAGTTTGTCCTCTCTATTTCATCTTCAATTACCCTTTAACATGACCACACATTTTTTCTAAGGGTTTGGTCTTTTATATTATTAGATTCCACAAAAGATACTTTTATACAGACTCATGTCACTCTAATGATTATTAAGCTTTAAAATAATAGTCATACGCCAGACACTATTGCTAGTCATTTCAGCCATCTCATTTATGATGTATAAAACTCCCAAAGTGTGTGCATTCTCTGTATTACGGAAGCACAGGAAGCAGGCACTTGAAAGTAGTCTTTTTTTGTTTTTGAGACGAAGTCTCACACTGCTGCCCAGGCTGGAGTGCAGTGGCGCGATCTTGGCTCACTGCAACCTCCGCCTGCCAGGTTCAAGTGATTCTCCTGCCTCAGCCTCCTGAGTAGCTGGGACTACAGGCATGTGCCACCATGCCTGGCTATTTTTTTGTATTTTTAGCAGAGACAGGGTTTCACCATGTTGGCCAGGCTGGTCTCGAACTCCTGACCGAGTGATCCACCTGCCTCAGCCTCCCAAAGTGCTGGGGTTACAGCACTTTGAGCACAGTGAGCCACCGCGCCCGGCCAAAACTAGTCTATTTACGTCTGAAGTCTTAATTCATTTCATTAAATTGCTCCAACTCCCCAATACATGTTCACAAACCTGTTCTACAGATTAAATAGCTTCTTGATAATCATGAACCAGACATAGGGAAAGTAAAATTTAATAATATTAAGAGGGAGGAGGAAGAAAGCCAATAGGTAAGGAGAAAGTCAGACTTATGCCAGTGCCAGTGTGTTGGGAAGACTGGGAACATAAAGGTGTTGTTTATAAAGACAAGTTGTCCTAACAGTCAGCAACAGTTAAGATACAGGTTCCTGATGAACCTAGACAGAAAAAGGAGAGCAGTCTGACAGTGGAGAGCAAGTTAGGAGATGTATGTATAGAAATGAGTTAGGATGAGGCAGTTGGTAACAGAAAAACTCAAGTCTGGCTGTTTTGATCATTTTAGAATGGTAGTTTACCCAGCGGATTTTATTTTTCAGTTAGTTTGTGTCCACTGAGCAGTAGTGAATAAAATCTAGTTCAGGGATGATTTGAGTTAGATCTTCTTTGAGGTCCAGCATAGTTTCTGACCATAGCAAACAATGCCTTTGCTGTGACTTTGAGTTGCATTTTTGGAAATTTTCTATGTCTCCCAGTGCTGGTATCTTGGACATGGTGGGGCTGAAGAAAGCAGTGCTGTTTCCTTATCCAGAGGCTGAACTGGAAAAATGTGTGGGCTCTGAACCCATTTCTCTCCTTCCAGGAGTTCTCTCATTCTCTGCCTGTGTATCAGACCAGTGAAGTGAAACACATGCCCCAAGGTGTTTCAGAACTTGCACATATGAGGCCATGTTGCGCCTTGACCAGGCTGAGGTTCCAAGAGTGGGGCTCAGACATGTATCACTCTTTCTCTTCAGCGCAACATTACTTTTGTTGAATTGTTTGCAATTAGGGTACCAGAATGATGCTGACACAATGATTTGGGGTGATTCTCATTCACTTTACACAAAGTATAAAGATACCTCACAAGCACTGATTGAACAAAAACTAAATAAGTACCATTTCTATATCTATTATTCTAGATCTTCATTAATAAATCACTATACTCCCTATGGGTCAATTTATAATACATTTAAAAATCAAATTATTAGTAAATCCTAATTTACTAATTAAGAATTAGTAAATTGGGATGCTGCAAAAAAAAATTCACCTGGGGACAACACTACTGGGGACCACAATAAAATGTTGGTGCAGTGAGAGCAGATGCATATCGCTCAGAGGTTGGGGAGCATTTTTCTGGGTCAGCAACTGTTTTTAAATACTTTGTGGGGGGGTAAAGTTAACCGCAGTGGTACCACAATAAATTAAACACCTACTAGCATGTCTCAAAAGCTTTTTTGTTTCTGTAAAGACTTTTTTTATGCTAAATTTTTGATAGAAATTGAAATTAAAGGCCAGGCATGGTGGCTCATGCCTGTAATACTAGCACTTTGGGAGACTGAGGCAGGAAGATCCCTTAAGCCCAGGAGTTCAAGAACAGCCTGGGCAACATAAGAAGACCCTGCCTCTGTTTAAAAAAAGAATACAATAAAATAAAAAGAGAAAACAAAGAAATTACAATTAAATAAAATACAAGTTTGGTGTAGCCCTGAAATAAATTTCAAGGTTACTATGACTATTCCTTTTATGTATCTATTTTTAAAATTTTATTTATATCATTTGCTACTAGAATCCTGTCTGTTAACAAGATTTAGAGTACTTTATTTTTTCTTGGAAAAAAATAAAGATTTGAGTATAACGATTTGGTTGAAAAGAAAAAAGAAAATCTGTGAGGGCAAGAGTGATGTAGTGGACAGTAAGATCAAGATCCTTAAAGGCCATCCACTAAGACGGCCTCTGTCCCCTAGTGATGATGTGCACCTGGGAATCTTTCCATGGGTTCTATGCAATGAACTTACTGTGGATGCCGCAATGTATTCTGTAAGATGGAACTCAGTATGTGGAGGTTTGAAGCATTAACATATATTAACCAAAATCATGTACTCTTTTAGCCTGAAAAGTGAACAGAGCCCATTTCTGCTGTGTAAAATTCCAAAAATCAAATGAGTCAAGAGTCTTGCTGTATAATCACAGAGCCTAGACATTGGGCTAGCTTTGTTCTGGTCCAGGCCAGAATTCCACATGGACAATTTTTTTGAGGAAATTCTGACATAGTTGTAAGAGCTTGGCATAAGTTTTTCTCATCTAAATCTAGCAGATCAGTTGCTCACAGAAAAAAAAAAAGGACATTATCACTCAAAAAGTATACGCTATACTTTGCAAAATAATATTAATTCCACGTTGTATTATATGGCTCCCTGAAAACATAACTTAACACATACAAATACTCATCTTGGCTGGGCACGGTGGCTCATGCTTGTAATCCCAGCACTTTGGGAGGTTGAGGCGGCGTTTCACAAGGTCAGGAGATTGAGACCATCCTGACTAACATGGTGAAACCCCGTCTCAACTAAAAATAAACACACACACACACACACACACACACAAAATGAGCCGGGATGGTTGTGGGCGCCTGTAGTCCCAGCTACTCGGGAGGCTGAGGCAGGAGAATGGTGTGAACCCAGGAGGCGGAGTTTGCAGTGAGCCAAGATCACCTCAATGCTCTCCAGCCTGGGTGACAGAGTGAGACTCTGTCTCAAAGAAAAAAAAAAATCATCTTACACCTGCTTTGGGCATTAATTGTATTTGCCTGGCTCCTATAAACATTTACATTTGTGACAACTGTGTCAAAACAAGGTCGGCTAGGTAAAGGAGTCAAACTAACATGAGGTACAAGTGAAAGTGTTAGAGAGTGAATGCTTAGTACTCTAAAACAAATGGATAACTACTGGTTGAGTAAATAAACTGCAGTAGGATAGCTAAATATATGGGTAATTTAGTTGTACTAACAACACATTCTAAGACATGCTGAACATAAGGGAAGTTAAAGGTTGAAATATTAAACGTATTATACATTTACACACATCACACTCTTAATTATCTTAATGAAAAAGATATTTTTTTCTATTACATCAGAAAGTATCATTGTCATGTAGCAAAATTGATTAAAAAATGATTTTAAAAGCACAACTAAGCAAAGTTGTACAGTAGTTAGAATCACAGAATGGGAGATGTAGGACACAGGTTATGGAGAAAGGGGAAAGGTTCCATAATTTTTAAGATAAAACAGACAATTAAATTAAATATCACTTAAAGGCCATTCTTTGAGACCAGCTTCTTTATCTTTAACCTGACCTTTTCCCCGACTTTGTCTAAACTGCTTATTGATGCTATGGATGATAAAGGTCACAGCTAGTAAATATGCTCTGCTTCATATTATACATCATGCAGGTTTAATGTTTCTAACCAAATCCCAAAGGAATGAATGTTAGTCACAGACCTCAGCATTAAGAAAATAATTGGATTTGTCTGGCTATGCAATATAAAATGATTTGAAGGACAAAGAAGACTAATAGTTTGAAAGGCTAAGTTAAAAGAAAAGAGTGTTTCGAGAGTTGCACCCCACTTCTCAGACATGACTATCTCTATAATGTCATGTGAAATAACTAGGCAAAGATCTTAAAACAACTAAAGGAAAATCTTTATAGTTTGTCTTTATTTTTCAATATTTTAGAAAAATTCATTTCAGAAATGGAAAGGAAGAAGGGTAAAACAGTGACTCTCCTTAAATAAATGAGCTAAATATACATCTCTTAATTTTATTTTGCAAGTAGTATAACATTACTTCTGTGCCGGTAGCCCTGTCAAGAGGATTAAAAAGGAACCATCCTATCATGACAAAGTTGAGTTAGGGCTATGTGCCTTCCTGGAAAAATTGCTTTATGCTTACAAACTTACCAGATTAAAATCAGAGAACCATGTGAATTTCCAGGATGCTATAAACCTAAGCCATTTTTACCAGCATCTAAAATGTTTTGAGCATGTGTTATGTTCCAATCACAGTTCTAAGCACCTTAAATGTGCTCACTTAATCTGTCCATTAACTCAATAAGGGAAGTATAATTATCTTCCTATTTTATACTGGAGACACTGAGATGCAGGGTCTAAGTTGCCTGCCGAGATCACACTGCTGGTGGTAGGCACAAGATTTGAATCCAGGAGTTGAATTGAGAGCCTCAACCTAGTTGCCTTTCTCAATTGGTGTCTGACCTCCATCTTTAGTACTGCCATCATTTTCCCTTTGTTTCATCTAAAACACCCTTCTCTTTTCAAAATTCATATAATAATATTGCTAGAGAGCTAGAATCCATCATTTGAAGTATTTTGCTCCTCGTTTGGTTTTGGCAATGGAGAAATAGATCCCCAAATTCATGGTCTCACACTAAGGTAAGTGTCAGAAAAGGAAGTAGGATCCAACCCATATCCTTGGATCTTCAGTGGTCCCTACACTTTTATCAACTAATATTTCTTGATCATTTACTATTTTTCAGGCACTGTGCTCATATAATTTGCCATTTCATCACGCCCTCTTAAAATATTACATATATCTTCAGATGAACCTTATGCACTGTAATACTTCGTTAGAAATCTTCGCTTAATCAAATCATTAGGAGTCATATTTTTAGACTTGCTTTTTTTTTATAGCAGTCATCAGAGTAGGTGCACAGTAAATGTAGGTGGACTGAGTGATAAGTCATTTGAAGGAGGCAGATGAGGTAGTCTGACAACACACACACATCTTTGCTCTTACCTTTGTCTGAAGAGCTTACGGTAATTTAGCTGAGATTCAGTATGATCCTCCTGTTTTAACCCTTCTTTTTACCTTCTTTGCACTCCACCCCCATTTTCTTAAAAGAAATATGATTTATCTAGGGTGACTTTTTCACGTTTTAAACATTTCTCAAACACTCTTAGTAATATAATCACTTTTGGGGCCCCAATTTGCCATTACTTAGAATATTATATAACTTCCCACACCCTCTAATATAATAGGAGCTCTCCAAAAATTATGGTGAGCACATTATAGTATTTTATAAATATGTTTATTGATTGAAAAGGTTAGATAAACTCACAGGTCTTCCTTGACTATAAAATGTCTATTGGCACTATTGACTTTCCCTTATCTTGTTTGTACTGAGAGAAATAATAGTCTGAAAGCTAGAGCTCAAATGCATTTCTTTTATTAACCAAAAAAACCACAGTGGTGCACTTTGACCTTAAAATATAAAACAATAACAATAATATGAAGAAAGCATATTGCCACAGTGAAAAAAAAATATTGATGTAGATATTAAAATGTAATGTACATTTTTTCACAAGATTCTTTTTAAAGATCAACATTTTGAAAACAATCTTAAAAAGTGCCCTTTGGATTTTCTTTGTTATTCGCTTTGTTCCCTTTACAAGGTTCTTTCAGAACGTACCAATTTTACGTTAAAGTTTTAATCAATATTTCACACCGCGAAATCTTTTTCTTTGACACAATGAGTTATCAAAGCATTTGTTCTTCCCCAGGCAGTAGCTTTGAGCTGCGAATGACAATCGATCTTGTGGGTGCTGTCAGTGTCAAGATTAGATCAGACACCATGGGGATTCCTTTTCATGTGTATAACTCTTAAATCAGCATAAGCGATACACAAATTCCTCCATTCTAAAGGTGAGTTTTTCCTCAATGGAATCACTATTGCTGATCTTATTTGATTTGTATTACTTCAGAAACAACATATAGCTGTGCAGTTGGAAATTGTACCAGGATATGTTTATCTGACTTTTTTTCTTTGAAAGTAGTTATCTCCAAAAGCCACAGTGAATTTTTCTTCTTAATATATTTTCTTCAGTTTAAATGGCATATGCAATTAATTACTTCAGATAGATAATTAGTCCTGCTTCAACACAAATTTCTTATATTTAAAAAAAAAGAAAGAAAAAGAACAATTACTAGGTATGCTTGATGCAGAATGGCACCTTGGGATTGGATTTAAACCTAAAAATAATTTCTCTTTCTCCTGCTATTTCTGTCTTTCTATATCTTTCATTAGTTTTTGTTTTCTAGTGAGATTTGTGCCAGTAGAATTGTCTTAGTGGAGAAAGACACTGGAAAGAGTTACCAGCTGAGTGCAGTCTGGCATCAACCTTCTGTGGTCTTGAGTCCTGTTGTCTGCCACTTAGTAGCTGTGTGACGTTGGAAAAATGACTTAAGTTCTCTGCATCTCCTTTTTCTTACATGTAATAGTGCCTGACTCACTGGCAGAGTAGAAGGACTTCATGACGTATTCTGTATAAGTACGTTCCACTGCGCCTGATGCATAATGGGTGTTTAATATATGTTAGCATCTGTCTCACTCCTGGGGCTGGGTAGTTGATAAAGAAAAGTGGTTTATTTGGCTCACAGTTCTGCAGGCTGTACAAGAAGCGCAGCAGTGTCTGCTTCTGATGAGGGTCTCAGGCTGCTTCCACTCACGTGGAAGATGAAGGGAAGCCAGTGTGTGCAAGATCACATAGTGAGAAGGGAAGCAAGAGAGACAGAGAGGAGATGCCAGGCTCTTTTTAACAACCAGCTCTAGTGGGAACTAATAGTGTGAGAAGGCAATAATCACCCAGAGGGAGAGCATCAATCTCTTCATGAGAGATATGCTTCTATGATCCAAACACTTCCTATTAGGCTCCTCCTTCAATAGTGGGAATCAAATTTCAACATGAGGTTTGGAGAGGACAATATTCAAACCGTAGCAGCAACAATTGTTATTTAGGTAGTAAGTCTGATGTGTGCAGAGACAAAACACTCACCTGAAAATGACTCATACTTATTTACAAAAGGAAGAATTTGTTTTCACCACATTTCTCCCCAATTTATGTCTCAGTATTTTATTAGTTTTTTTCCAAAGATGTCTAAGAGGTAAAATAATTTAATTTCCTAAGAATAGAAAGCAGTTAGGATGTAACTAACATGAGTTTCTGGGGGTAACATCTTAAATATGAATTATAGGGTTTTTAAAAAATATTAAGTAGCTCCAGAATTTTATGATTTCAATGTTCTGTGACTAGACAACCATGAGGATTCTTAAGGAAAAATGTCACAGCTAGTAGAATCCAAGAAAAATGTATAGTTGGGGTGTGAGGGAAATTTGCTTCTGATTCACCTAATACATTATAGGCTTTCTTAAGAGAGGTAATGGCTGTCTAGGTTATTGATGGCTCTCTGGTTACCTCCCTGCTTTAGAAGAATTGGGCAAGTAGACGATGAAGTCGTGTTCTAAGTCTTGGCCTATAGTCCTTCATTCCGTTCACCCCGACCATTCAGATGGTGGGCACACATGAGCAAGAAATGAAGTGTGATGCTGACATGAAAAATGGGGTCAGTGAAACATGAAGATGCACAATACAAAGAAAACCATTTCAGCAAAGCAGAATTTGCAGCTTTTGCTCTGCAAACAATGAGTATGTACTCTACAAATTAGCCAGCTTTCAAAATTTTAATTAATTTGAATGTTAAGTGAATTTTTTCCCTGTTGAATGTTTAAGGTAAGTTAATCATCAACAGAATACCTTGGAAAGGGGATTTTTCTGTATCCAGAAAGTTCTCACACATGGAAAAGCTTCATAAATGATTCTAGTACTTTTAACTAAGTTCTAAATCGTTCATTTACATCCATCTTGTATTAAGCCATTTTATGTCATAATTTTCTGCACAATGAGTCAGAGAATATTTAGAAGAGCCGTTGGTATCCTAACTGTATAAGTGTCAGGAAAAACAATTAAAAATGAAAGTATAATAATTATTCAAAGAATTAGACACTTAAGGAGAAGGCCTGAAAGGGCATTTTCTATTCTTTTTTGTTTGTTTGTTTGTTTTTTGTGTGTTGGAGACGGAGTCTCGCTTTGCCGCCCAGGCTGGGGTGCAGTGGTGCCATCTGGGCTCACTGCAGGCTCCGCCTCCCGGGTTCACGCCATTCTCCTGCCTCAGCCTCCCGAGTAGCTGGGACTACAGGCGCCCACCACGACGCCCGGCTAATTTTTTGTATTTTTAGTAGAGACGGGGTTTCACCGTGTTAGCCAGGATGGTCTCGATCTCCTGACCTCGTGATATGCCCGCCTCGGCCTCCCAAAGTGCTGGGATTACAGGCGTGAGCCGCCGCACCCGGCCAAGAGGGCGCTTTAAGTGGGATTCTTTTCTTCTCCTTGGCTGGAATTATTCCCAGAATTTTCTCTTCTGCGACTTATTCCTGGGATACATAACCACCTGTAGGGGAAAAACAGCCACCTATTTCAGCAGTTTAGTCCAGACCATCTTCACACAGAGAAATTTCCTGCTGTTCCTAATCAAATTATTGACAAATAAGCTTCCAAGCCAGTGGTAATCAGAAATTAGATTTTTAAAACATCGCTACCGTTTTGTTCATATCCTTATTGCTCATCTGCTAGATAGTATGTTTCTAATTTACACAGCCTAAGGTGAGCCAGGTGATGTCCTCTCATGGGGACCACATTCAAGCCAATGCCACAGGAGCAAGTGCCTTCAAAGGTGAACAATTGCCCTCACTCTGTGGTGCTAAAATGTAACTGCCACTATCCATCTGTCACTCCTCTGTCTCCCTGTGGTGCCTGCTCTCAGAAAAATGTTACTAAAGCTTGTAGCATAACTGCCTGTAATAGAGCTGCCCTGGAATAAACTGAAAAGCTTTTTATTCTCCTCACTGGCAAGCATATCACATTTCCTTGGTTTACGAATAACTGTTTCAACCACAGTTCATCAGCTCCTAAAAATAAAAAAGAAAAATTAACAATATTACCTACAGATTTAGCTTATGTTATGAATCATGGTGCCAACAGTACAAAATATTTCTTTGGGCCAAATAGTATTTAAAATCTGTTTGAAATTGCTGAGGAATCTGTAAAGGTACAGAATCACTGAATCTTCTTTTTGAAAGAATATTATAATTTTTATCTTTGAAAGATAGGAAAGATTCAGAAATGAAACAGTATCTATTAGGAGAAATTTGCTGTGGATGGTCTTTAGAGATTTATAAATATATTGAACATATTAGCAACTTCTCTGGGTATACATATGATGACATTGCTATTGATGTCAGGTCTGGTTTGCTGTAGATTTGCAAAGTCATGCTTTGTGTCTTTGTGAATTAAATCATGACTCAAAAAGCCAGTGACTCCTTTTTTGTACATATGCATGAAACTATGTGGTATCTTATTACATTAAAGGAATCTTGTCTATTAAATAATATTTAATAATCACATATGGAAGATTCAAGTATATAATATCTGTATATATAACTTGGTATCTTCTTTTTCTTAATATTTTTAAGACAAGGGCACTCTTGGGCTAATTCCCTAAAGTTGAAATATGTCAAAATTTATTTGTGTAACTGAAGAGTCCAGGTAATTGTTAACCAGTTAGGAGATGCTGAACTTTTTAACTATTTTATCTGAAAACTACGATTGAAGTGTATTGCTCCTTTCCTGGGACAGTTCTTGCTTCACTGAAAATTTTTCTCATATTTTTCTATGGGGGGACATATTTCTTTGTACATTGTCTACTTTCAGACATTCAATTATCATTTATAAACACATACTATTTTGCCATTCTGTTCAATCTGAGGGCAGGGACTATGTCTCTCATATTTATCAGTGTATACACTAGAGATGAATTCAGTTCCTGGCCATACTAGGTGTTTTAGCCTATTTTTGAGTGAATGAGAGAATAAATGAGTGCCACCTCTGCCACTCAATCCTGAGAGGCCTGTGTGTCCACCAGATTCTGAAGTGGTCATTGGAATAAATGCATTGCTAGCTGTGCATCAGCCTCCTCTGCCATGCTGCGTGTTCTTCGGTTGCCATCTGAGATGGAATCCCTGTATCATCTTTCTTTGGCCACATTTTTGTCCATGCAGTTGCACACTCCCTTTAGCATGACCCATCTGTTACCAGCTGTCCTGCTTCCAAACAGTCTTTTATGACTTCTGAAATCTACATTCTGTGATTAACAAACATCACATCATCACAATCACTCTCTAATAAAAGAACATTATCTTTATTTCTTTCCTTTATCTGGCAATGGCTATCTCCTTAAGCCACTATTTCCCCTTTCAGGCAGACATATGTTTTCCCACAACCCATTTTTCTCAGTGTTGGAATGTGGCTTTGACATTCTCCTCATTTTCCACATCCTGATAAGAACTCCTCCACTCTCATGAAAAACCTTGCTTCTGTGACTGTAGTCATGCTAGAAGAGATTATGTAAACATACTAATAATAGTAATTTCATGTGATTAGATTTTAATTTCTTTTTCTCTGTGATTTTCTTCATTGTTTGAATTTGTAATGATAATCATGCATTATTTTACAAAAAAACCTATTTTCATATAAAACAATTCTCAGCTTATGGATGACATGCTATTCCACTCTTCTAGCTACATATTCTCTACCTTGCCTTGCCACCAAACTACCTGCAGTTCCTTGAAATCTCTAGATTTCACTGTCTTCTTTGCTCTCTCTCTCTCTAATAGTAGGTAAATCCAGTGGCTGTATAGATGACCTACTCAATATTCTAGCTTTACAATCTCTTAATCTCCTCTCCAGTGACATTAATCTCCTTTGTACTCCAACCATCCATTTGCTAGGGCCCAAATCTAGATCTTGTCACCTCAACTCCATCTCTAAATTCATAATTTCAAATACTACATTACCTAATACAAAATCCTTTTTTTTCTATCTTTCTTATTCAGTGTCTCTTACTGTAGCTGATCTTTGACTCCATCAAGACATGCAGGCAATTTATCTCACTATTTGGTCTGGCCAGTCTTCTCTAGAGCACAAAACCTGAAACCAGATTATCTGAGTTGGGGTTCCAGATCTACTGAGGATCTTGCATATCATAATTATGATTAATGTTATATTTACACTGTCAGATTTATTGTGCAATACTTCAACTTTTCTTTTACCAATATGCTCAATTCTTTCACCTTATTTTTCTCCTTTACACAGCCTGGAAAACCTTGATCTTAAATCGGTCCTAATTATGAATTCTCTTTTTCCACAAAAGAAGCTATTTAAAGCTACTGCAGAAGTTGCACTATGAAGCAGATGAGTGTCAATATAAATTATGATCTCTACATTACTTGGGACTCAACAATGCTAAGAAATTCTACTCAGCTTTCTCTGACGTTCTCTTCAGAGATTGTTTCAATAATCTTTTTATAAACTGTAATCCTCTTCCATCTGAATATTATGTAGTGTCTCCATTTATGTGAATTTATATATGTTAAGTGCTAGTGTTTGTAAGTTTACGTATGATTTGTATTTATGTGAATGTCTGTGTGTTGGTCTGTATGTTTGTAGCTCAGTTTATGTATTTGTGAGTTTACTTTAGTGTATATGTTGCTAGGACATAATCTTAAAATTAAGAGATAAATAGAATTTATCAACTTATTGCCATCAAGCTTATAAACCAGGTAGCATCGAACTCTTTTATCCTGTCACACTGGGACAATTTATCCTACTTTTAAAATGAATCCTCCTATGTGAGCACAGAATCCCATTACTGCCTCTCCCTAAGCTAGGAACCCTGTCTTACCACAAAGTTCCAAAACAGGAATTCTCTTTCTTTAAGTAATTAACAAGTATTGCATAAGAAAAAGATGCTCTTTGATGAAATTAGTTTGAGAAAACCTAGAATACATAAAATAAGACAGATTTACTTCTAAATTCACAGAAGTTTGCTTTATTAAAATGTCATTATGTATTATGTATTACATATGTCCCAAAGGGAAATAGATTATGTAGCATTACCCAGATTTAAAATTTGAATTGAGGAACATTGTCACAAGAATCTTATTATCCCTTCCCTGTTTTTCAGCTTCACCATCTCTACTGCCTCCTTCCATGTGAATATGCCTTAGCCTCTTTAATCCAAAACAACAGTCTACGTTCCATGTATTCTCTCCAGCCATCTTTCCTCTTTCCACTTACAGTCAAATTCCAGAAAATGGCTGGGACTTTCGCTGTTTCCATTTTGTTGTGTTCCATAAACTCTCCTCAATCTGCTTGTATCTCTACTACTCTGGTCCACACTGACACTGTTATTACCATGGTTACAGTCTTGTTGCTTCCGAATGTAGTGCCTATTTTCAGGTCCATATTTACTTCATCTCCCAGTAGCTTATGATGCTGTTGAACATTCCGTGCTTTCAAAAACATTCCCTTCTCTTAAAATTTTTGCCCACCTTCCATTGCTCAATAACCTTTAGTGAATCTTCTGTTTTTACACATATAATGGTGATCATTGTGATTATATCACAGGTAAGCTTTCCTCTTTCAATGAGATTCTTTCTGTTTTAGATCACTCATTATGTCCCAAGCCTTCATGTAACATCAAGGGTATTGATTTCCTAATTTGTCTTCAACACAGATTCTTCTGCTGAGCTCTAGTTCTACATGTGCATATACATATAGCTACCTACTAACTACTGCCATGTGAATGACTCTTAGAAACCTAACATCCAAAAATTTCAAAATTTAAATCATTTCTTGCTCCAAACCAGTTTTTCCCTCTCGTTTTCCTTTGACATGTTTACAGTCCTGAAGTCAGCTACTAAGATATCATTCTTGATTTCTCAACATTTCTTCTCTCTTTACTCTGTTAAATCAATTTCAAATCCCTGTTGAATCCACCTCTAGTTTCTTTCTCAAATTCATTATGCCTTACAGTTCCTGCTACCAATTCTCTCATCCAAACCATTGTCACGATCTACATCAGGTAGATTGCAGCACACCCTAAACTTGGCTCAGCTTCCTTTGGCTTGGACCTCTGTAATTTATCCTTAACTTTCAGTTTTCTGATTAAAACTCCTAAATGACTTCTCATGGCCATTGGAAAGTAGTGGCCCTAAGATGCTGGAAATTAGTTTTATATTCCTACAGTTAAAATTTCAACCACCTAGACTAGTTATTTTTATCATAAAGAGTAAAGAAAGCACACATTTTTATTCCTATAGATGTTTTAAAATTAAATACAATTAAATTAGGTAGTGTTTAGCCAAGATGCAGTACTAAAGCAAAGATGATTTGGTAGTAATACTCTCCTGTGATGGGAATGAGAAGAATAATAAGATGCAGTTTTCATAGAGAATAATCTTATAGAGGAGATAACTGCTCGCTTCCTTCCCCTGCACAGGTAAAGAGAATACGTAGATATTACTTGCTTTTCTAAGGACTCACAGTAGGTTAATTTAAAAAACTAGAATCTCTGAAGTGTCTGTCTACTCATATGCTTGCAATGGACAAAGGGCCACCATTTGAACCAAATAGAGAAAGACACATGAGCTTTAATTTCTTGAAAACATAGTCAGTTATTTATTGAGTAGATGGCCTCTTGAACGTTTACTCATTATGTTTTAGCAGTAACTTTATTGATCAACAGATTCAGTTTCAGCTGATTTTTAAAACTTCCAATAACCCAGGTAGTTCAATAAAACATTGTTAACGAATAAGTAATATTTTAAGATTAGAGATTAGAGATGGTAATAAGGATTATGCAACTTCTGCATAATTATTTAATCAAAAAGCATTATTTGGTGTCTCTTTTGGTCCTCTTCTATGCTAGATTATAAAGATACAAATGTGAAAAATGTAGTAGTTGTGTCAAAATCTACTCAATTTAATAATATTAATAAAGATTAAAATGTTTCTTTATGTGTGGACTCATTAGCTCTAAGTGAAGTTTTAGATCTCTATATGAACTTAGAGTCAGTGTAACAAAGACTCCCGCAATCTGTGGTCTTGTTCAAAGTAACTTGCAAAATTATGATTTTTTTCCCACTCTCACCATAAAGGGTTCCAGAAGAAATAGAAGAGGAAACCACACATTGCAGCTCAAGACTCACCTACTCTGTTATAGTTCCCTGATGACCTCCCCTAAAGGGTCAATTACACTTCCCACTGAACAACCCTTCCTTATATAATTCCCTTGGTTTTATTTTGCTTGTTCTTTAATCACAGGACTGAGATTATTTACTTACATTTCTTTATTAGAATATGATTTTCTTCAGGAGATATATTCTTCACAAGAATAAAGGTGATACATTTTTCACATTTGTATCTTTATAATCTAGCATAGAAGAGGACCAAAAGAGACACCAAATAATGCTTTTTGATTAAATAATTATGCACAAGTTGCATAATCCTTATTACTATCTCTAATCTTAAAATATTACTGATTTGTTAACAATGTTTTATTGAACTATTGGACATTTTCTTTTTGAAGGTTGAAACTTTCTGAAGTTTACCAAATTATTTAAACTTGTACCTACTGTTTTTGGAGTTAAAAGTTATACATAGGGTTCACTCATTCAAAACTCTGTATACACTTAAGGAGCACCTGCACTGTGGCAGCAGCTGTTCTAGGTACTGGGGATCCCATGAAGAACACAACTGATAAAGGTCCTGCTTTCATGTAGGTTACCTTCTGATCAATAATACATAATAAACAAATAAATTAAAATATGCAAAATAATGTCAATTATAAGTGGGAGGAAGAATAATAAATAAAGACAATGGAATACACAGGGTGCTATTATGTATTTGGATGATCAGGAAAGGTGTTCTGTGATAGAGCAGACAAATTCTTAATAAGCTTGTTCAGAAATAAGTAAATACATAGGAAAGACTGAAAGACTGATAGAATTAAAACAGACTAGGAAAAATGCTGGATACAACTTTTATCTTTGTAGCCTTTAGGACAATAGTGGACAAGCATACAAAAAAATAGCCTCCTCCCTCCAAAAAACAGACACATATGATGGACATTATATTGTTTTTCTTAGTATAACAATTTAGTCATTTACAAGAACAGGTAAAGTGAGTGTAATTGTTTATACAGCCTTTCAGTGGTCTCTGGTTTGCAGCATACATCTGCAAAAAACTAATGTCCTGTCTGACAAGAGACTACTGCATTTCTCATCTTGCCTACTACCACTACCAAAAACCTCATGTGATTTGAAATAATATTGTAATTCCCATTAAAATGCATTTCTATATTCTAAAATGGCAGCATATATTTGCATTTTTTTATTCACCAAAAAAGTGCATATTAATTCATTGACAGTAACTTTAAATTACATTTTAGTTTTTGTATTGAAACAGCATGGACAAAATAACAGAAGCTAGCAAACCAGAAAAGAAACGCTTTGTAATACAGAAAGGGAAAATAATGAGAACTGTTTGATTTTTGTCTTTAATATAGATTATAATTTGGATTTAGAAAGGCTTATTAATAAAGTATTTTTTCAGACAAGTTAGAAAAGTGATTTCCTGTAAATCATTGGAAAAAATAAAAAATGAACACTATAACTATAGCTTCTATCCATGCATTATGTCACCTATATGCCTAGGGAAGAAATAACTGATTAGAGCTCCTCAGAATGGATCATTAGTGAAGCAGAAGGCATGTGGCTAGAAAAGTAATTTAGTGTTTATTCTGGTAGAATGTTTTCTTAATGCATGGTACAACCTAGGCAACACAATGAGAGCAATTTTGACTTTCGTATTATTAAAAGGGTAGGGAGCAAAACTTTAAGAGCTTCATTTTAGATGTTTTAAGCCCATGGTTATTCAGAAATAGTCTTTACCATAATTATTAAATAGAAAGAGAAATCCATTAGCTCTAACAAAAAGATAAGCTAAATCCAAACTGATTTTACAAACACAATTTACCTTAAATCCCGAAAGAACAAAGGCAATTTTGTTAGATACACTATCATTTCCCTCAGGATTTTTTTTTAAATTGCTTCTTGTTTGACAGATAAACAGGGTCAAATGAAAAACAAAAAACAAAAATTTATTGACTTGTTTATTAGACATTCTCATAACTGCAAAACAATAATATATGCTTAAAATGGAAACTGAATCACATCAGTAGTATTAAATGTCAATATACCTTTAGTATGGAAAAGTATTTACTAGGTTCCTAGGACATATTTATTTATTTTAACGTTTTATGTAAAAAAAATCTTTAGTATAAAGCTATCAATTCAGTTCAAGTCAAAGAAATAAGTCCATATTAAGTAACTACTTCTACAAAGCACAGTGCTAGATGAAATGTGAGATAGGAAGATAGTAAAACTTGACAGCTAGCCTCCAAGGGATCACGATCTAGTGTGGGAGAAAGAAGTTTAAAGCAATTAACTATAAAGTAAGACATAATGTATTAAGTGCTGTAATATAGATACAACGTGACAGGAGGGTAGTGCAAAAGGAGGAATTAATTCTGGCTAGAGAAGGAAAAAGTTTCCTGAAAGTAGGTTTTGAGCAAGTTGTTTTGAAAAGTTCACATTGTGATACGGAAAGGGAGGAAGGAATCTGTGAGACATGAGGAGTTAATGTGTATATTGAGGCTTGCGGAGCAGGTACTCTAGAGGCTAGAACGCTGGGAGCGGGGAGAATGAAGCAGGAATTGAGGCCGGAATGGGTGGTTGAAGTTAATTAATGAAGGACACTACAGAGTTTCGAGTCCATTCTCTAAGTCGTAGGAATCCATAAAGGGTTTCCAAGCAGGGAGTGGCACAATCTGACCTGTGTTTGGGAAGGTAAGTTTGGTAGCAAAGAAAGGGATAGAGTGCAGCAGCCAACACTTCAAATTAAAGGGATCATTTCACAAATTATTAACACTACAGCAAGAGGGCATGTAGTGTAAAACCACAGCTGTCACAAAGAAAATATAAAGGAAGGGAACATAGCAGTGAGATCTCATGACTGATGGGATGTAGGAGATGAAGTAACAATGGTCAAAAATGACTTTGGATAACAGAAGGATAATGATGAGATTAAAGACGATGTAGACAAAGAAGGCTTGGAAAAGTCAAGGTCAATATTTTTCATGTTTTTTGGAAAAGTCAAAAAATATTTTGACATGTAACAAGTACTTAAAAATTTTCTAAAAGTTAAAATTTCCATGATTTAAGAGGTCATAAAGCTCATTGAATCCAGTGGTTCTTTATTGGCTGAACATTAAAAACAACTGAGGAGCAATATTTTTAAAATACTGATATCTGTAATCAGTTGCATGAAGTGTGGATTTGAGTGGTCTGACCAGATATTCTTTATTTGATTTGATTTGATTTGCTTGTGTGTTCCTTTTTAAGTTCCCCAAGTGATGTGAAAATGTAGCCAGGTTGGAAACGTCTAAAATAATCTATATCCTTTAATTTGAAGATTATCCTGAAATTCAGTGAGATTTTGATATCTTTGAGAGGTTTTCATTTCTTGACATGTTATGCTTCTAGTTCTTCTCCAATATTTCTGACTTCCTTTCCTCTTTCTCTAGCCGCTCTTTTCACACATTTGTCCAATGAGTCCAATCAGTGAAGTGACAGGTATGGCTAGCCATATGTAGAAAGCTGAAACTGGATCCCTTCCTTACACCTTATACAAAAATTAATTCAAGATGGATTAAAGACTTAAACGTTAGACCTAAAACCATAAAAACCCTAGAAGAAAACCTAGGCATTACCATTCAGGACATAGGCATGGGCAAGGACTTCATGTCTAAAACACCAAAAACAATGGCAACAAAAGCCAAAATTGACAAATGGGATCTAATTAAACTAAAGAGTTTCTGCACAGCAAAAGAAACTACCATCAGAGTGAACAGGCAACCTACAAAATGGGAGAAAATTTTCACAACCTACTCATCTGACAAAGGGCTAATATCCAGAATCTACAATGAACTCAAACAAATTTACAAGAAAAAAACAAACAACCCCATCAGAAAGTGGGCAAAGGACATGAACAGACACTTCTCAAAAGAAGACATTTATGCAGCCAAAAAACACATGAAAAAATGCTCACCATCACTGGCCATCAGAGAAATGCAAATCAAAACCACAATGTGATACCATCTCACGCCAGTTAGAATGGCGATCATTAAAAAGTCAGGAAACAACAGGTGCTGGAGAGGATGTGGAGAAATAGGAACACTTTTACACTGTTGGTGGGACTGTAAACTAGTTCAACCATTGTGGAAGTCAGTGTGGCGATTCCTCAGGGATCTAGAACTGGAAATACCATTTGACCCAGCCAGCCATCCCATTACTGGGTATATACCCAAAGGACTATAAATCATGCTGCTATAAAGACACATGCACACGTATGTTTATTGCAGCATTATTCACAATAGCAAAGACTTGGAATCAACCCAAATGTCCAACAATGATAGACTGGATTAAGAAAACGTGGCACATATACACCATGGAATACTATGCAGCCATAAAAAATGATGAGTTCATGTCCTTTGTAGGGACATGGATGAAATTGGAAATCATCATTCTCAGTAAACTATTGCAAGGACAAAAAAACAAACACCGCATGTTCTCACTCATAGGTGGGAATTGAACAATGAGAACACATGGACACAGGAAGGGGAACATCACACTCTGGGGACTGTTGTGGGGTGGGGGGAGGGGGGAGAGATAGCATTAGGAGATAGACCTAATGCTAAATGATGAGTTAATGGGTGCAGCACACCAGCATGGCACATGTATACATATGTAACTAACCTGCACATTGTGCACGTGTACCCTAAAACTTAAAGTGTAATAATAATAAAATAAAAATAAAAAATAAAAATTAAAAAAAATTTAAAAAAGAACATTACGGAAGGAATAAATGAAAGTAATTTTAAAAAAAGAAATTAGGAATACAATAGTAACTGGAACATGACTGCTGCTTATATTAAGTGCCTTTTCAGTTATCATTTTTCATGACTTTAACCATAATCTTTATGCTTAACTCTTAAAATGATGTCCCTAGTCTGGCTCTCTCTGCTAATTCCCAGTACCACATTTCAACTTGCTTCTTTGATATTTTATCCTGGAGGAGTTGCTGTCATACAAACTCAGTATTTCTAAATTAAAACTTACCTTTCTTCCAAAATTCATCACTAGTTCTACAAATACAAAAGGGACACCTAACATACATCTTCTTCATGCAAAATCATTCATCTTGTTATTCCCATTTAAATGAATTTGACTCATCTCTGCTTGTCACCTCTGATGTGAAACTCTCTCCTAGGCTATCTGTGGTCCCAAGCACAACACAAGTCTATTAGCAATTAATTATCGCTTTCATTTTTCTGAGGAAGCAATAGTCTCAACTCAGGACCACTTTCATCTTTTTTCCCCTTTAGCTTTATTTCTTACTCATCACGTAAGCACAGATATCTAAAGTGGGAGAATTTTCCTTTAGCCAGGGGTTGGGGTTAGAAGGTGGGAGATGGGAAGGCATTTTCCTTCTTTTAAATTTTGATATTTTTTCTCTCCCTAAAAGTCACTATTTCTATTGTAATATTTGCCTCAAACACTGTATTAATAAATTTAGGCATGGGGCATGCAAAAGCCAGAGACTGGCTATTTCTTTACTAAAATCTCATCCTAAAACAGTGATGAATATACTGCTTGGTTTGGAAAATTAAGGTGGAAATAACAGGAGAAAAAACGTCTGCTAATAATACAGTATTGTTTTCAGCTGTATTTTAACCTCTTTGTGCTTTACTTCTTCAATAATAAAATAAAGATAACTGTACCCATCTTTCATAGTTATAAAGATTAAATAATACAACACTCGTTAAGTATTCTCATTTTTATCTTATCTGAATGTCATAGACTTCACCTTTAACATCAAATCAACTAATTGCTGTTTGTCACAAAAAGAATCAAGCAGAGAATACGCATGTTTAGGAAGAAAAATATCAGTTATGAGTAGAGTTGCCACAGGATTATCGTCCAGATGCGTTTTCTGCAATATTAGTGAAACATTACTCTCTTAGGGGCTGTGGAAGGGTTGCAGGTGATGCTGGGAAGCTAGATGTTCTAAAGCAATCCTAGAGTACTTGTCAGATGTCTTGATTAATTGCTGTTTTTGAAGCAGAAGTAAGAGCATCATATAACCGTGAACAAACACCAGACATCCAAATAAGCTCCCATCCAGTACAGCTCCACACCAGCCAAGGTACTCAGCTGTAAACTAGAGGTACTTGCTTGCCTTCTAAAGTCATCAATGAGCTTAGCCAACCAGCAAATGATAACAATAAACAACTATCCATGCATGAAACAAGAAATCAGAATTTTATACTTGTGTGCATGCTTAAGCTAGGAGAGATGCCAGTCATTGAGCTTTTTTAAAAAAAGAAAGTCTGTGGAAAAAACAAGATGGCTATTTAGAATCCCCTTCAAGACCCTGGGAAATGTACCCAGTGTCTTCCTAGCTCCACCAGTTTCTGCATATAGTGGAAAGAAGCTGTGGCTCCTGGAAGCCCCAGGAAATAAGCTACCTGCAATATGCAGAACAATTAACCTAAAGCAGATTCTGGCTGGTAAATGTGGGAGATGTGCCTTTGTTTGGTCAGGCAGAGACTTCCCTGATGTGCTCCTGTTAAGATTTTTCACACACATTTGAATTGCCTGCATTCAGCTGCTCCCCTGGCAGAAGTATTCTAAAGGCCTCACTTCTGTCACCCTGAATGAGTAGCTGGGTTGAGAGGACTGAGAGGATTTGAGAGGATTTATGTGGAGTGGCAATGAAGAGATACCCCCACCTGGGGAGTGGGGATAGGGTGTGTCTCTTCGTAGCTCCTCCACATTCTGCAGTTTGCTCGCAGTTCAATTATTTACTGAAAGTGAGTAACAAAATCATGTGTTTAGGCCTTTGATTAAAGAGAGGATAATGTTTTGTTAGATAAGTCAGCTGCAGAAATTCAGTCTGAATGTGGCTGCTGCCGCAGCTGAAAGGTTTTGATTTGGCTAATCACAGAGGTCTTTCTCAAACACTAACTAAGGACTCCAAGCAGAACAAATTCATTCCTGATGAAGTCTTGAAACCGACAACATGGAATAATTTGAATCACAGACCTGTAAAATTTGATCAGGATGGAATTAAACAACTCTCCTGAAGTGATTTGGCAGCCTATTTTAACCAAGGCACTACAGTGACACTGGGTAGCCAATGGAGGGTCATTTTTATCTGTAATCTTGCTCGGATTTCTGCTTCCAAAAGGAATTCTGAGGCTCATACCATGGAGGTTGTATTTGCTTGCCTGAAATCAAACTTGAAGATATGGCACAATACTCACTCGCATGCTCTATTCACTACCATTTATGGCTTCATCATTTTCAAAAGTGTCCAGACCTCTCTGGGATCCACTTATGTTAGGACCATATCTTGGGGGGTGATGGTACATATATATGTATTACCATCTGTGTGCAAAATAATTTCTTTTTATTTCTCCTACACTTTACATCTCATACATTTTAAAGGATTTAAAGTACACATAGATGGAGAGAAAATAGGAAATTAGCATAAGATCATCAGCCCAACCTTGAACTACACTGGCCCCAAGGTAGAAATTCTCTTTGAGTGGAATCTTTTTTCTTTTTTTTTGAGACGGAGTCTTGCTCTGTCACCCAGGCTGGAGTGCAGTGGCGCGATCTCAGCTTACTGCAAGCTCTGCCTCCCAGGTTCACGCCTCAGCCTCCGGAGTAGCTGGGACTACAGGCGCCCGCCACCACACCCAGCTAATTTTTTGTATTTTTAGTAGAGATGGGTTTTCACCGTGTTAGCCAGAATAGTCTTGATCTCATGACCTCGTGATCTGCCCGCCTCGGCCTCCAAAAGTGCTGGGATTACAGGCGTGAGCCACCGCACCCAGCCCTTTGAGTGGAATCTTAATGAAATATATTGACTCATTCACTTTTGTTTTCATAGTTTACTGGTCAGGCAATATTAGCTGGGCCTTCCGGGGACAGGGTAGATGAGAGGATAGAGTCTAAGTGGGAAGAGAGATTCCTCGAGTCCTACTCTAGATGCTGTAAATTCTGTTCTTGAATATAAGCAATTTGTACATTGTGATAAAAGACTCTCCTTTATCTTTGCAAGAAAATGTTAAAAATCATTATTAAACCATTTTACCACAAAAAGGTGCAACATCGAAAAAACATATTTTTAAATATTATGATCTACTTTCTTAGATATAGGTGTAATGAAGGAAACTTTCTGAGGATGGTACATAGGACAGAGCTCATCAAATTTTAGAAGGTGTATGTGGTGGTGGGATGAAGGGTCAAAATGGCAGCCGATTACAAAAGAAAAGAAGATCTAAAAAAATCAATATCCAAAATGGACAATAAAAAATAAAATTACTGAATTTCAAAGAAGGAAAGTGAGTAGGAGGTTTAAGAGAATGATAAAATGAAGATGATCCAAAAATGTGGTATAAAAATTGTGCATTTTTGAAGCAAACATCATATTATATTTTATTGATAGACCTTACATGTTACTGATGCTTGGTGACAAGAGAAATGTTATTGCTAGAGCAAGGAGTCTGTGGGTGGCAAGCCACCCAGGCGCCGAGGCAAGAGACCAAGGACATGAGCTGTTCCAGTATAATAAAATATAAAACAAGAATAGTTATACCAGATATAGAGCTTAGATATGATTATATATGAATATCATTAATCATTAGTTGGTAGTAATTACTCTTTATCCCAATATTATAATAATCCTCGCTCTATAATCATAACCTAGGAAAAACCAGGCCACACAGAGATAGGAGCTGAGGGGACATAGTGAGGTGTGACCAGAAGACAAGAGTGAGAGCTTTCTGTTATGCCCGGACAGGGCCACCAGAGGGCTCCTTGGTCTGGCGGTGACGCCAGCATCTGGGAAGACCCCCATTGTCAGGCGGACCGTGGTCTAGCGGTAGCGAAAAGTGTCAAGGAAAACCATCCGCTACTTAGCAGACCGGGAAAGGGAGTCTCCTTTTCCCTGGGGGAGTTTAGAGAAGACTCTGTTCCTTCACCTTTTGTGGAGGGCCTGACATCAGTTAGGCTTGCCGGCAGTTATCCGGAAGCCTAACCGTCTCCCTGTGATGCTGTGCTTCAGTGGTCACACTCCTAGTCCACCTTCATGTTCCATCCTGTACACCTGGCTCTGTCTTCTAGATAGCAGTAGAAAATTAGTGAAAGTACTAAAAGTCTCTGATATGCAGAAATATGGCATAAGCTGTCTTTCTCTTTGTCTCCTCTCTCTCTCTGCCTTGGCTGCCAGGCAGGGAAGGGCCCCCTGTCCAGTGGACACGTGAACCACGTGACCTTACCTATCATTGGAGATGACTCACACTCTTTACCCTGCCCCTTTTGCTTTGTATCCAATAAATAACAGCGCAGCCAGACATTCGGGGCCACTACTGGTCTCCGCGCGTTGGTGGTAGTGGTCCCCCAGGCCCAGCTGTCTTTTCTTTTATCTCTTTGTCTTGTGTCTTTATTTCTACACTCTCTCATCGTCGCACACGGGGAGAGACCCATGGACCCTGTAGGGCTGGTCCCTGCAGGAGTCAAACAAATCGCTGGCTTCTCACAGCAATGAACAGGGTCTCTCACTTCAAGTTATTTATCCAGTGGCATTACTTCTTTGTGTTTTCTGAGGCATGCAGAGTGACATTGTGGGTAGAGGCCAGAGGGTGCTAAAGCCTGAAAGTGTGACATTTGCCTACAAATGCATATAAAAATGCACGTGCTCAATGTTTAAAACAGCTTTTAAATTCAAAGGAAATTCTTTTTAAACTAAGCTTTGCTCTTCAAAATGTTGTAAAAATTCCCAGGGTAGAAGGAGGTCCCCTTTTTAAAAATTTTCATTAAGCAATAATCCATTCCGATAATAAGCATCAAGAAAAGGAAATTAGGTCTACTAACGTGACACATTTCCTTTAATATATATAACTTAGTTCCTTTTTTTTTTTTTTTTGAAGATGCAGTGGCACAGGTAAAGAAATACAAACTTTTCCCTACCACAACTCTACCCTAAAGCTTAAAATATTTTTAAATGTCTCTGATGCATTTACTCAAAAATATATATTATTTATATTTTAAGCTACCCAGTCTATGGTATTCTGTAACGGCAGCCTAAACTAAGACATGATTATTCTTAACAAATCACAATGTTTCTTTGCCATAATTATATATATTATATACACTTCTTTCACAAACCATTGTTTGTGAAATATAAGGCTCATACAAGAGAGGCTGATTGAAGAAGTATGTATTGCTGAGTCACAACAGCAGAATACAAAAAAAATTTGGTCTCCTTTAGTGAATTCTAATGTCAACATTAATTTAAAGGAGAGAAGAATGCTCTTAATAAGTTTGGAAGCATTTATTTATTTGTGGTTTGTTGTGGCTTAAATGTTTGTATCACCGCCAAATTTATATGTTAAAATCCTAACCCACAATGTGATGTAATTAGGAGATGAAGCCTTTGGAAGGTGATTGGGCCATAAGGGTGGAGCCCTAATAAATGGGACTTGTGCCCTTATAGAAGAGACCTTGAGTGCTCACTCCCTCTCTCTTCACTATGTGAGGATACTGCAGGAAATCAGTCATCTGAAAATCAGGAAGAAGGCCTTCACTAGACACTGAATTTGCTAGCACCTTGATCTTGGACCTCCCAGCCTCTGGATGGTGAGAAATAAATGTTTGTTGTTTGGCAGGGTGCAGTGGCTCACGCCTGTAATCACAGCACTTTGGGAGGCCAAGGCAGGTGGATCACGAGGTCAGGAGTTCAAGACCAGCCTGGCCAACATAGTGAAACCCCGTCTCTACTCAAAATACAAAAATTAGCTGGGCATGGTGGCACGCACCTGTAATCAGCTACTCAGGAGGCTGAGGCAGGAGAATGGCTTGAATCTGGGAGGCGGAGGTTGTGGTGAGCTGAGATCACACCACTGCACTCCAACCTGGATAATAGAGGAAGACTCCATCTCAAAAACAAAACAAAACAAAACAAAACAAAAAAAAAACAGTTTGTTGTTTAAGCCACCCAGTCTTTGGTATTCTGTTATATTAGCCTGAATTAAGTCCTGATTATTCTTAATAAATCACAATTTTCCCTTGCTATAAATTATTTTAAAATAAATTATATAAAAATGCACAGAAAATGAAGACCTTAATTAAAATAAATTGGAAGGCATTCCAAGTGCTATTAACATTAAGTGATAGGCCCATTTTCTCTGATTTACCAGAACAAAAGGCAAGTCATTTGACATTTCCTTGGCCTTAAAATATCCACCTGGAAATGGAGATGCTAATTTTAATGTAATTCAGATAACTGGTAACATGTATAACTAATATAAATGCTTATAACGTATTGTCCTGCATATACATTATTATGACAAATGTTAAAAGAGAATATTTTGTTTTTCTGATATTCTCATGTTGATTCCAGAGATAAAGACATACTGTTTAAAAGGAAGAATTTGGATCCTTGGGAAAACAACCAGTAAAGATTTTGACAAATATCTATAGACTTCCCACATTACTTACAAGTTGACTATAGACTCCATCACTGCCTTCAAGTATGATAAAATTGCTAATTTCATGGGGTATGTCTAAGCTCTTTTCTTTGGTTTCTCTGAGGTACTTTTTAAATGTTTATTGGGGCTATCTTAAAACTATCTTCCTTTGATTCTTCTGAAGTTGCATTTTAAAGTTTTGCTTCCCAGTGACTCATGCTTTCTTCATTTCCTGTTTCAGCTTCTCTTCTGCCGTCTGCTCCATAAATGGGGCCCTCTGCCAAGTTTCTGTTCCCTTTCTATGTTTTCTCTCTTATACATTGTATATACCTCTATGGCTTTAAATGTTGCTACTAAGTTAAAGATTTCTCAATTCATTTATTTGGCAGCATATCTCTCTTGGTTCCAGTTAAAATTTCAGCTCCCCATCCGTAAGCTTTACATGTGCATCCTATGTAATATTTCTGGCTTCCAGCCTGTTCTGATCATGTTGCACTTGGAGAATACCTTTTCCTTGGTGAATTTGCTTCCTGATTCTCCCCGCTGAATAGCAACCACATCTCTAATTCAAACCTCTCGGCTCCAGATCAGTACATTCAATATTCAACTGGTTCTTTAATAATTACACATTAACACAAAAAAGTTACAGCAGTTCAACTTACCATACACAGGGTTCTTGATTTACCACTCTTCAATCTGATTCTTTTCTGGTGTCCTTTGCCTCAGTGAATTATATCACTCTCTATATTGTTTCACAAATTAGAAACATGGGCGTTATCTTTGACTTATCCACATGTGCAATACAATACAACCATCACCACTGATTTAATCAAAGCTACCTTAATGTTTCCCCCATATTATCAGAAAGCTTAACAATTCTCTTCATATAAGCACTTATTTTCTTCTCTCCTCTGCTTTCTTTACTGCAACTACACTCAGTTTCCATTTCCTTTCTCTTCATTTATCTGAAATTCTACTCATTCTTAAAATCTCAGTTTATGGTCCAATTCTTCAAAAGTTTCCATGATTTCTACTGGCCGTCAAATTTTATTTTAATTTATAAAGTAGCAATATCTTGGAAAGCTAATGTGCTTTCATTTAGACCCATTTCACAGATGAGAAATTTAAGGCTCAAAAGGAGATGTCATATGCCTGAAGTCCCCTAGCTACTCAGTAACAGAGCAGGGGTTTGAAAACAAGTTTATGTCACTTAAAATTCAGCCTGGTCTGCAATATTACCTCCCACAATGTTCAATCTTGTCTCTAATGTTTTAGTGTTATTACTATGGTACTGTTTTTGTGTTTCCATTGTTTCATATTCTCATCCGGAGTAGAAACTCCCAGAGAGAGGAACCATTGCTTCATTTGATCATTTAACAAATGCTTTTGTCTATTATATACCTGACATTACACTAGGACCTAGGAATACAGAGCTAACATGTCAAATTTAACAATAACTAATTGTCTCCATGATAAAAGATACTGTTTGGCAGGTCTAAATAATTACTAATAAACCCCTAATATTCTCTATTTTAATGTTGACTATTAAAAATCTGCATCAGATATAGCTTTTTATAAAGCCAGTTATAGAAATCTTGAAAAAGTGTTTTGGGATATAATTCTGATTTGGAAGATATAAATAAATTCTTTTTAAAAATATCCTGATGAAATACTCAGAGGTACAGTCAATTTTTATATACCATTTAAGGTATTATGTAAGGTTCAACATAGATGACATGTTTAACAGTACATATTATAGAAATTCACAGACTGAGTTCAGAAGTGATTAAATAGATATCAATATTTGTGACATAGGCATAGCTTTCTTGTGATTAATAGGTGGGTAGTGGGTTCAATGACTGAAATGTTCAATAAAAACCACTACTGTTAAATCTAGTAAAACCATGAAGGTGTAATATGGCCTGCTGGGAATTCTGAATGACCTAAGCGCCTCCTCCTTAACTCATTGCCCACAGGATACTGGGACAGAACAGATGGAGTCGATCTAAGTATTAGGATGCAGTAAGGGCTGTAAATGAGTCCAGACTAGTTGATATTTCTGGGACTGTGAATATGCCTGGGAATTTCAGTGTATTCTCAATGGCCAAATCATCCATATTTCGTGAATTTTCATTATGTTAAAAAAGTAGTCAGTACATTCAGAGGCGTTAGCGTTTCTATGCTGTTGCTCTGTCATTAGTGGGCAGCCTATCTAGGGGCGATCTGCCTGTCTAGGACACAACTGTTAATTGATTGTGCCATATGTGTTAGACCATAATGTATATATACCTAAATTAGTCAGGGTGTTTGGGAGATGTTTTGCCTGGAGTTATCAGTAAGTACTGGCTTGGCCTGGTGTTGTTTATGCCTTTGTATTTTGTTGTTGTTGGGAGAGGTAGCTCAAGAGAGGCCATTTCCTTATTGAAAGTGCATGTCAGGATGGAGGTGAGGGTGAGTGCACTTGCTGGTGTCTACTAGGGATCCACTTTTGCCACATAAGCAATGTCCCTTACATTGCGCCACTCTGGTCATGTTGAGAAATTGCTCAATTTCTGTGACGAAAAAGGGATCTGCACGCTTACAGCCAGTCTCTATCCCAGAATATCTGAAGGTAAAAATGAGAGGTGAGGGCCACCTCAGGGATTAGCTACCATGGAAGTTCTCTCAGGCTGAATTCACTCTGAGCTGTTGGTGATCTACTGAGTGGGGGGTTCATCTTCACTGTCTTCTTTGTTATTTTCACAGACTCCCAACTTCCTACAACTCCTCCTTTTTCTGAGTGACTCCTGACTTTTGCGATCACAACTATTCTCTCCTATCTTTGTGCTATTTTGTAGACAGACTGTGAGTGAGCACAGCTAACTTGTGAGCCTAGTGTAACCTTAGGAATCAAACTTCCTGCCTTTAAGTTCCTGTTTCACTTTTCACTAATGTAGCTTCAGATCTTTCAGAAGTAAAATGAGATGATACGTGCTGTAAGGACTAATTAAAGTGCATGCAAAGCACTTAGCATTACACATAGAAGAAAGTTAGCTTCCAGTCATTGAAAGAAATTATGGTTTCTTTTTTGTTATTTAGAAGAAATCTTTAAGGTGATTTGAAAGTATGATTTGGGTACGATTTTCACACAAAAAGGGGAATTCGTGATCATTTCCTGTCCATCATCTAGGTAAAAAACACCCTAGAGGTTTACAAAGTACTCTAGGAGGGAATGGAATGTATCACAATGAGAGTGATATTTAGACTGAGTCTTGGGTGATGAACAAGTGTATGTCAAATTAAAGAGATAGGGCAGGAACATAGAAAAATAATAAATAGTATTAAGAGATAAGGCAGAAACAAAGAAAAATAATAATTAGTATGTGGAGGTAAGAGTGAATTTTGTTCTGTCTAGGAACTAAATCTTAGAAATGTAGAAATAGATTTATGAATGAAAAAACAAACAGATAGGAAAGATATTGCCCCATCTCAGTTGGGAGTCAGATAATGGAGGATTTGTCAAGGCAAATCAAGTAGGGCTGAATTTTTCAGAAGGTTGATGGTTGTTAAAAGCAAAGCATAGGTATAATCAGCTTTGTCTTTGTATCTGCCTTTATGCGAGAATAGATTGTGGGGTCAGGAAGACCATCATAAAAAATCTTGTCATTATTCAGGTGAAAAATTATAGCATCATGAACTATAACAGTGGCAAAGTGACTAGAGAAAAATCTATATGTTTAGGAGGTATTAAAAGTTTTAGTGAATGGTATTTCATTATTTGTAAAGATTGAAGAAAATAGATGGCTCTCAATTTTGGATGGGTGGATGAGTATGCCATTTAAGATAGAAACATTAAAAGAAGGAAAGGGATAGAAATGGGGTAAAATATTTAGCTTTGAATATGTTGCATTTGCCAATAGGCAGTCATTTCTATGTGTCTTGAAGTGAGGAGACTGGTCTGCACTGAACGATCAGATTATAAAGATATAGGTATAAAGAGGCCACCACTAAAACCATACAAATGGAAGAGATTGCCCATAGAGAATATATAGCATGAGAAGAGGTGAAAGAGAGTAGCTTACCTGGATTTAGTGCCCAGCAGTGAACCCTGTATGTGGTTGATATTCATCAAGTCCAAAAATAAACTTTGATAAAAAATGAATAAATCTGTTCGATTTTAGGGGTCTTCTCAGAGCAAGATGGAGTTTTGTATATTAAAATGTTTAGTTTGGTGTCAGCGTCTGATCTGATTTGGTCTATCTCTGCAATGTAGAAATTGGCTCATGATGGCCTGTCTCCTTGCGATGGCTTTAAGGGAAGGGCACTGTGACACTTTCCTTGTAAATTGGGCCACAAGATTCCAACAACAGATACCACTAGAAGTTGTCATTCAGAGAAAAAAATGACCTGTTAAAAATATAGATTTACCTTGGAGATGTTGCAGGTTTGACTTCAAATCACCACAATAAAGTGAGTCACACAAATTTTCTGGTTTTCTAGTGCATATAAAAGTTATGTGTACACTACTTTTACTTAATAGACTATCCTGTGGTCTGGGGGTCCCCAACCCCTAGGCCTCGGACTGGTACCAGTCAGTGGCCTGTTAGGAACTGGGCTGCACATCAGGAGGTGAGCAGCAGACAAGCAAGCATTACCATCTGGGCTCTGCCTCCTGTCAGATCAGTAATGGCATTGGATTCTCATAGGAGCATAAACCTATTGTGAACTGTGCATTCGAGGGATCTAGGTTGTGCACTCCTTATGATAATCTAATGCCTCATATTCTGAGGTGAAACAGTTTCATCACCACCCTACCATCCACCACTCCCCACCCCTGTCCATGAAAAAAACTGTCTTCCCTGAAACTAGTCCCTGATGCCAAAAAGGTTAGAGACCACTGCTGTAGTCTATTACGTGTGAAATAGCATTATGTCTTTAAAAATGTGTATACCTTAATTTAAAAATACTGTGCTGAAAATGCTAATGATTATCTGAGCCTTCTGTGAGTCCTAATTTTTTACTTGGTGTGGGGGCCAGGGGAGGTCTTTACTCTGTGTTAATGACTTCTGATTCATCAGGGTGGTGGGTCCTGAAGGTTGGTTGTGGCTGTGGCAATTTCTTAAAATAAGGTAACAATAAATTTTGCCACATTTGACTCTTCCTTTCATGAACTATTTCTCATTAGCATGTGATGTAGCTTGGTAGCATTTTACCCAACAGTAGAACTTCTAAATTTAAAATTCAGAGTCAATCCTCTCTAAACCTGCCACTGCTTTATTGGCTAAATTTAAATAATAATCCAAATCCTTTGTTGTCATTTCAACAATGTTCCCAGTATCTTCACCGGGAGTAGACTGCATATTTGCTTTCTTTGCTCATCCATAAGAAGCAACTTCTCTTCTGTTAAAATATTATCAGGAGATTGTAGCAATTCAGTCACATCTTCAGGCCCCACTTTTAATTCTATTTCTTTTGCTATTTTCACCACATTTGCACTTACTTCCTCCATTCAAGTCTTGAACCCCTCAAAATCATTCATGAAAGTTTAAATCAACTTCTTTCAAACCCCTGTTAATGCTGATAATTTGACCTCCTATGAATCATGAATGTTCTTAATGACATCTAGAATGGTGAATCCTTTCCAGAAAGTTTTCAATTTGCTTTGCCCAAAGCCATCAGAGGAATCACTGTCTATGGAAGTTATAGGTTTACAAAATGTATTTCTTAACTAATAAAACTTGAAAGTCAAAATTACTGTTTGATTCACAGACTGTGGAATAGCTGTTGTGTTAGCAGCATAAAAACATTAATCTTGTACATCTCCATCAGAGCTCTTTGGTGACAAGACGAATTGTTAATGAGCAGTAATATGTATGACTTTTGAGACAAGGTCTTGTTCTGCTGCCCAGGTTGGAATACAATGACAAGATCACAACTCACTGCAGCCTCAAACTCCTGAGCTCAACCCATCGTCCTGTCTCATCCTGCCAAGTAGTTGGGACTACAGGCATGTGTCACTATGCCTGGCTAATTTTTAAAATTTTTCTTCTAGGGAAGGAGTCTCATTATGTTGCTCAGGCTGATCTTGAACTCCTTGGCTCAAATGATCCTCCCATGTCAGCCTCCTAAAATGCTATGATTATAGGTGTCAGCAGTAATATTTTGAAAGAATTTTTCACCCCTGAGCAGTAGTTCTCAATAGTGGGCTAAAAAATACTAGGAATCAAATCCAGCAGCATATCAAAAAGCTTATCCAACATGATCAAGTTGGCTTCATCCCAGGGATGCAAGGCTGGTTCCACATACACAAATCAATAAACGTAATCCATCACATAAACATAACCAATGACAAAAACCACATGATTATCTCCATAGTTGCAGAAAAGGCCTTCAACAAAATTCAACACCCCTTCATGCTAAAAACTCTCAATAAACTAGGTATTGATGGAAAATAATAAGAGCTATTTATGACAAACCCACAGCCAATATCATACTGAATGGGCAAAAACTGGAAACATTCCCTTTGAAAACTGGCACAAGACAAGGATGCCCTCTCTCACCACTCATATTCAACGTAGTATTGGAAGTTCTGGCCAGGGCAATCAAGCAAGAGAAAGAAATAAAAGGTATTCAAATAGGAAGAGAGGAAGTCCAATTGTTTCTGTTTGCAGATGACATGATTGTATATTTAGAAAACCCCATCGTCTCAGCCCAAAATCTCCTTAAGCTGATAAGAAACTTCAGCAAAGTCTCAGGATACAAAATCAATGTGCAAAAATCACAAGTATTCCTATACACCAATAATAGAGAGCCAAATCATGAGTGAACTCCCATTCACAATTACTACAAAGAGAATAAAATACCTAGGAATCCAACTTACAAGGGATGTGAAGGACCTCTTCGAGGAGAACTACAAAGCACTGCTCAAGGAAATAAGAGAGGGCACAAACAAATGGAAAAACATTCCAGGCTCATGGATAGGAAGAATCAATATCGTGAAAATGGCCATACTGCCCAAAGTAATTTATAGATTCAATGGTATCCCTATCAAGATACCATTGACTTTCTTCACAGAATTAGAAAAAACTTCTTTAAATTTCATATGGAACCAAAAAAGAGCCTGCATTGCCAAGACAATCCTAAGCCAAAAGAACAAAGCTGGATGCATCACACCACCTGACTTCAAACTATGCTACAAGGCTACAGTAACCAAAAGAGGATGGTACTGGTACCAAAACAGATATATAGACCAATGTAACGGAACAGAGGCTTCAGAAATAACACCACACGTCTGCAACCATCTGATCTTTGACAAACCTGGCAAAAACAAGAAATGGGGAAAGGATTCCCTGTTTAAAAAATGGAGTTGGGAAAACTGGCTAGCCATATGCAGAAAACTGAAACTGGACCCCTTCCTTACACCTTATGTAAAAATTAACTCAAGATGGATTACAGACTTAAACATAAGACCTAAAACCATAAAATCCCTAGAAGAAAACCTAGGCAACCAACCTACCTTCCTTCCTTCCTTCCCCTTCCTTCCTTCCTTCCTCTTCCTTCCTTCCTTCCTTCCTTCCTTCCTTCCTTCCTTCCTTCCTTCCTTCCGACGGTCTCCCTCTGTTGCTGAGGCTGGACAGTACTGCTGTGATCTTGGCTCGCTGCAACCTCCCTGCCTCGGGCTCCCATGATTCTCCTGCCTCTGCCTGCCGAGTGCCTGGGATTGCAGGCACGCGCCGCCATGCCTGACTGGTTTTTGTATTTTTGGTGGAGACGGGATTTCGCTGTGTTGGCCGGGCTGGTCTCCAGCTCCTGACCTGGAGTGATCTGCCTGCCTCGGCCTCCCAAGGTGCCAGGATTGCAGACAGAGTCTCGCTCACTTAGTGCTCAATGTTGCCCAGGCTGGAGTGCAGTGGCATGATCTCAGCTCGCTACAACCTCTACCTCCCAGCCGCCTGCCTTGGCCTCCCAAAGTGCTAAGATTATAGCCTCTGCCCGGCCGCCACCCTGTCTAGGAAGTGAGGAGCGTCTCTGCCTGGCTGCCCATCGTCTGGGATGTGAGGAGCCCCTCTGCCCGGCTGCCCCATCTGGGAAGTGAGGAGCACCTCTGCCCGGCCGCCACCCCATCTGGGAACTGAGGAGCGCCTCTGCCCGGCTGCCCCGTCTGAGAAGTGAGGAGCACCTCTGCCTGGCAGCCGCCCCATCTGGGAAGTGAGGAGCGCCTCTGCCCGGCCGCTCCGTCTGGGAGGTGAGGAGAGCCTCTGCCTGGCCGCTGTGCAATCTTCCAAGTGTGAAGTGACAGCCTTTCTGCAGGTGTACCCAACAGCTCCGAAGAGACAGCAACCATCGAGAACGGGCCATGATGACGATGGCGGTTTTGTCGAAAAGAAAAGAGGGAAGCGTGGGGAAAAGAAAGAGAGATCAGATTGTTACTGTGTCTGTGTAGAAAGAAGTAGACATAGGAGACTCCCTTTTGTTCTGTACTAAGAAAAATTCTTCTGCCTTGGGATGCTGTTAATCTATAACCTTACCCCCAACCCCATGCTCTCTGAAACATGTGCTGTGTCAACTCAGGGTTAAATGGATTAAGGGCAGTGCAAGATGTGCTTTGTTAAACAGATGCTTGAAGGCAGCATGCTCGTTAAGAGTCATCACCACTCCCTAATCTCAAGTACCCAGGGACACAAACACTGTGGAAGGCTGCAGGGACCTCTGCCTAGGAAAACCAGAGACCTTTGTTCATGTGTTTATCTGCTGACCTTCTCTCCACTATTATCCTATGAGCCTGCCACATCCCCCTCCTCTCCGAGAAACACCCAAGAATGATCAATAAATACTAAAAAAAAGAAAAAAAAGAAAAAAAAGAAAACCTAGGCAATACCATTCATGACATAGACATGGCCAAAGACATCATGATTAAAACACCATAAGCAATGGTAACAAAAGCCAAAATTGACAAATGGGATCTAATTAAACTAAAGAGCTTCTGCACAACAAAAGAAATTATCATCAGAGTGAACAGGCAACTTACAGAATGGGAGAAAATTTTTGCAATCTATCCATCTGACAAAGGGCTAATAACCAGAATCTACAAGGAACTTAAACAAATTTACAAGAAAAAAACAACCCCATCAAAAAGTGGGTGAAGGATATGAACAGACACTTCTCAAAAGAAGACGTTTATGTGGCCAACAAACATATGAAAAAGGCTCATCATCACTGGTCATTAGAGAAATGCAAATTAAAGCCACAATGAGATACCTTCTGATGCCAGTTAGAATGGCGATCATGAAAAAGTCAGGAAACAACAGATGCTGGAGAGGATGTGGAGAAATAGGAACACTTTTACACTGTTGGTGGGAGTGTAAATTAGTTCAACCATTGTGGAAGTCAGTGTGGTGATTCCTCAAGGATCTAGAACCAGAAATACCATTTGACCCAGCAATGCCATTACTGGGTATATACCCAAAGGATTATAAATCATTCTGCTATAAAGACACATGCACATGTATGTTTACTGTGGCACTGTTCACAATAGCAAAGACTTGGAACCAACTCAAATGCCCATTAATGATAGAGTGGATAAAGAAAATATGCCACATGTACACCATGGAGTACTATGCAGCCGTAAAAAAAGGATGTGTTCATGTCCTTTGCAGGGAGATGGATGAAGCTGGAAACCATCATTCTCAGGAAACACAAGAATAGAAAACCAAACACTCCATGTTCTCACTCATAAGTGGGAGTTTAACAATGAGAACCCATGGACACAGGGAGGTGAACATCACACACCAGGGCCACTTGGAGGGTTGGGGTCTCAGGGAGGGATAGCATTAGGAGAAATACCTAATGTAGATGACAGGTTGATGGGTGCAGCAAACCACCATGGCACGTGTATATCTATATAACAAACCTACACGTTCTGCACATGTATCCCAGAAGTTAAAGTATAATTTAAAAAAAATTAAAAAAAATATTTAGCAAACTGGCTGGGCACAGTGGCTCATACCTGTAATCCCAGCACTTTGGAAGAAGGTCGAGGCCAGCAGATTGCTGGAGCCCAGGAGTTCGAGCCTGGGCAAAACGGTAAAACCTCATCTCTACAAAAAAATACAAAAATTAGCTGAGTATGGTGATATGTGCCTGTAGTCTGAGCTACTCTGAAGGCTGAGGTAGGAGGATTACAGAGGTAGCAGTGAGCCAAGATCACACCACTACACTCTAGCCTGGGCAACAGAGCAAGACCTAGTTTCAAAAAAATAAAGAAAGAAAGAAATTAGTGAACCATGCTGTAAACAGATGTGCTGTAAGCAGATGTTCTGGCAACCAGACTTTGGTGCTCCATTTATAGAGCACAGGCAGAGTAGATGTAGCATCATTCTCAAGGGCCATAGGATTTTTAGAATGGTAAATGAGCACTGGCTTCAACTTTAAGTTACCAGCTGCATTTGATCCTAACAAGAAAGCCTGTTTTTTCAAACTTTGAAGCCAGGCATTGATTTCTCCTCTCTAACGATTAAAGTCCTGGATAGCACTTCTATCAATAGAATACTATTATATCTACACTGTAAAGCTGTTGTTTAGTATAGCTACCTTCATCAATTATTTTAGTAGGAGCTTCTGGATAACTTGCTGCAGCTTGTGTATCTGTACTTGTTACTTCATCTTGCACTTGTGTATTATAGAGATGGCTCTTTTCCTAAACCAACCTCTGCTATCTTCCATCTTTCCTTTGGCAGCTTCCTCACCTCTTTTATAGAGTTGAAAAGAGTTAGGGCCTTGTGTTGGATTAGGCTTTGACTTAAGGGAATGTTGTGGCTGGTTTGATCTTCTGTCCAGACCACACACACTTTCTCCCTATACTCAATAAAGCTGTTTTGCTTTCTTATCATTTATGTGTTCACTGAAGTAGCACTTTTAATTTCCTTCAGTAAATTTTCCTTTGCATTCATAACTTGGCTAATTGTTTGGTGCGTGAGACCTAGCTTTCAGCTTATCTTGGCTTTTGACATGCCTTCCTCATGCAGTTTAATCATTTGTAGCTTTTGATTTAGAGTGAAACACCTGAAACTCTTCTTTTCACTTCCACACTCAGAAGTCATTGTAGGGTTATTAACTGGCCTAATTTCAATATTGTTGTGGATCAGGGAATAGTGAAGCCAGAGTAGAGGAACAAAAGCTGGGGAACAACCGGTAAGTGGAGCAGTAAGAATATATACCACATCACAACATTTATCAACTAAGCTTGCTCTCTTACATGGTGCAGTTTTTGGTGCCTCAAAACAATTAGAATAGTTACATCAATGATCACTGATTACAAATCACCATAACAAATATAATGATAAGTTTGAAATATTGCAAGAATTGCCAAAATTTGATATAGAAACATGAAGTGAGTATATATTATTGGAAAAATGGTGCCCACAGGTTTATTCCATACAGGGTTGTCACCCACCTTCAGTTTGAAAAATAATTCAGTATCTCACAATGCAATAAAATGGAGTGGAACAAAATCAGATATACCTGTAATAAGCTTATAATTGACTTATTATAAACCTTTATAGGAGCTTAAGGAATACATGGATGCATGAGAAAATTTTTTTTTTTTTGAATACGGAATTGGTATGGAAAAAAAGTAGAGAGAAGAAATAATTCAAAAATTCATGAAAAGAGAAGAAAATTAAATGATGTGAGACAGAGACGAAAAGGTAAATAGGTCCCTTAGACCTGAAATAAATATTAATGATTGCATTTGAGGCTATTCGTCTTCTAGTTTTATTGATACCATTATCATAACAACAAATCTTTCTTTAGTTCAAATCCAGTGCTTTATTATACATTAATTTTAATCACAATTTGTATTTCCTACAGATTAAAGTATTTTAAAATATTAGAAATTAATTCATTTTAAAATGCTGTCAGGTTTTATATGTCATTCCAGGAAATATGTGGCCTCTTGGTTACCCCACCAGGGATAATCACACCCTTCCTATATGAGTGTTTGTTTTCTGACTTGACTCCATGCAGCAGAAGACCTTCTGCAAGGAACAGTCTAACCCTAAAGCATGGATAAGCAGTGTGTTCTAAGACATGTTGCCCACTGAAGGTAGGTTTTTCTCACTAAAATGACCTACTCAGGATCTCTCAGACTCTCAGGTGCTCTGAAGTATAGTTTTGAAATAGTAGGTGACATGCTGCTGCTCATTGTGTTTTCACACAATGCAGCCCTCGATCATGTTGTCACCTCACACTAACAGACTCAGATGGAGAGTACAATGACTTTTGCTGTGTTCTCAGAAATGAACAAAGACAATCACTCTGGGAGAGTCAGATCTTGAATTTTCTAACCTGATTGAGCAATATTTCACCCGGCTGCAAAGCTACCACATGCTACACACTTTCCAACTGCCTTTAGACTTGCTAAACGCATTTATAGAGTAGATCGAGCAGTAGAAAAAATATGGTAGATGAAACGAAGTCTTTTTTACACTGACCTTTTATTATTGTGTTATAAAAAACCCAGTCTCAAAATAGATTGAGGTAGATTTATCTTTTAATGAAAATCGCCAGGAGGTTTGAAGTCAAATATTCTTATCTTATTCTCATGCTCCAGTGCAGGACTCCTGTGCAGAGCTGACCTTGCAGTGCCATCCTAGAGGGAGCTATAATGATTACTGTGGACTGACTTACTTCATTTCAAAAGGGACACTTAAAAGAGACAATGAAGTCAGCATGCCTCCTTTAAGGTTCCATTGTCCAAGGTTGTGCCTGTCAGCTTTTCCGGAGAGGAAAGGACAGAAAAGTTCGGGGAGATTGGCTGCAGCAGAAAAGAGCAAGCTCTCAGGACATTATTAGAAAGGTGAACTTAACTGCTCCAGGGGCCACCTGTAGCACTGAGGTGGTGGCTTCAGTGGTTATGTTAACTGAAGGTGAGAGGTTGGGCTGGTCTGTCTGTATCTGAGACCTCAGACCACATTCCAGCTGCCAGGACACTGAACAGAACCCTGATGCCGCAGCTGCCAGGGCTCAGTACTACAGAGCACTGCAAATGCTTCTTCCTGCTGTCACTGCAGCCTCGCCACACCTGAAATGGGCTCTCAGAAACCTATTTAGTATGAGAATAATTTTACCAATTGCTTCTTGTCTTTGTTTTTCTTTTTACAGAAACCAGTGGGGAAATAATAATTTTGTGCTTCTTTTTGTTTTTGGTTCTTTCCTACAGAAATTTCAAAGGTCATAACAGAAAAGAGGGTGGAGTTAGTGTTGGGAGGAATGAACATCGAGATAAGAAAGAAAAGTAGACAAGGGAATAGTATTTAAGAAAAGATTGTTGTCAGTCAGCATTTCCACAAATATCTGTAAAAAGATCACACAAGGGAAATACAATAATGAGAATTTAATGTCAAAATAATTGTAATTTTATGCCTAAATGAGTCAACATGACAGAAGATTCTCTTAATCTTAATTAGAAATAGGTGGGGGCATTTCAGTTTTTTCCCACAAGCTGCATAGCTCCTGGCATAATCACTTTCCAAAACAATAGATAATAGAAAGACATGACTGCCGCATCATATGTTGTGGAGAACATAAACAGCATTGTGCTGATTTCTTAACTCCCTGAACTGGAGCAGCATCTCAATCTAGCTGGTAGTAATTAAAATTTCATCTATTGGAATGGAAGGTTTTACTTTTTACGTGTGTCATTGTATAATCACCTTACTGTGAATGAATTCCATGTGCAAATGGAAAAGTAAGCTTAAAGAACTGTTTTGTGTAAGTGCTTTTTATCCATACTCTTAAGTAAAAGTCTTAATGAAATTGTATGCTGCTTAGCTTTTTAAAGATTTTTGTAAATTGGTGAAACAAATATATCTGCAATATAGATATGCTTATCTAGGACTGACTTATTATGCTGAAATCTACCCCCTATCTCTTCTGCTGCCTTACTTCTTTTAATGATTTACATAACCACTTAGAATCCAGCCAGGGATGCCTGAATACGCTTGATTAAATTTTAACTGTTCTTCACTCACCAGAAACTTTGTCAGACTCTCCCTCAAAACCTACTGGAGCCTCCCTGAAAATGAATCCTGTCTGAACAAAAAGTTTCTCAGAAAACATTAAAAATAAATTTTCATTTGTCTTTCTTACCTTTTATTTTTCCTTACTCCACGACACCACTCTAACTTAAATTCAGTTGTGCCATGGAGATTATGTTCATAACTGGACCTGATTGAAAATGTTTACATGTATCCATGTTACTTGAAAACACAGGGAGAGCTTTCATAGTAAAAACTTAAGAACCATAATAATATAATTAAAGTTAGAAAAGAAACCAGCCAAAACCATCAGTGTGGACACTGGCTTGTATACATGTGTAAGCTGTGAAACGCAGCACACTTTCTGCCAATCTGAGAAGCATACTTCTCTTCTATCCTTTAGTAGAACACCTGGTAAAAAAGTTAGAAGATTTCTATGTCGAAAAGGTCTTTAGAGAAGCATATCTGACATTATGAAAAAAGAGAAAATAGGCTGCGCTAAGATAACCAAAATTTATTTTGCCTTATTTGTGTGGTAAAGTTCTGGAACCTAAGACCAGAAATTCTGTATTTGCTATTTATTGTTTTGTTTGATAAGGTGACTCATGATAAGTCAAACTGACTAGTTGGTACCATGAGGCCATTATAACCCTACATTAAAAGAATGAACAAGTGAATAAATTAATGATTCTTTGAATTTAATTTATGGTTGTGATCACAGTGTCAGAAATTTTTGAAAATACCAAGGGTGAGTCCAACATTTTTTAATTGAAAGCCTTAGATACATTTGGAATGAATGTTACCCTGAATTTCAATGTATAAAATTAGTAAGTTTAGTCATGGAGAATGGGCTTGTTGAATTAGATATGTTTTCCACTTTAATCCCTTTATCAACTTTCAAAATTATGGACTTGAATATCGTGGTTGTCCTGAGTCTTAAAATGTTTTGAAAATTTTTCTTTCTCTCAAAAACTAGTTTTTGAGCACCTATTATATATCAGATAATGCTTAAAATGCCAAGGATAATGCAGAGACTAAGATCAAGACTTCCTGCCTTCTCAAAACTAACATTCTAGTAAAGGAAAATAGCCAATGAATAAGAAGTAAGTAATGTATAGATATCCAATAGTGATGAGTGTTAGGGGAAAAAATAAAGCAAGAAAGGGAGGTGTGTTTAACTTTAATATAATGTAGCTAGGAAAGCCCACTGAGAATGTGAAGTATGAGGGAGGAAGATGAAGAAGAAGTGAGCCCTGAGATATCCACGAGTAGAAGGAAT
Organism: Homo sapiens; assembly: GCF_000001405.40. NCBI lineage: Eukaryota > Metazoa > Chordata > Mammalia > Primates > Hominidae > Homo > Homo sapiens. The sequence continues at coordinate 100,792,902 of NC_000005.10, forward strand.
ACTGAGGAGAGAGTGCATCAGGACAAAGGCTCTGAGGCAGAACCGTGACTGACATGTCAGAACAGCAGGGAAACCAGTGGACTGGAGGGGAAGGAGAAGAGCAGCATGTGAGTGAGTCAGAGTGCTGCAAATTCTGTTGGACCAATCTAGGACTGAATTTATGTCTGGGTGAGGTGAGAAAGGGGATAATTTACCTTAAAAATTTTCACTACTTTGATATATACATTTTCTGTTAATATTAAGATTCATTTGACAGCTACTCTTTCGAGCATTTCAAAACAAGACTAATCCCAGAAGCTTCAGCTTCTTCCCTGAGCCAAGAACGAGGGGTTTTATTTGTCACATAACAGTCCATACTGTCAAAATGCATTGAAGAGTATGAACATTTCGTGAAGAGCATGGGAATGAAAACAATGATGTATGTGAGGTCTAAATTGGACTCAGAAGACCTAGATGTGTTTCTCATCTTGACAATCATTCTGAAAATTTCAAGGTGGGCTCATTTGTGCAGTAGGCTGATGACAAGAGTAGGGTAAAGAAGAGTGTGAAGCCCAATATCTATGTGACCATCTAGGTATTTTTTTTCCCACAGTCAGAACTGGGGTTTGCCAACTGGAGTCTGACTCTTGAGGAAAATCTAGAGACCAAGGAGAGGGAGTACTAGCTTAGCAGCAATAGCTCAGACAAGAAGACCAGTACTTCCTGCCCACTGAGCCTTAGAAGTCTAGATTTTATAACTATGCACTGGTGGGGCCCCTGTGTTCTGATGCAGCTACAAGGTCAGTATAGACAAGTGATGGTGGCCACCCATTAGGAGCAGCCAGTTGCAGCGGGGGAGTCACAGCCAGGGCTGTTTGCTCCATGGAGTCAATGGGGCAGGAGCCCCACCCCCTACTGAGTTGGTGGGGTGGGATTTCTACATTCCCTAGTGCAGCTGCAGCCACCCAGAGGCAACTCTGGACCCGGGCATCCCTGCACTTTTGGGGTCCTGGGAAGCCCTACTTCCCCAATAGTCTTGGAAGTGCCTGCTCCCACTCTTCCCTGCTCCTGCTCCAATTTCAGAGCAAAGCGGAGGCTGAGCCCAGGTGCTGTCACAACCCAGCCAGATGTGTACACATTCAGGGTGCCCTGACACTCCATGGCCCTGCTGCTTCAGCCTGCTTTGGACTTTGGGTGCCAATGAGCATGGAAGAGAGGCCAAAGGGACACTGAGGGCAGCTTGGCAGGGCCTGTAGGCACCCCTTAGCATGAACAGCCTGGGCACCATGGATGGCATGTTTATGGCAGCAGGAGAAAGACAGTATCCTGGGTTGAAAGGAACAGGTCCCTGGTGAAGCCCCATGGTCAAGCCAGGGAAGACTCGAAGCCTGGGGCCCAGGCTGCCAGTAGTGGGTGGAGTCCATGGCCCAGAGTGAGAACTTGTGGTGTTTTTCCAGGCCCACACATGGCTGCCCATGGAACAATCAGCAGGCACTTCCTCACTTCTGAGCCCATAAAAACCCCAGACTCAGCCAGACTCCAACAAATGGGACTACCAGCTGTGGGAAAAAGCTACCCACTTCAGGTCTCCTGGACTCATCAGGATGACCTGCCCTTAGAAAGGAGCTACCCGGTGTGGGTCTTCTGAGAGCTGTTCTGTCGCTCAATAAAGCTCCTCTCTACCTTGCTCATCCTGCAGGTGTCCACATACTTCATTCTTCCTGGACACAGGATAAGGATTCGGGACCCACTGAATGGTGGGACTGAAAGAGCTGTAACACAAACAGGGCTGAAACATCCCCTCAACCCTGATTTTCTATGCTTCAGGCAATGAGAAGGAGAGAAGTGCTGAGGCTTCTCTGGGAACCCAGAATTCTGGGATCCCCAACCTAAGTCTGTGACACCCTCTTTGGGGCTCTGCATTTCCTGGCATCTCTGAGTTTTCAGGCACCATTGTGTTCCCCTTGACCAGATGCTGGTGCCCACAACAGAAGCCTCTTGTGGTATGTCTACTCTACCTTCAGTCTCGCACAGAACCAACAGCTGTGCCAGCACCTGGAGCTGCCTGCCCTGCCACAGCCAGTGTGCCTGGCTGTGCGCAGTGGCCAGACCTTGCATTCGTTCACCCATCCCTTGCCACTCTGCACCTGGCTAGCCCTTGGCAGGTGTGGGATCCAGGCTGATAGTGCAAGCTGAGTGCAGCCTGCAAGACCAAGTGGGTGGGATGAGCCCAGTGGGCCTGAGCAAAACTTGGGCATAGGTGCCACTGGACACAGAGGTTTCCACCTGGAAAAGTGACACCCTAAGGATCCCGAGACATAAGCAGTACTCTGATTTCAGAGGTGTTAAAATATATGTGCTTTGAAATCAATTGAAACACAGTAATTAAATAATTCATTCATCTAATAGTATCAAGGACCTACTGTGTGCTAGGTACTGTGAGAGGCCTCTAGTAATAACAGGTTGAACTGATAAAATAAAACATGTCTCTATCATTTTGATAGTTTTATGAAATCAATAGACAATTAAACAAGTAGTAATAATAAAATTTGGATGGTGCTGTGATGGGGGAATGTAGATTGATGATTGAACTAAGACCCAAGTGATATAGATACTAACCAGATAATATGTAGTGAAAATGGGGTAGCATATACTCTAATTGAAAGAAATAAACCAGAGATAATAGAAAGAGGACAATGTACATAGGAAACTAACAAAATATAGTATGGCTAGAATATACCGTTTGGCCCTGATGGGGCCCAGGAAGTGCTACCCCAAAATATGTTATATTGGTATTTGACAATATAGAAGCAGAAGGAAGGTCACTCTCACCTTCCCCTTGAACTTCTTCCCTGAAGCTGACCACAAAATCCAGGAAGGCCATTCTCTGACTTTCTCTTACCATTTCCCCTGTGGCAGGTTATAAAACCTTTATTTAAAAGGTACCCTCCTATACCTAGAAATAAGGAACATTCTTATCTCTGAAGACACAGAAAAACACAGATAAGAATCCAAACAGTCCTTTCTAAGATTCCCCCAGTTTAACACTATTGGTTCATGCCCCATTTGTCCAATCATACTTCCCCATCACTGCCCACTCTTTATTAAACCTAAGCATAAAAACACATAGGTTTCCCTGTTTCTTTCTGGCTTCATTTTCTTATGAAGCCTCCTGTGTCATGTGAAACATATATTAAAGAAATTAATATGCTTTTCTCTTATTTATCTGCTTTTTGTTAAAGGGGTCTCAGCCATGACCTAATAATGGGTGAGAAAAATAATTCTTTCTTTTCCCTACAGCCTTTGAAGTTTAAGCATCAAGAAATGTGATTAAAGAGACACACAAAAAAGAAGTTCTTGAAGGGTTGATGAGCAAAGATTAACAGAAAAGTACATTTAGATCCATAAAAGCTGTCATTTAATACACTAAGAGTCCAAATCACCCTGAGTGCATCTTCTCCTTGAGATACCCTGCTTCCTTTGGAGAAAATGGAATTACGTGTTTGTGGTGAGAGAAAATGTTTACCTAGAGAATCAACCTGTAATTAACAGAACTTTTTGACTTGAGACATACAGGTGTGCACATGGAATGCATCTTGACACATGCAGAGAAACTGGCTTTACATCTGGAAAGCTGAGGGCAGGATATTATTGAAAGATTCTTTCATTTGAGTATCCCAACCAAAATAATTTTAAAATTTATATTCATAAAATGCAATACAAAATAGTAGTGAAAATGTATCAAATAGTGCTACATGTATCAACATCAATATGGCCTACAAACATCCACTTTTATTGAGCTTAAAGCCATGCAAAATGAACTACATATCATTTAATAATGTAAACATGTGGTAAAATTATTACAGAAAACCAAGGATTCTGTGTTCTATTTTGTTATGAATAAATGTTAATGTACATGTTAAGTTTTCTGTATTCTAGTTGTTATGAGAAACTAGTTCTTTTACACTATTCCCAATATCTAGTACACTCAGCACGTCACACAATTCTTCTCACTGCTAAGATTATTTTCTATTAATCATGGCATCTTATCATACCTAAGTGTCAGACTCTATGAAGGTATTATTACTCTCTCCAGTTAACAGATGACGAAAATCAGAAATTTCTCAGCAAATGAGTAAAGGAGCTAGGACCAGACCAGGCCTGTAGCCCTGGGGCTCTTTCCTGTATAGATGTAACCTGATTGTTGACTGTGACGGTCCCTCCACAATTTATCAAAGAAGGAATGTTTTGGGCTGTCCTGTCCAAGTCAATAGTCATTAGTCCTATGTTGCTCTTGAACACATTAAATGTGGCTCAGGAGAATCCAGGAATTCAATAAGTTGAGAAGCATCAGCTCATGTGTCAGACTCATATTTTTTTCCCAACCAGGGTCCTGATTTTGACATAACAAGCTCCCTTGGTTAACAGTTTTACCTTCTTTGGAGGTGGGCTACTCTGTCATTCTTATAATTAGGTTTTGGTCCTGGTCCTCCGCCATCTATGCCTTCCCACTGCAGAAGAAGAATGTGTTTGTGTGAGCTCTCAAAGAATCCTTTTATCGTTCCTATGACTTTTAAAATGCCTATTAATTGGAAGTATCTTTTCCTAGAGCATCAATTATTGTGCTTAACAAGAGTCATTCAATCCTATTGTTCTTATAATCACTATTTTCCCGTACCTGTTATATGACACCACTATAACATCTAAATTAGAGTTGTAACAATTAAACATCAATGCATGCAAGTAGATACCTGTGATTTACCTACCAACAGTGATGAAATGAATTCCTAATTTTCAACTAGGTGGTATCTTATTGCTTGATTTCTCTGCCACCTCTAACACCAATTGTCACAGGTTGAATTCTCACGGAGCAGACATTGAGATGGAGTTTTATAAGTTGTGTATTTATCAGGTATGAATATCTGTGAACTAGGGAGACAGAAAGAATGTTTTGGCAAAGGAAAAAGTCAAACTCTACTGCAGACCCTCAGACAGCCCCATAAGCATCGGGGCAGGGACTCTAGAATGTATAGAGTTCCTCATTGATTGTGTTTATTTTCATTGTCTGTTTCCTCAGACATAGAAAGAGGCATATTACTCAGAGGCATATTACTCAGAGGGACACTGGATTTTGAAGGCAGCATACAATGGACTTGGAAAAATTACTCTGACTCATATGACAGAAGACAGAGGATTCTGTGGCAGGTCTAGGCTGCAGTAGAAGCTGAACCTACCACTTTTGTCTTATGATCAGATAAGATGATGCTTGACATTTTTGTAGTAACTAAGTTTTCTTTGTCGATTTTCTGGAATACTCCAGTTGGAATGTCACACCATAAATCCCTAGTGTTTTGGAGTCAGAGTCATGTCTTCTTGGGGAGACAACTACATGCAGTTTGAGAAGCAACTCTGGAAATACTAATGGACTCTGGTAAAGACTGAATGGCTGTGCTTGGGACTTCAAGGGATTATGCAGCTAACACTGCCCACCTTGAGCTGGGGACTATCAGATACTCTGAGCAATAAGATTATACAACTGCAACCATATGTAGGAATGAAAACCAGGATAGAACCCCTGTTAGTCCATTTGGGCTGTTGTAACAAAATGCCATAAACTTGGTGCCTTATGAAAAAGAGAAATTTATTTCTCACAGTTCTGAGGCTCAGAAGTCCAAGATTAAGGTGCTAGTAAAATTGGTGTGGTAAGCGCCCACTTATTGGTTCACGGACAGCCTCTTTTTGCTATGTGCTCATAAGATGTGAACAAACCCTCTTTGGCTTCTTTTTTAAGGGCACTGATCCCATTCATGGGCATTGCCCTCATAACCCAAATACTTCCAAAATAGCCCACCTCATAATAACATCACCTGAAAGGTTAGAATTTTAAACTATGATTTTTGAGGAACATGTATACTCAGACTATAGCAGGACCTTATTTCATCTAGGTATATACCTAAGTTACACAAATAGGTGGCCTAGAATCCCACGTAAACTACTTATAGTGAACCATTGTTTATCTCTTAGTTCACTTCTATGGTCTTCTAGGGAGCTCCCTATGACCAAGTGGTAGAGATGGAAAATTTGGGTCTAGTTCTCAGATGGGTCAGCTCAATAGATGTTGTGACCTAAATATGTACTGCTGCTGTACTTAAGCCCATCCCAGGTGTGTTCCTATAGGACAGCAGTGAGGGGATATCCTCCCAGGGAGCAGAATTAGGAGTAATATCTTTGATCATTCACTTTGGTATCAAAATGGCAAATGATTTCTACTAGTTGAATTGGGACCTAAACAGACAAAAATTGGGAATAAAAGAAAGTTGGGAATATTATAAGCAGTTGATTATGGGGAGAGAGTTCAAAGTTTGTGAATTACTGTGTGTTTCATTGATGTCTAAAAGAGAGCTTCTATCACAGAGGAGAATCTCAACCAGTATGCGAATAGGATGGCTTGTCCTGCTGATGTCACTTGGCTTGTTTCTCAGCTGCCGTGGTGTTTGTACAATGGGCCATTTATGGTGGCAGAAATGGAACTATGTAGGGGCCCAACAGTATGAGTTCCTTCTCACTAAGGCTGATTAGCTACTGCCATTGCTAATTGGACAAATTGTCAAAGAGAGTAACCAGTGTGGACCCCTAAAATGTTATCAACTCAAGTTGAATAATTTGGAGGCATGCTGAAATGAGACAGGTGCAATTCTATTGGACTCTTTAAACCCTGGAGAAGGCAGTAATTTAATCTTATCAAATTGATATAATTAAGTCTGGATATGGATTTGCTTTCTTATGTACAGTACTTCTGCCAATCTTGTCATCCAGGCTCTTACAAAATCACTAATTCATTGGAATGGGATGCTGAACAATGTTGTTGTTGTAGTTGTTGTTGTTTTCAGACTAACAATTTCCTAGCAAACAAGGTGAGGTATTAAGTGCATAGAATCCACTTCTCTCAGTACATAGCTTATTACCACAAAGCGCCAACATAATACAGTGGAATGACCTGTTAACTGTTTTGCAGAATGACACATCAGGGGCAAGACACCATGCAGGTTTGGGAGGCTGTCCTTTAAAATGCGTTATAGACATTAAACTAATGGCTAATATATGATGCTGTGTCCCCAATATCTAGAATCCCAGTTCCATAACCAAGAGGTAAAAGTACAATTACTCCTATTAATCCACTTTGGAACTTTGGATTTCCCATATTCATAATTCAGGATGTGGTACATCAGAAGTCCTGGTTTCTAATGGAGGAATGCTTCTTCCAAGAAATTCAACTTGAAGCTAAAACAATTACTTTATTAAATTGGGCTCTTCATCACAGTGAACCAGGAGGCAAGGAAAAGAGTTACTATGCTGGCAGGAGTGATTGACATTGATTATGACAAAGAGTTAGAGTTTATGCTGTATAACACAGGTAAAGGAGAGTAAGTTTGGGACCCAAAAGAGTCATCAAGTGTCTTTTGGTGCTTCAATGCCCAGAAATAAATCTGAATGGACAATTTCAGCAATCAAGTTCACCATATAAAAGTCAATTAAGTGCACAGACTCCTTGGAGTAAAAGTTTGGGTCACCTCTTAGTTAACAAACCCACACTAGGTGAAGTGAGGGGGCCCTAAAATGAGTAATGGGAAGAGTTGATAAATATCAATCATCCTGGAATGATTTACAGATAGAGGGGCTATAGTTTCCAAACTAACCCTCTTATATACAGTCTTCCATAAATTTGGCAGCCTTCTAACAATTTGGAGAGTTGGCTATGAACTGGAATTAACGGAGTGCAGGAGCCTATGCAAGTGACACACTAGAAAGACTGTGTTAAACATCTAATACACTATCTCACTTCCTCTCGGCTTCACCCACGATTCCAGTCACTAATTCAGCAAACAATATTTTGCATACAGTGCCTCATGTTAAGCACTACCTCGCTTGATACTGCAAGTGCTTTTCTGGCATACGCTATGAGTAATTTGTGGGAGCTAGCTTAGAATTCACAAGCACAGCCCATAATTTCAGGGACTTAATGAGTCATAGGGAATCTCTGCTTAGGGGATGGGGTCTGATGGACAATTACTTCTTTCTTTCATCTCTTGAATCCTGAGACCCTTATCTTAAGGCCTCTCAGATAGTCCAAGTGGGATTGAGCTCCCATTATTCACAGAAAAGGGCAATTTGAAACATATCTTTATATAGGCTTTCACTCCTTTTCTGTCATACTTTTCTCGATTCTTCACTTCTGCTTCCTAGGAACATTTGCCCAATAAACTATTTGCATTAAAATTCCCTTGAGCCATGTTTTAAGGGGACCTAGACTAAGACATGCATATGCACATTGTTCTAAGACTAGATTCCTTGTTTTTATTATCTCCAGGGTGTCCCTACATCTTTCAAAAGCATCAGAATAGATTAGACCTCTAGAGGTGTGGAGATTTAAAAACAAGACTAAAATACCTTCCCCAAAACACAGTATTTTAGAGGAGGACATAATAGAGGAGCCTATGGAGGAGAGAGGACAAGCCATTGAGTGAAAAGTAATATTAGAGTTTCAAATCATATATCATGAAAATTTTGGCAGGTAGATTTTCAGATCCTGGGATCACTCAAAAATCAAACTTTAAAATTAGGATAATTTGAAAACATATATTAAAGTGACTAAAATCATTTTAATTCATTATTTGGAATCAAGTCTGAGACATTTTCTTTTATGATGCATTCATTCAAGCTGCAAACACAGAAAAAATATTGAGAGTAATATTTGCAAGTGAAGGTTTCATAAAATAAATAATTTCAGAAAGTCTGCAGTTACTTGGTATTGGTAGTAAGTGCATTCTTTATGGTATGCTTCAGTTTTATTTAAACTTGTAGTTCAACAGTTAACCTGGAGAATTATGATCAGGATGTGGGGAGCTCAGAGAATTTTATAACTTCCATATGCAGGTATTGTTAGGTATTTCTATTTTCTAGAACAATAGTTAGCTTCTATCAAACTCTATTGTTTAGATTACTAAAAACAAGCAAACAAGAAAAACAGCTGCCTTTTGTTATTTTGGGGTTCTGTCTTAAACGAATATTGTTTATCTTATTAATTAAATATCCCTTGTCTTGATTTTACCACTGACTACAAACCATGTCCAACTTCTCCCATGTCCCCTGCTCAGGACATTTCAAGTGTGCAGAGGATGTGCAAGGGCAATTTATTTAAAAAGAGTGGTGTTCTTCCACCAGGCTCCGTTCTTTCCTGAAATTCTTCTGCTCCGTGTCCTGCCTAATCAACTGCTGCACTCGTAGATTATCAGAGTTCCTGTGTTGCTTGTTGTATTAGTGTGTTCTCATACTGCTACAAGGACATACCTGAGACTGGGTAATTTATAAGGAGAGAGATTTGATTCATGGTTCAGCAAGGCCAGGGATGGGGAGGCCTCAGGAAACTTATAGTCACTGGTGGAAGGGGAAACAGACATGTCCTTCTTCACATGGCAGCAGCAAGGAGAAACATGGGAGCAGAGCAAAGGGGGAAGTTTCTTATAAAAGCATCATAACTTGTGAGAACGTAATCACTTTCATGAGAAGGGCATGGGGAAAACCACCCCCATGATTCAATTATCTCCAACCACGTCCCTCCCATGACACATGGGGATTTTCAGAACTACAATTCAAGATGAGATTTGGGTGGGGACACAGCCAAACCATATGACTTGTCATTCAGATAACTGAAATAAAGCTGCACAGATGCAAAAATTTCTAGCTCTTCATAGGTGCACATTGTCAACACTGAGTAACGGTTGTCAAACTGAATTAAAGATGTTCTTTAACACTCAGTTTAATAGCCACTGGTCAGTAGATGCTTTCTTGATGATCCATTTCTATAGGCCAAGATCAATGTCCCTAATCCACAAACCTCCTTGAGGCGCCCCTAACTCTTTGGGCACACTATGAGTAGAGTACTTGACAACAAATGATATCATTTATTTTCTTCTATGCTGATTCTATTTAAATATTGATAACCACGGAGAAAGCTATTCCTCCATGTTTCACAGAGTGACAAGTAGTTACTATTACTTTATAAATGCGGAATAAATGTAACCATTTTATACGATGAAGTATTTTGAGATTTTTATATGCCATCAAGATTTACAAATGCATACATATTAAATGAGTTCATAAACTCATATAAAAATGTACTTTCAAGATCTACAGTATTAAATAAAATTTACCACAATTGAATGCTGAGTATTTCAATAAAAAAGCAGGACTAGAGCTATTAATATAAATAAGGATTAGAACATCACAAGAGAACACTAAATTAAATTATACCAATGATCATAGAAAAGCAGAAAGGATGCTTATTTTTCTTTCTCTAAACTTTATATTTTATGGTTGAAGAGCTCAGTAAATGAGATATTAAAGTAAAATAAGTCGCATTTATATAAGAAGAAAAATCTTGACCCATTAGGAAGACTTTAACAACATTTCTACATATATGAACATGGTAAATATAAAACAGTTGAGCCTTAATCTACTGTGTTATTGCTCTATACCTGGGAGACAAATGATCTATTTGAACAGAATAGCCTTATATCCATCCATAAAGATCAGCTAACAGAATCCAAAGCAGAACAACTCCAGTGGTAGTGATCTTTCCTGGAAAACATCTGCTGCCAGCTGAGTGTGTTTACATTTTGGCAGCATTGGCAGATGTGCTCATAGTCAGCCCATCTGTGTGGTTCCCAGAGGCTGGAGCCAAGGAAGCTGGGCTGGACAGACAGCAGAGAATGAGCTTACTATAATATCCTGACTTGTTCTAGAAAATGCAAATTAGTGCCTCATAGCACTTTGTTTCTTCCTATGCTAAAAAAAGGCCTGAAAGTTAACTGATTTGTACGTATGGCCTAGAATGAGCAACAGCTTTTACTTGTCCGACTGCTCTTAGGAATGTAATCATGTAGGTGTGTGATCAATATTTTAGAAAAGAGAGTAATAATTTCTGTGAAAAATAATTTAAGAAATGTTTAGAGAATAAATAAGTATATCAATTTAAACTTTTTCATATTTGAAAATATTAAAAATATGTAGTAGGTGGGAAAACACTGAATAAGTATGAGGTTTTACATGTGAAACTCTTGTTTGTTCTCTCTTCTTGTATTGTTTATTACATTTGTTACCATTTGTTACATTCAGAAGTGTTATCCAAAGTATGTTCTTCAGAAAATAATTTCATAGCCAATAGAAGTACTTATAAAAGGATATATGGCTTTTAAAACAATAGAATTTCTATATTGCACGTTCTCAGCACTTTTATGATGTTAATTTATTTTCTCAATCTCCAAGTAGGGAATCTATGGAGTTGTCTTTTACTGAACATATTTTTGTGGAACACATTCTGTACTAGAATTCTTTTGTGTTTACTTGAGTAATTCTACTTTGGTAATTGAATCTGAAATCAGCAATCTGGAAGCAAAAAGTAAATAAATAAAGAGGTATTTTCATATTGGCATTCATTTTTTACATATTTTCTTTATTGAAATAAACAACTAAGTGACTGAAATATTTCATCTGTTAAAAATGGGTTAAACTAGTTTTATTCTTTTTGTTTGTTTGTTTGTTTTTTGAGATGGAGTCTCACTCTGTTGCCCAGGCTGGAGTGCGGTGGCGCGATCTCGGCTCACTGCAAGCTCCACCTCCTGGGTTCACGCCATTCTCCTGCCTCAGCCTCCCGAGTAACTGGGACTACAGGCACCCGCCACCATGCCCGGCTATTTTTTTTTTTTTTTGTATTTTTTAGTAGAGACGGGGTTTCACCGTGTTAGCCAGGATGGTCTCAATCTCCTGACTTTGTGATTAGCCCTCCTCGGCCTCCCAAAGTGCTGGGATTACAGGCATGAGCCACCGTGCCCGGCTGCTAGTTTTATTCTTATATCTGATATTATTTTTTTTCTTCTCATGGGATCATGCACAATGAAGCTAGTTTATAAAGCAAGTAATTGAGCTGCCACCTTAATTTGGAGATTAAGTTACTCCTATCCCCAGGAGGAGAGATAAATTAGTAACCAAACAAAACAAAACAAAAACAATATCAAATAGGTGAGTTTAGCTATCTGCAGAAGTTCAACTTTAAGAGATTTCTGTAAACAGTTGCTAATGGAGATGAATAAAACATTTAAATTCAATCAAAATGTTTACATAGGAAGTTCATATTTAGACTTTAAAATAACTGTAATGTAATAAATTCTGGGATACATAAAGTCAGATTTGAACATAAAGGTAATCCAGCTTGCATGTAAAAAATAAAACAAGAGTCAGAAGCAAGAATTTGCAGTTTTTATCCAGCACCATCCAGGGAAAAGACACTGACCTGGAAATCAAGATATTCTTATTATTGGAAATGATTGTCCTATTTGGGGGCAGGAATCAGTAATTAGACCTTCCCCAAGTCTAAATTATATATTATTTCTATATACTTACCTATATTTTTGATCTGTACTCATTAAATGGTCATCTATTTTGCAAACTGTTTCCCAAAGAACTTCTTGGCAGCTAAGAAAAGGCAGCATCAAAATGTGATGGCTAGGGAGGTGGACATTGAAGTCAGTGGTTTCAAGTCCTTGTTCTCTCATTTTTGAGCTGTGTAATCTTGAGCACATCACACGACCTCTCCCTTAATCTTATCTATGAAATTATAATATTTGCAGAATCCATTTCATAGACTTGTTATTAGGATTAAATCAGTTAATACACATAAAGTATTGAAAACTATGTTTGGCCCACAGTAAGGACAATTTAAGTCTTGATAACATATGAAAGGGGAGATTCAAAAGGCTGATACATTTTTGGGTTACTATGAGTGCATATTCAATCCATTTCACACTAACATTATAGGCCCTGGTGAATTGGATTGATTTGATTCAGTAATCAATAGCTAATAAAGCTTGTTCAAAAACTTAGAGGAATGTACATTTTAATAAACCATATGGAAAGGCCGTATGTAATCAAAATGTTCATCTTGACACTTGTATTTTAAATTGTAGCATATAATATAAGGAAAGGTGTGAATAAGGCAATCTGTATATCATAAATTGTGTAGAACATTATAGATAATTAATTATAAGGCAAATAAAAATGTATGCCCAGTTTTTAATTCTGGGAAAATGTTTGTAAAAAATAGTGTATTTTGGAATTTCTTAAAATAAGTATTAAATATGCAAAAATTTGATACATTTTGACATTCTTGGTTAGGAAAATTTAATTCATTTTCTTTATTTGGAGACTTCTCGGTTTGTAATATGCTACCACCTCTTATTAATTCCTGAGACCATTGTGGAATTATGTTAGAACATATCATTCCTTTGCAGAGCATGTTGAACAGCAATGTTTCCCAGAATACATTTTGAAAAGGACTGGGCTGTAATATAAAATAATAAGAGTAAAGAGAAGGATTATAGCAAATCTATCCACCATTTCAGGCAAAACCATACCTAAACCTATTTTTAAATAATAAGCATTTAAAATAATATTTGACAGTAGGAATAAATTATTTGTAAATACTGCCTTTTAAAAAATTGCTTCAGGCATCAAAACTCGTATTACAATCCTGAAAGCTCTTCCATAACATCAAAAATGGAGTTCCACATGATGAGATCTGATTATACCCCCCAAAGTAGCTAAGAATAACCTGTTGTATATGAATCTTTGAAAAAAAGGTAATTATGCAAATATAAATAACATCTATATGTATTAGTTATTGTCAGTGCTTCATTGGTGGTCTCCAGTAAATGTTTCAAAATTGCAGAATGCTACAGTTAAACATTTCTGCAGAAATCAATACAGAGTCTGAAAACAGACTTGCAAGTTATAGAAAGCCATGGAAGAAGATTTAAGCGTGTAGTTTTTCAGAATCATCTCTGGAAGGCAAATCACAAACAGTATTAAGTGGATCAAATAGCAGTCAAAATACTAAATCAAAAATCTGCCATAGAATGTGCAGTGTGTATGAAGTCATTGTAGCTAAAACAACCCACTAACATTAGTCAGTGGGAGTATAAAATGGATATAAATGACTGTCACTTGTGAAATACTTTATTCCCTCAACCGCAAACAGAATGTGCTACACAAAATATCGTTAAGGATTTCCTAATATTCATGGGGTTTTTGACATTGTTCATATTCCCATGTATACACTTAAAAATAAATGGTTTGCCTAATTGCCAACCACTAGGGCTAAGGGGAGTGGAAAAGCAAAGCACAAGCCAAAGCTTGTTAAAAATGATCACCTAACATTGACATACAAAGTATAACCAAGGGCTTGGATATATGAGATAAGAGAAACAGTGAAAAAAAGGGATTAATTTATTTTACAATTTTACAAATGATAAAACAATAATACCCGGTTGCTATACACAAACAATAAGAAAACAGTGTTGAACAGAATGAACTTGAACTTGACAGAATAAACCTCATCTTTCAGTTCCACAAATTCTATAAGAAATACTCAGTAGCAATTATTCTGTGCAGCAATGCTATCTCTGTAAACTCTTTTTTTTTCCTGCTATTTACATTTGAAACACTTGTGCTTTTGCCTACACAAAGAAACGGTTTTTATTAAAAGGTGCTACTTAAATGAGAAACACAAGGCCTGGAGCCACAATCTGAAAACTGTAATTCGAATACATTGCTAGCTTGAAGCCTTTACTTTTCTTCTTTATTATTAAGATTTGGACATACTAGACCCTTACTGTAACTCTACGTATGAACGACATAGAATTCAGTTATAAAGTAGATACCTCTTAAAGCACGTTAGTAACTGAAGTCTCAAAAGAACTTCTTTATTCTAAAGTGGACTTACTTATCTCCAGGGGAGTTCACAGTGCAGACCCTGAAGATGTTAGCATAACACAAATTTAGTGTATACATATTACAGACTCAGTGTGTATACAGACATATACACATATATAACATTGTATATATGCATCACACATGTCTATTTGTACTATATAGGTATATCTATAGCACATATATAATAAAATATCTATTTCTAGGTGGGCTTTATTTGGATTTTCTTTCATCAAATACAAATAATAACCCTCACTCAATTTTTAAAACATTGGTATATTGATAATGTTTGATGGGAAAACTTTCAAACTTGTAGAGATAACAACTAACTATACACAACTCTTCCCATACCCCTTCCACAATTATATATACTCCCTACAATAACCACATGAAAACAACTCTTTCATGAACCAAATATCACGTTATATGCATTATGTCTAACTGGCTCAATTAGAAATAAATTAATTTGTTCATCCTTTTTCTGTATAGTAGCTGAATAACTAATTGGTATGTACACTACCCCTAGCATTACTTAAATAAATTGCTTTTGTAAGCATATATGTAGAAATTCCCATTAGTAATTGATATACAATTCATATGATATACAATACATGAACACATTTGAATGCCCAGCACCTTCTTTCAGATAGAAAAACTTCCGCAGTAGTTTCAACAGTCCTGTGGGCTGAATCATTAGATTTGCCAAGAAAATCTATTACTTGCTCACTTTTTATTTCAGCAACTTAACATTAACTACAGCACAGGCTGAATAATAATGATGAAAATGTTTCCATGGTCTATTCATGTCAACAGCACAATAACAACCATGTTCTGTAAAGGACAAGAATATTTCACAATCAGCTGCCTGAGCATTGCCAAGTACAGGGTTAAATAGTAAAAAATAAATTAAAATATTAAAATTGTGAATATATATTTTCAAAAGAAAAAGCTCCACCTATTTCAAGTATGCTTTTATAATTTGATTTTGTCATGATCCTTTATGCTCCGCTATTGGTTAAATCTCAACTCTTTTTCTTATTCTTGCCATTAGCCTTCATTGATCTTGCTCTGTTTCCATAAAAAGGCCACAGTAGATAGTTAAAATGGGAGGGCAGATGGAAAGGTATACAACAAGGAATGAAATGGGCTTGTACAGTTTGTCTTCTTTGAACCCTAAATACCTTTAACTGAATTCATTCTTGACTATTGAAATCCCTGAGATGAACAAAAGCAATCTCAATCGACACTGAAGCCCTTTTTTTCATGCTGAACATTTTTGGAAGTGGGCAATGTATTTAGAGAACACAAAGGATATGGTGACAAAGTAATGTGAAAAAGCTAAAAAGGCACTACTCAATGCATCTATGAGATAAACATCAATGCACAGAACAATGAATGGCTGAGATATGTGTGCTGTGGCCTTAACATTGTTTAAATGTATTTACTGAAAATATACTAAAAATGGTCCGGCTGCGGTGGCTCACACCTGTAATCCCAGCACTTTGGGAGGCTGAGGTGGGTGGATAACCTGAGGTCAGGAAGTTCAAGACCAGCCTGGCCAACATGGTGAAACTTTGTCTCTACTAAAAACACAAAATTAGCCGAGTGTGGTGGTGGGCGCCTGTAACCCCAGCTACTTGGGAGGCTGAGGCACGAGAATCACTTGAACCCAGGAGGTGGAGGTTGCAGTGAGCTGAGATGGCATCACTGCATTCCAGCCTGTGTGACAGAGTGAGACTCCATCTCAAAAAAAAAAAAAAAAGAAAAAAGAAAAAGGAAGAAAATATGCTAAAAATGGCAAGGTACCTTGCTGCTGCTTTTTTAAGATATACTTTAAATGAGTGCCCAGATGGATTTTACCTTTAAGATATTTGCTTGTGACTTCTAGATTTCTGTTGGATTTAAACTAAAGGCTACTAGAATAGCTTATCATTTGCAAGTAGTCCAAATTTAGATTTTATAAATCACTTTCAATTTATTAAGTAAACCAGACTTTTCAACTTTACATTCAAAACATGTATCTATTCTCTTACAATTTCTGATAGATAAGAGGTTTAATTATAAAAGTACATTAATGTTCCATTCATTTTTAGCTATCAGTCTCCTATACGCATTAGATTTTACTTACTTAGAGACACATACATTCTCAAAAGATGTAATATTCTATATCCCAAGGTTTTACTATATTAAAAAAATATGACATCTAATTAAAAATATTGAGAACTGTACTACTGTGAATATCCTTTTCCATGGTAACACACACACACACACACGTACTTCATGCTTTTTATTCATTTCTCAGACTGTTTTCCCTAAGAAACAAAACATATATATTCCCCATGCCATTTCTTCTTTCCTCAAATTGCCTGCCCAAGAAATAAGAAATCAAAGTACAAGTGAGAATGCAGAGCTTCTGCCCAGTTTCTAAAGAAACAATCTACTATCATAAGTTACCAGAAAACTGGCCTATTGGTCAATTCTGTTATACATTAAAAATTTTTTAATTACTTTATTAATAATTTCATGTGTTTCTTGAAGAACATATGTGATATTGTGACTAAATTTAACTACAGAAAATATCGGTCAATTAAATTCATTTTAAATGCAAAATATTGACACAATTTCACTGTTAAACCTCTTGAAATTAATCATCTCTGTTTTGAAAACAATACTCTATTAATAATGTTATTTCTGCACTAAGAAATTTAACAGTAATATATAAAGCATTTCCATATTTCTATTTGAATAACAAGGGGAATATCAAAGAACTGGAAGTCACATTTCAGCTATATCAATCTAATATTTATTCTAAAGGGCAAAATGCTTCCACAAAATTATTATGTAATGCAAAAGGTGTGAAAAACATTTCAAATGAAAATAAAGTATGAGTTTGAAAATTAAAAAATATTTAGAGACAACTTTCACATTAATAGCAAAATAATATATTCATGTTAATAATATATTATTTTCATGAAAGAAAAATGGTTTGCTGTGTAGAAACACAAGTGTAATCTTTGGTACCAAAGATTTTTTTTTCCCGGCCTATTTTACCATCTCTGATGACATGGAACATCTTTCCTTTAGAATGGCCTAATATTACATAGTGGTTCACTTTAGCTGGTACCTTCTACACCACTGGAAAATAACATGGAGGTTTAGAGCCGTGCAAAATAAAACTTTTTTAAAAATGTCGGCCAGGCACGGTGGCTCACGCCTGTAATCCCAGCACTTTGGGAGGCCAAGGCGGGTGGATCACGAGGTCAGGAGATTGAGACCATCCTGGCTAACACGGTGAAAATCCGTCTCCACTAAAAATACAAAAAATTAGCCAGGCGTGGTGGCAGGCGCCTGCAGTCCCAGCTACTCCGGAGGCTGAGGCAGGAGAATGGAGTGAACTTGGGAGGCGGAGCTTGCAGTGAGCTGAGATCGCGCCACTGTACTCCAGCCTGGGCAACAGAGCGAGACAAAAAAAAAAAAAAAAGTCTTTGTGTGATAGCTTTTAAAAAGTATAAGAACTTTAAAAATAATTACTTAAAGTTTATTTCCTCACTCATATGCATCTCAGAAAGGATTTCTAAGCATCCCAATATCCAAACCAAAAGAGATTCCAGAAGACAAAAAAAAAACATAAATTAAAACATAAAATTCATGATCAGACTCAGAGTCCTGACTGAAGCATTTACTTGAGTTGTTTAATCTTACGGATTTCATTGCTCAAACTGCTTCCATCTTGGCTTCTGCTGACAAGGATGGTTTAATTTCCCAAGGTCTGAGTTGCGTTCCTGGGGTTCCTCTTCTAATATGCTTGGTGTTGCTGTGGGCAGCCTGACAGTGATGAACATATTTGCTTTGTTAACTAATGATGAGTGCACTGTTGGATCTTGTAAACACTACTGATTATACATTCAAACTGTATTCTTAGTGGAAGTGGCACTTACTAGGACCCTTAAAGTCAAAATATTTAATTTTTAGAGCACTTTGCAGGTATTTCATCAGCTGGTAGTCGATTTCTCATGAACGTCCTTTATTCACCTTTCAGTTCATTGGTGGATGCTGAAACCCAGCCGTGTTTTGGATCCTATTTTCAAATCTTCGGAAGCATCTTCAGAAAAGAAGTGCATATTGTTTGTTTCAAAATGTGCTTTATTGCTTTACACACTTTCCTGTTGTCAGTTTTAGAGCTCCTCTATTATGTAGCACATTTAATGTTTTGAATTCTAATGGCATTCTGTGAGGGCTTGCATTGGAAAAGTACCTATATTTTAAGTCATCATAATAATGATATTTGACCGCTTTTCCATTTAAATCCTTAGGGAAGGGCCAGAATCCATACAGGTGAATTTCATCACAGAATCTTGTGGCAAGTGTATACATGAGAAGACCTGTGCTGGGTCTTTTGATAGGAACTTTGTTGGTCAGCCAGTAACTGGAAAAACAAAAAACAAAATCAAGAAGAGAAGAATTTAGACACACATAGAGCATATCCTATAGCAAGTATATAATGCAGAAAACTTAAAAGGTATCTTTATGAATAATATTTTAAAGAATTACTGAAGAAATATTTTTAAGCATTTAGAAAATTTGATGCTTTTATTTTATTTCTTCTTTATCCTTTATTTTCTTTCTTATTCTTGAGGTCATATAAATACCCAAGGGACCTGGAATGTAGGTGAATATTACTCTAGAATCTCACCTTTGAAATGAATAATAGCAAACATTTATATAACATGCAGAGTAAAATTTTCTCAAAAAGGATTAAATACAACTGCAGAAGTCATGGTAATTGGGTAGAGATTAAGTAATCCTCCCAGAAAAAAAAGTTTGAAACTATGCCTATAGATTTTCAAAATGTAAGATATTGCAATTAAAAATCCAAAGAAATAAATGCTTTATCTATGTTATATCAACTGATTTATTCAGCTCCAATTTTCCAAGTCACAATTTACTAAAGCAAATTAGAAGCCTCACTTCCACTCACATAAGAACAACAATAAAAAAAAGTTGTAGAATAATTGATAGTTTTCCAGTTATGCAATTTAACATTTTGTTAGATAGATAAAATATATTTCAATGCTGATAAGTACTTTATAGGCAATAAAGTCCTTCAAAATGTTTAAATCCATCACTGCTGTCAAACATTGGTGTGAAAAGCACGCAAACTCACATCTCTGGAAGGAAGGAGACTTCCAATATTTCTTGGCATATTCATTTCCTTAAGGACAATGACCTTTTTTGAAAACAGCTGAAAGAGTGTGGATTTTTCTCTTACTTTCAAAGTTGTCCAATGATAAACACAAAAACTTAATAAGTTTAAAAATTATTTTGTTTTTCTATCGTCTTCTATTTGGAGAGATATGTGCTCTGCCATCCAAACGTAAGGGGAATATTATGTTAGATCCTGTTTGTTGCTGTATTTAATAAGCTTGCTTTAGATTTCGCATATTATTTTCTTTTTCTCTAAAACTTTTATAAAACTTTCCAGGGGAGATAAAATACATCTAGAGTACTGAGTATGAAAAAAACTTAAAGTGATATGTTACTTCATTTCCTTAAATAAATTTATACTTTCAAACTTCACTGGAAACATCCAAAACAGGGAAAATATACCTGGCCATCATAATTCTATATTTTGTCTTTCATTTTCTCCCTTCTCTGAATCAGGATTGGCCTCACACATATTCTATTTTTTCTCATTTAGTGAAGGCCATGGGCTAAATATTTTGAGCTGTATGAAATGTGTTATGAACTCTTTATTATCACAATTGTTTTGAGAACATCTGTTCTCAGTAAAGACGATTTTATAAGAAATTTTCAGAGAAGAACATCTAGGAATTTTCTCATAACTCAAAGTAACTGAATGAGCAAAACCATAACTCATACACTATAAACACAATGAAGAAAACATAGACAGTGATTCTATGCAAGGAGCATAGTCAAACTTCTTTGAAGGCTTTGAAGAAACTATGATGTGGCCTGAAGCTCTCTGGGCTCTGAGAAAACAAGTGTTTTTTAACATGAAATAATGATTATAAGAAAGTATTGTGAATGTGATTTATGTGAAAGTATTGTGAATATGTATGGTTGCAGAGGTTAGGTGATAGAGTTGGTTAGTTAAAAAAAAACTATCTATTTATAAATTTTTAAAGTAAGCCAAGCAAATTCAAAATCAGTCAAAAAGAAAACAGTATTTCCATTAGGCAAAGTCAATGATTAGGAACAATTTGGCAGTATGAAGGTCATGCTGAATTATTTCTAAAGTGAGAAAAATGCTGCTATATTACTTGTATGAAACTCCAGACTTCTTACTATCAACAAATGCTTTCCATTTCCTAATTCTGGAGAGGTTTCCTCGAGGTTCATGTAACTATGGTTGCTCATTGACAAATACCAAAGCAATTTCTACATGCAATACAAATAAGTAACTACAACGTTAGAAATGCTGAAAGCAAAATTATTGGCTTTAAAATGGTGTCAGAGACGTGAAATCACTCCAAATTTTTTGATACAGGACATCTTATGAGACACCACAAATAGAATATCACTGAAGTGTCTTGAAAATGAAACTGTGATTGCAAAGCATCTTATTTGAAAATAATGAGTAGAGTGACTTTAAAAACTTTTTGTGGTCTTGTTCTAAATAAATTAATCTATGCAGTTAAAATACTGAATTAATTTAGCTTTAGAAATGCTAACAGAAAAATAAATTTTGTGATATTTGATTTGCAACAGTTTGAATAATTTCAAAGAAAAATATACCGTCAATATTTCAGGACATTTTTGAAGAAACAACACAAAATAAATGCCACTTATCCTATTGATTTCTAAAAAGTGTCACAGAAAGATACACCTTAATAAATGGCATCAATATGTAACAGATAAGTTGAAAAATACCTTAAATCAGGTCACTAAGTAGGCAATAAGTAATAACTTTCTAAAAATTTAAAAACACAGAACTGATCAAATACAGTCAATAAGACTGTATTTTGTGTTTATTATCAACCTAATGTTGTGTTTGAAATTGTATAGGCCAATCTAAATTATTGCAATTCGGTATTAAACCAGTAACAAATTCCACATGTGAAAAGGACAAGAATAGATCTTCTTTTTAATTCTGTCAGCATAATTGGTTAGATAATATTTATCAGCATCAAAAGCTAGAGCCCAGACTACAATTTTGAAATCCATACCTGAATGTATCTACCTATACACAATTTGATATTTGAAAACTGCAAATTTTTATGGAGTCTATCAAAAATAGAATATTAACTTGTGTTTCATCCTCATTAGGAAAAATATTAAATTGAAAATAATGCATTGATAAAATAATGGAATATTCACACTGTTTCAGTATAACATGTTCCAGCTTTTATCCCAACTGTACATGTTATGGTTTAAAATTTAGCAAAATTTTACATTCAAACAATAATTTAGTTTATATACATGTATTTCTTTCTATGTAAATTGATTTTTTTGAGTTACCAAATCCATGTAAGCTCCTTGTAGAAAATTTGAAGGAAAAAAAATCTAAGAAAAACATTACCTATAATCCATCCACATAAGGATAATTACTGCTATAACATGCAACATCCTTTTGCTTCTCTGGCTGATTTGGATCTTAATATATGTTACATTCACATATAGACATATACAAATTATTTTTCATCAGAGAGGTTATGTTTTATTTTTAATATTATTAATTTCCTTTCATCCTTCCTTTCTTCCTTCCTTCCTTCCTTCCTTCCCTCCTTTCTTCCTTCTTTCCTTCCCTTTTGTTTTATTATTATACTTTCTTCTGTTGTATGAAACATTCACTCTGGACTTTATGTGTTAATAGAACATTTATAACTTTTTAATAAATTTGATAGCCTCTGTAGATCTCACTACT
This sequence comes from Homo sapiens, assembly GCF_000001405.40. Taxonomy (NCBI): domain Eukaryota; kingdom Metazoa; phylum Chordata; class Mammalia; order Primates; family Hominidae; genus Homo; species Homo sapiens. Next base: position 100,815,589 of record NC_000005.10, read on the forward strand.
CTCTCACATACAAAACAGAGCATGAAAGCTCTGTTTTGGCTAAGTGAGGTGTCTTATATACTCTTGCTCCAAAATATTAGTTCAATTTCTTACTTCAAACAAACTGAAAATTTGGAATGTCTCTACCCACCAAATCAGTGTGCTATAGAAGGCTATATTTATAGTCAGAAGACACAGCTTTGTATCTGTGATATGTTTATAAGTACTTGAGAAAGCTGCTTCACTTCTTTGGAGCCCAGTTAACAATATTTAACAAGAAAGGTTGTAATGCTGTAAAAGAGACAGTAAAGGTAAAAGAACATAAAGCTTGACATATAATAAGCAATACTACTTGGCTCTCAACATATCCCAAAACAATCATTCTTCAGTCCCACTCACAAACCCACTTCTCTCTTGGAACCTTCTGTGACTACTTATTGGCTGGACAATTGTGGTAACGTCGTTTAACCTCAATGGACATGTTTCCTTAATTCTGAAACAAACATTTAATTCTATGGCTTTGGGGTTTCCTCTATAAAATTCAATTGCAGTTTCAAATCTTCTCTCTCCGTGAAATTGTGTGAAACACTCTTATTCCTTGTCTCCTTCCTCCTCACCATTTTGTTCCCTTTCCTTCCTTCAGGTTGTAACACATTGCAAAGAAAAGAAGGTACCTAATAAATGCTTATTGATTTTAAATCCTGTAATATTTTAGATTTTATCTCATAATAAAAGCAGATAATAATCACCCGATGAGTCAAAATACCTGATTATTTCAAGCAACCACAGTTTTAGGAACAAAAATGTTATATTTAACAACGTTGATACTAAGGAGAGCTCACATTCAATATATTGACAAACAAGGAATATTGGTTTGTGTTTATATTTAAATAAAGAAGTCTAAAAGTTTAGAAGTATTACATTGGTGCAAAAGTAACTGCAGTTTTTGCTATTGAAAGTAATGACAAAAACTGCAATTAATTTTATACCAACCTAATAATGATAGTTTTTTCTCTTAAAATGTTATTCTTCTTCCAAAAATCAAATGTGACAATTTCTAGAAGAATTTGAATATCAAGGATGGAATCTCACTGTGCCAACAGTTGTAATTTAATGTTATATTATAAGCAAAGTTTCCATTAATGAGCCCAGAAATTCTTCTATCTGGAATGTGAGATGAAGTGTATAACAAAATATACCTTTGTATTCTTAATTAAGGAGTCTCCTCTATTTCTCCTCTCATATTTGTCTTCCAGTAACTGAGATTTGTGCTGCATTCCACTGGAAGTCTATGTCAAGGGTTAAAAAAATGTCTTTTGGTTCTTCCAGTCTGCAGTAATTTGAGATATTATAAAATAATTGGCTTTTTTTCTTTTTTTTTTTTTGAGACAGAGTCTCACTCTGTCGCTGTGTCACCCAGGCTGGAGTGCAATGGCGCAATCTTGGCTCACTGCAATCTCTGCCTCCCGGGTTGAAACTATTCTCCTGCTTAAGCCTCCCAAGTAGCTGGGATTACAGGCGCCCACTACAACACCCAGCTAATTTTTTTTTTTTTTTTTTTTTTTTTTTTTTTGTATTTTTGGTAGAGACTGGGTTTCACCATGTTGGCCAGGCTGGTCTCAAACTCCTGATCTCGTGATCCACCTGCCTCTGCATCCCAAAGTGCTAGGATTACAGGCATGAGCCACCGTGCCCAGCCAGATAATTGGCTTTCTATTAGTAATCTTTGCAGGACATATCTGCACATTCTCAACTCTAGAGTCACCCCAGAAACCTAATAGAGACCATTTATGATGACCTTATTTTTCCCATCAAAAATCACAGTATGGAGCAATAAATAAATGTATGTTTTTTGAGATTCCATCATTCACATTTGTCAATATGTCCATTCATTCTTATGAGGAGTATATGTGTGTCAGCTACATAACATGAAACTTAAAGCAGTCATCCGTGGACATATTGAAATAGAATATCTGCTGTTTTCTTCCCTACTGTTAAAATAGTCCTTTCATTGTATTCTAGTCTGCAGTATATTACATAAAGCACAAACAAGTTAATTCTGTTTTGAAATTATTTTGGTACAGTTCATGATACCTTTTAAGATTATGAGATGGCTTGTGTTTGTCAGATAAAGCAGGGATGATAGTAAATTTCTTAAATAAAAGTGGAACTTCCAGCACTGAACTTGCTGAGAATAATTCACTCTGCCATGAAGTAATCCTTATAGTATGCCAGACAGACAATAAGTGATAGATCTTAAATCTTCTTCTAATGTGTGTAAATAAAGGGACAGACAGACATATTTAACATGATTTGGCAAGCTAAGAGTAAACCTAGGGATAAAAAGATAAGCGATTACTAAGAGGTAGCAATAAGAATAATTTATTGAGAGTATATAATGGGCCAGAGACAGTGTAAAGAGCTCTATATGTGGTGCTTTTTCATTTAATCCTCACCAAAAACCTGTGAGTAGATGTTATGTCATAGCTGAGGACACTGAGGCTTGGTGGTGATGGGAAAGAAAGGATAAATAATCAGTTGAAGGTCACAGAAATTGTAGGTGACAGGACCAAGATTTAAGCTCACATATATCTGGCTATAACTATTTTAATTTTAACTTTAAAAAATTGTATTCTTTAGCTACTTAAGAACATTCAGCTTGGAATAGCAAGTCCTTAGGATCATTTCCAACATGGAGTTAATAGGTGGAAAAAATAAATAATGATCTGTATGGTGTTATGGTGATTAACAGGCCAGTATCAATAGTGGTTTTTTTTCTATGTGTGAAGCTTTTTGGGAATTTTTTTCAAAGGTAAATAAGAGAGGACTAGTATAAAGGACCCACTTTTCTCATGTACACTCTCAAAAGTGCTTGAAGTCAGAAGACAATTTTGTACTTTCACTATATATTTTACTTAACCACATTGCAAATGACAAAGGCAATGACATTGTACCAAAGGGTATGAATTTCCATGCAGAATTGCATGATGCCTCTGAAGGTATTTTGAAGTATCATTAAAATGAAAGCAGAAGTCTGTAACTTTAAGAGGTCAATTGTTAATTTTTTTTTCTATGTGCCCTTTGTATTCAGAGGTCTGTGTCAAGTAGCTGAGAAAAAGAAAGTAGAAAATCTTTTCTACAGAAGCTCTTCATAGTATACATACAGACAATACTTTATCAAACTTTATAAGCTTAATTCATCAGAGGCATAAAGGACTCATGGCATGAAGAAAGGAATGGAGATACTACTTTATGCTCAATGATCACTAAATTCTATTCAGTACCGATGTATGTTATCTGACGTCTATCAGAGAAATAAGGCTTTGCTGTTAGCTCTGAATTTCACCCCTCTTCTTTTTATCTGTCTATGCACATTGTCACATCAAGTATGGATACAATGTTAAGAAATTCTAGATCTACATATATTATGTTGATTTTGCCAACTGTCTCATATTTAGTGAATACGTAACTCTCATTATTGTGATATTAATAATTTTACTCCATATAGTTTCAAACCACTTTCACATGATCCTCATAAAATATTATAATATACACAATAGAATATATTATCATCCCTACTTCATAGAGGATGCAGTTGTGGCTCAAGAAGTAAAATAGCTTATCCAGTTTTACTCAGCCAACAAGCTGTACATTGGTACGTTGGTGAATGTTTAAAGCAGACACTGGGTGTCGGGAGACAGTTCAATGATATATTAGCATTTGTCAATTTCTGTGGAAATTCTAAGTGGTTCCTAAAAGCATTCCCAGCAAGTATCATACTAATAGCATTTGGGAAGGTTAGTCAAATATAAATCTTTATTCTCTATTTTTATTCCTGCCATAAAGGGCAGATACTGTAGGAACTACCCATTTAGACAATTGCCTTGTCCCTGGCATAAATTGAACACTCAAAAAAAGGTAAATATTACCATCATGGCTGATTTCAAGCTACCAACCTGACATCAGTGAACACTGAATTGGGAAGAGATGGTGCAATGAGATCTTGCCAGCCAGTACAAGCAAGCTCCAGTATTCTTCAGACGCAGAAGAGACAGAAAATATTCCTCCTGGCCTGTAGCTTCATGAGTTTTGATCAAGAAAATCAATTTAAAAAATTACTTAGAAACATTTCCAGGTATTAGTTGTTTATTCCATTTGTGAAGAGAGAAAATGGAGTAAACCATTTATAAAGAGAGAAAGTGGAGTAAGGAAGCTGTCTTTGTAAAGATAGCTTCATTACATATTAATATAAATGTTTAACATTATCTAATAAAAATAGAAACAGAAGAGATAAATGATGGTTTTATTTTTAACTCATATTCAACACAATGCTGGATACACAGTAGGTACTTAATGCATGCTTATTTAATTTATTCTTGCTGGTATTTTAGAGATTTGTAGTGTTAATAAAACAGAGCATTCTCATGACTTGCTAATCCCTGAGTTACAATATTCAATAGTGGGAAAGTATTGGAAAAACTGAAGCCCAGCCTTGATTTACCTTTGTTAATGATGTGATCTTGGTCAAACCATTTAAACATATTAGGACCCAGTTTACCCACCAACAAAATGAGGATCTTAATATGGTTTCACTATGTCTAAAACATTCACTTCTATATGGTCAAAAGCAGTATGAATTCACAATAAGGAACACGGGAGTTCATCCAACTATAGCAGTAGTCTAATCTTTACATCTTGCTGGCAGATACTAACTACCCCTACTTTATCTGACATAACATGCAGCATTTCTCTTCAATCGCATTATAGAGCTATTTGGTAAGATCATCCCTACTGAAAAACTTACAATATAATTTCCACTTTCCTGTAACACTTGTAACTAGGGGTCATATAATCTTTTCTCCTAACAAATTCATAATTAATGTATTTTTTCAAATTTACTTATTCATTTTAATTGACATATAAAATTGTATATATTTATTATATAAAACATGATGTTTTGATAATGCTTGATAATCTGAAAGTCATAAAATGACCCCTTACAATTTCAAAGCTAAAGCTAATGTAAGAGAATGAAGTCACAGGAAAATGGAATCTTGCTGAAAACTGAGAAAAATTAAACAAAAATAACCAGAGAGAATACTCTAGACTTTATTTACCATGTCAGATTGTTGAATGGAACTAAAATAGATGACTCCCAAACTACATGAGTGATTTAAATAATCGTATGTGGGCTAGATTTTGGTGAAGAAGAATTTTAAAAATAAGCATCATATAATAGATGGATTATAACTGCATTTAGTAAAATATCTTTTGGGAGTTGTCAAAGAGAATGCTTAAAATCTTGAGCTGGCAAATTGGAGGTAGAGTAAAATATGAAACAGATGTCAAACCACAGATGTTAATGGCCTTTTCTTTTAATCCATTACTATTTTAATGACCTTCACGTTTAATCCTTCTGAGAAAAAACTGAAACTCGTAATCTAAACTTGCAGAATGAAGAAGTGGTGACATACAAAAAGTGAAATACTAGAAAAATAGAAAGGGATGGTCTTCTGAAGCATGATGAAGGAGTTAAATTAGGTTAACATTTAAGTGCTCTTATGAGATCAGATTACTTTTTGAAAATCAAAAACCATGGAAACTACATTTTTCTTACTAAGATTGAAAGGAAACAGTGCAATCATTTATCAGAGGACATGGAGTCCTACAAAGAAAAAAAAAGCATTAAAATACAAGGGGTGGTAGTGGTGTAGGTAATCCTAACGCTCAGTAAAAATGGGTTAGATAGGGAAGACGATAATGATCTAGGTGTTTATCCATGCAAATTTTTTATTTACATTAACAAGGAGTCCAAGGAGGCACTTAGAGAATATACTTTCATACTCCCCAGCCTATATGAGGTTAGTTTCCCAATAAAAGTTAATTTTACTATGACAATAAAATATAAACAACTCTTCTAATGGTCTGATGATCTTATTTTAGCTTGATCTGGACTCTTTACAAATGGATATGCTCAGTTTACATCAATAAATCAGGTTACATTAACCTCCCAGATAGTTGTGCTAAAATCAATTTCAAGAAAAGTAAGGAACAACAAATGTGATCTATATTCCATTGAATAATGTAACATTCTTGCTATCAAAGTACACTAACTAAACATCAGTCAAGGATCAGAGTTCTCAAATCCCAGCAAATGAATAGAATTAAGATAGCCATAAGCAAATTCTAAGTGGTTCCTAAAAGCATTCCCAGCAAGTATCAAACTAATAGCATTTGGGGGTTAGTCAAATATAAATCTTTATTCTCTATTTTTATTCCTGCCATAAAGGGCAGATACTGTAGGAACTGCCCATTTAGACAATTGCCTTGTCCCTGGCATAAATTGAACACTCAGACAAGGGCTTTCCATGAGCATATAAGAAAGGGAACTTCCCAGCTGAGGAAAACCTCCATGAAGGATAATGTTAAGACAATGACAAGGTGGCAGGCTTTGGGTTTTGAATTATATTACAAAGCCACTGTTTTAATTCTGCTCCACAAAATTAGAGAAAAACTTTCAACTTTTAGCCCTGAAACTTTAAAGGGCTATAAGACGCTATGAAATATTTTTCATTAGTCAAATATTAATAAATACCTGGATTGTTTTTTCCCTCCACATGTCAATCTCTATTTGGTGAAATTTCAGTCTATTCAAACCATCGCTAATTTTCCTCCCTTTACTTTTTGTTTGAATCAACGGTGATACCTTCAACACATTTTAGGCAGAATCACTTAATTTATAAACTGCATTTATAAAATGGTTGCCGAATCAAGAACATTAATATAGAGAAAGTTTCTAAAATAATGTTAATGTTCCTATTGAACAACTTCGGTACAGTGAAAAATCCTAGGACTTAGAATGGAGTCAGCCCTCAGAGTGTAAGCTCTAAGCCTTGGCTAGTCCTTGCAATGTCTGTGTTTCAGATTCCTGATCTCTAAATTTGGGTAAAAACATTTTCCCTTTAGGAATGCTAAAAGAATTGAATGATAACGTACAAATAATAGTTCACTGTAAATTACGAATCAATATGTAAATGAAATTTAATATATTATGTCGAAGAAATCACATTAACAAAATCAGGTCACAATACCTATGTACATGTGTCAGAGGCATTTGAAACAGAGCAACTCCATCTTGAATAGGCGCTGGGTAAAATAAGACTGAGACCTGCTGGGCTACATTCCAGACGATTAGGCATTCTAAGTCACAGGATGAGACAGAATGTCAACACAAGACACAGATCATAAAGACCTTGCTGATAAAACCGTTTGCAATAAAGAAACCAGGCGAAACTCACCAAAACCTGTAATCCCAGCACTTTGGGAGACCGAGGCGGGCGGATCACGAGGTCAGGAGATTGAGATCATCCTGGCTAACACGGTGAAACCCCGTCTCTACTAAAAATACAAAAAAGTAGCCGGGCGTGGTGGCGGGCGCCTGTAGTCCCAGCTACTCGGGGGGCTGAGGGGGGAGAATGGTGTGAACCCGGGAGGCAGAGGTTGCACTGAGCTGAGATGGCGCCACTGCACTCCAGCCTGGGAGACAGAGTGAGACTCCGTCTCATAAACAAACAAACAAACAAACAAACAAACAAAAAAACCCCACCAAAACCAAGACGGTGATGAGAGTGACCTCTGGTCATTCTCACTGCTACACTCCCACAAGGGCCATGGCAGTTTACAAATGCCATGGTGATGTCAGGAAGTTACCCTGTATGGTCTAAAAAGGGAAGGTATGAATAATCCACCCCTTGTTTAACATATAATCAAGAAATAAACATAAAAAAGGGCAACCAGCAGCCCTTGGGGCTGCTCTGTCTATGAAGTAGCCATTCTTATATTCCTTTACTTTCTTAATAAACTTTCTTTCCCTTTACGGACTTGCCGTGAATTCTTTCTTACGTGAGATCCAAGAACCCACTCTTGGGGTCTAGATGGGGTCTCCTTTCCAGTAATACCTGCTCATATAACACTCAACTCAACCAACAAATTTAAGTTCAGTTTCATTTAACTCTTATCTTTGTTTATAATTTAACGAACTAGTGCCTGAATTATACAACCAGGAATTTAAAATTATCCGGTAAAACAAAACAAATGAAGAAACAAAAAACTCCAATAGTTACTTTTTTTGGACTTGATACATTTTAGAAAGCAGTGAAAACTGATCATGTGGTGTCAATCTGGAATGTGGACTATACAATTCAACTCAATATAGCAATCATGAAATTCACTTAAATTTAGAGGCACTGCCTAAGACAAACATTTATTCCATACAATTTGTTTTCTTTCTATCGAACTGGTGTAATAGAAATTCAAGAATGAGAGTCACAAACTTTTTTACTGACAGTTTGAATAAGAATATAAGTTGATAGAGATAATTAACTCAGACTTTATAACAATAAACTTAAAGAGGGTGAAATATAACTTTCTTTAAAATGGAAATGTGATTGAAATGGCTTTTTGTTGTTGTTATTGTTCAAGAGGAATATTTCCATAATAAAGCCTCTCTAATCACTTGTTTGATGATTGGTTCTACTTGGGCAAAAAATCTGAAGAAAGGCAATCTGTGGGAGTTGGTTTACGAAGAAATGTACAGTATTATTGACCATCTGTTTCTATTTTAGTACATTCATGTAATATTGTTTTGTATGATGACTCAAATTTCATGTATAAACTGCTAAAATGCATGTAATACCTGTAGAGTGCAGAAGGCAAGAGAAGAATCTAGGGTATATAGAGGTTCAAAAAGAAACTATAGAGTGCTAGAGTATAAACTGCATTAAAATATTGGGGAAATATTAAGTTTAAAATATTAAGAAACCTCACATTGTATCTCTAATGGGGTTACTTAACTAAAAGACAACTGAAATAGCTCAGTTGCTATCTTAATTCTTTCTTTGGAAGAAGGCTATGAATCCATAAAATTTATGGGAACTCTTTAAGGGATATCCAGAGGATCCTACATTTTGAACATTCATGAAAAAAAAAGGCTTTTTATTTTTGGTCTAACAATTGTGTATCAAAGCAAACTCAGGAACTAAGGAACTCTGTTATATATCTCTAAGGAATTTTAAATTATAGCATCTGAAAAAAAAGGTGGAGGGGGGCAAGGTAAGCCATCCCATTCAGTTCCTTAATCAAATAAGAAAATACACCTAATGAGTTCCTCCAATGGCTGCCTACACAAAAGATTTAGTTAATAAGATCCTTAGGTCAGGCACAGTGGCTCATGCCTGCAATCCCATCACTTTGGGAGGTTGAGGTGGGAGGGTCCTGGAGGCCAAAGGTGTGAGACCAGCCTGGGCAACATAGCAAGACCCTGTCTTGACAAAAAAAAAAAAAAAATAGCCAGCAGTAGTGGCATACACCTGTAGTCTTAGTTATTGGAGAGGCAGAGGTGGGAGGATAACTTGAGCCCAGGAGTTTGGGGTTACAGTGAGCTATTATCATGCCACTGCACTCCAGCCTGGGTGACAGTATGAGACTATCTCTAAAAAAGTAATAAAAATAAGAGATTTTACCAGATTGTTAGAACCAATGATTATTCACTGTCAGAGAAACATACAGATTCCTAGAGTGGGATATAAGTAGAAGAAGTATAATAAATACAGTTGTTTTGATTGGGTTCAAATCATATTATTTAATTTATTTTGCAATTCTAAATATTGCTAAAGATAGACATGAGATTTCATGTGTATTTATTTATTTATTTAATTATTTATTTTTTGGAAGCAAGGGTTAAAGAAACTTTGAGGATGGTCTATGATTCTACTGAATTATATTTTATATATTAACATTAAACTTCCTATATCAGTGATGTTGAAATTAAGTAATGAGCACAGAAATAAGAAGTGCATTAGTGTCTGCCTAGGATAGTTGACATTTTTGTTATCAAATTCTGTCTGTAGCATATGAAGTTTTCAAATTTGCAAGTGTTCAATAATTAAGATTTATTCCAGACCAACTGCCAATTAGATTGTTCTCATAGACTTTAAAGAAAGCGAAGGATACTCAGTTTGATTGCTCTTTCCACTGCAAGAATTATCAGGTCAGAAACAGGCTCTGAAAGTGCAGGACCATAACTGAACTCTGGACATTAAGTGGCGTTTTAGGTCTGGCCACTGGCTATTGTAAGGAAAATATATATTATTTATGAATAGGCTATCGATATATAAATAAATGTACCTTTTCTAGCCATATAATTAAGGTCTGTCTTAGGTAGATATTTTTGTCATTATTTACCTAACCTGTAGCTTGTAGAGAGATTATTCACCTAATTTGTAGCTTGTAGAGAGCTTATCCTAACACCAAATTGTCAGTAATGCTTAATTTGACTTGCCTATATTAGGGTCAAAAAATACAATTATAATTTATATAATTACATAAAATACAATTCAGCAGAGCAAACACATCCTTGTCAAGGGGATAGCTCATTTCTTTCTCTTTTAACATTTCACCAGCTCTTACTGTATTTCCAGAATTCTAGTTCTTTTGAAGAATGTTCTTACTGGATAGAAACACAGGCAACCTGATGAACTTTTGGTTGGTTTGGAGCAACTTAATTTTTTTTTATTATTATGTGGTTCTATAGAATAAAGAAATTGGAACTATATGGCAATGCTAAATAATGATCTTCCAGTATTTCTTGCCACACACCCTGGCCAGTTCCCCTATTCGTTGTTTCTTCTCTATATTTAAGAGCTGACTACATATGCCAATGTGGGAAAACATTGCTCCTTTTCAAACAGAAGTTCTACTTAAGTTTCAATTTCCAGTTGATTCATCAAAACAAAGCTGGTTCAGAAAGGGGAAAAATTACAAATTGCTTACATCTGTTCAATGTAAAACATTATTCATAATCTGCCAGTGATGATGGCTAAGCCATCTGGGGAATATGATAGGTACTTGGGGCCAAAAAAAAATACGAAAACAAAAATCACAGTGCAATGAAGAAGTGACAAGTGTGAAGGTCTGAAGGTTATCCTGTAGTTCAGTTATGGCTTTCAGGTATTTGGGGATATGCAAGTTCTAAATTTATACGTGAACAAACTGGAAACACTTATATACTTAACATTTTCACATAACAAGCCTGAATATACTTGTTAAATTAATGAATTATTAAAATCAAGAGTTTCTGAGAAAAACAAGTGAAACAAATTGTTACAGGGTATCATTAGGTAATATATCATTTCATTCTAATTAATAAAGTAAATATCTATATGAGTGTCCTATTCAGAATAGTTATATAACATGTATAGTTATATGTTGTATATTATATTTACATAAACAATTATATATAATACATTAATACATCGAATCCTATCTGTAAATGTATATAACACATATGTAAATATATATATTCAGTTTTCTATTCAGATATATGTGTGTGTATATACACACACACACACACACACACACATCCCATAGGAAGGAAATTTCCTCCCCAAGTTTTTGTTACCACTTATTTGGGCACACTTGTAGGGTGATACACGTTAATTCCTTATTAGAAAAACACTTATAAAATCACTAATTATATTCACTGGGCTTCTCCTGACACTAATGGTACAAGTCAGAAGTTTTGAAGTTCTATTATAAATATGTTGCTAGCACTATACATTTGTCAGAGTGTTGAAGAGAATAAGTTCAATATCAAGAAATAAATATAAAATAACTTAAATCTACGTTGTGAAAACATCTCTTTTTCAGATGTGTCATGGATAATCTATAACAATTTTGTCTTCATTAAGGAAAAAGGACAACTGGATATCTTAACTCTGTATGGCTTACAAATGTTCCCTGCCCCTCTCACATGAAAACTAAGAAAATTATGCCTTCAGAAAATGCTCAGCAATCAGAGATGAGAAGAGGTACTGGGGTCACTTGCACACATCTGCATATTTAATATGGACCATCCTGCTGAAAAAACTCACATTCAAATATGACTAGAGCTGCTGTGCATTTGTATTCATTCCACCATGGAAACAGTTTGAATGCTTTTCTCTGGAGACTTATGTATCTCAGTGACAGCTGCATTGCCACAATATGCTGAAGTGCTCATCTTGACAGGTCATATCCTGGATTTTACATTCTGAATGGCAGCTGGGATGCCAGAGTGTTTTCTCACAGTGGGTGGGTCCTGTATTTAATCAGGCACTCCCTGGCTTCAGAGACAAACTGCACGTGTGGTCATAGGCAACTCTAAGAAATCCAGGATGTATCTTTGTCACTCTAGTTCCTCCCTAAATAGCACTGACATTCACAGCAACAATCTACGGCTCTACAAGAACAGGGCAAAGTGCATTTTAAGATCACAGATTTCCTATGTTTTATTGTAGCACTTTGCCCTGATGCCATGTGCAACATCAGTACTGTACACTGTTGATAAACACTGGTTAAGTAATTCAAATTTCAAACTGAAATCTATTTCTATATCCACTTAGCTATGCATATACAGAATGTATATACTGAAGCAAAAATAAAACACTCTAATTTACAGTTCTGGGACATCTCACTAATCAGAGCAAACCTGCGATTGCAACTACAAAAACATGAGTCCACTACCATTCACTGGAAAGTAAATTACCTGTCCTGGGAGAGCCTGGGGTTCTGGGGGAGTTTTCACTTCTCGGGTTCATTACACACTGGGGCCTGCATAAACCAACTACCGTGTAAAACCCTAATGAGCTGATGAGTAATAAATTGATACGTGCTGAAATAAGGAACATTTTTGTCAGCCTTTCAGAGTTCCTCTTTTGTGCCAGGCAAGCAGCTTTCCAAAACATTCACTCATAGCTCCCTGAGAAAGCAACTTTCCGGTACTCCTTAGGGTCAGTGTGCTTTTTGCAGGCTCCAAGCTCCACTTTTCCTTCTCTGAGACCTCAAAAAGCAATACCTCTTTGAAAATCCCTCAAAGTGGCTCATTATGGATCAAAAGCTTTTCTGTTAGACAGAAACATAGGTTGGATTTAAGATTTCTAATCACGTCTTTGCTAAAAGGCTCCTCTCAGGCCAAAAGTTGATTTTGCCCTGGATTTCCTCACTCATGGGACCCCATAGACATCTCTAGGGCTATTTCCCTTGCCTAAACCTGCACTTTGCCTCTAGAAAATTTAGGTAGAAAGGGCTTAGAATTCTAGAAGAGGATCAGAAGACTGTGTGGGATGTGGAAGATCCTTAGTCTTGAACAAGCATTGGTTCAAGTCAAAAGAGGTAAACTACTATTTTTTAATACTATTTTTAAGTAAGCAAGGGAAGAGTTCCGTTTTTTTTCAAAGGCCCATATTCCTGGGAAATTTTCTCAGCAGGTCTGAGACTGAGAAGAATTTTCATTAGCTTAATTATTGCAGCCAGGAAAAGAACAAAGACTTGTCAAATGACTCACTATGAAATAACGACGAATTCTGATGCAGGCAATATTTGAGCTCAAAACACAGCCCAGTGACCTATAAAAACAGTGTGGGAATAGTCATTTGTAGGTGTAGGAATATTCGCAAGTCACATATCTTTACCTATAAACTGCGAATATTCTGCGCATAGGAGCATCAGTGTGTATTCACGCTTGCTCTCACCTCACTGCCATGCTCTGCTCTCTTGGGCTAATTGCCAAGAGAATCCCAGCGAACAGTACCCAGTGAGCCCCTACAAAGCGGTGTGAGCTATGCAGTCTTCCCCAGCACTGTCTCTCTCTCCCCTCCAAATAGTTATCTATCGGTTTGATCACAAAAGATTCTTTGTCTTTTGGTCTCTCATGGATTAGAAATTTAAACTCAAACCTTTTTCAAATACAAGCACCTATATATTATTTGATCTATTTTTTCCCTTCACTCCTCCCAACTATTACCTAAATGCTTTGATAAATCTTTTCATTTACTTGAACTTTTTTCCTTTGCCTGAATTCTATTTTAGAGTAATAAAGATTGAAACAATAGGATATTGACAGTGATATATCTATAATAGGGGAAAGGAAAGTCATAAGTTACAGTAGACATAATAAAGTACTTGTTGTGTATAACCTCTAAAATTCTCGAACACATTCAGATCCTTTAGAATTACTACATGTCGGCCGGGCGCGATGGCTCACACCTGTAATCCCAGCACTTTGGGAGGCCGAAGCGGGTGGATCACGAGGTCAGGAGATCGAGACCATCCTGGCTAACACGGTGAAACCCCGTCTCTACTAAAAATACAAAAATTAGCCGGACGTGGTGGTGGGCGCCTGCAGTCCCAGCTACTCGGGAGGCTGAGGCAGGAGAATGGCGTGAACCCGGGAGGCGGAGCTTGCAGTGAGCCGAGATCGCGCCACTGCACTCCAACCTGGGCGACAGAGCGAGACTCCGTCTCAAAAAAAAAAAAAAAAGAATTACTACAACACTTCTATCTAGCAACATATTCTTCTGTAAGGAAAAATGATCTTTCCAAAGCATAATTAAACAACATAAAGAGATAAGTCTTTATTTATTATTTATGTTTCATTTTTAAGAGTATACTCATGTTATTTTTGCAATCTTTGGTCATAAATGTGCCACACTGAAGATAAAATACTTATGTGGCTCGCTCTAAGACTTTAGCAATCGCTTGCAAAACTGTTGAAGACCTGTTACAAGGGGCAAGTAAGTGAAAGGGAATAGAGTTTACAAGACATTCTGTGCAATAATTATGGGTGTAGACTCTGGAGCCAGACCGATGAGTTTCAAAGCCTAGTGTTACCACTTACTATGTGAGCTGGTATAAGATATTTGATTTCATTGTGCTTTATTTCATCGTCAATAAAATGGGAATATTATTTACCTTATAGAGTTGTTATGGAGACCAAATAAAGTAAAATTTGTAAAGTGCTTTAAGTAATGCCTAGCACATAATTAGTACTGTAGTATTTATCGTTGAATAAAACAGCCAGTAGTTTCCTATCTGGATTTCAAATTTTTAAAGCCTAATCCATTTCTAAGTTAGAAACTGTCATATGCAGCAGATATCCGTATACATCAAATATTTTATTCTTCCGAATTCAAGTTACCTCTATAAACCGTCAACAGACTTATTTTATGTGTTATAATATTTCTGGATGGTAATATATTGTAATAACTTCATGAGTTCAGGCAAGCAGTCAAGGACACACCATCAAGAATGGTATGGCAACTGATTATTGTATAACTTAGACAAAGATATTATTTCAAATGGTTGCATTATATTTGTCTATGTGTGTGCATAAATGTACAAATATGCAAGAAATATATGTGTGTAAGTACAACTAAAATTAATTTTTAAAGGATACAAGCAAATAATTTCTACAGGAGATTCAGTAATCATATCTATTTATGTAACTATACTTGCATATGACTTCAAATATAAATATTATGTTTTATTATGTTTACTTAGAATTGGTAAAGCACAGTATAACCAATGCATTCTTAAAATTAGACCTATAGCTTCTCAAAATAAAACCTATTACACATACATATAGGACTTATAATAAATGTCCAGTGACAACTCTCTTCAATAGTATTAATTGAAATTGAAATAGCTAGCTTGCCAGAGGTAATTAGTTACATTATATAATTATATTTGTCTACCTAAATTAACTTTTTGAATTATTTCTTTTCTCATTATTGCTTCTGTTCTCCATTGACCACTTAATTTTGAAGGAACTACTGTTCTCCAGGTACTTGGCTGGTGAACAGGCCCAGATGAGAAAAGACATAGTCCTTACCCTGGGGTGACTGACAGTCTCTATCCCATAACTAAGGCCCAGGTAGCTGTTTACTGAACCACAAAAGGACTGTATAAAATGCCTTGCAGGTGCCACATCAAGACAATCTCCAAAATGTAACTATAAAAAATACTAAAATTATACCTTGAGACATAAAACATTTATCAATTCTAAAACTTCCCACCTGGATTCTTAACCAGATTTTTTTTAATTCTTTTTGAGGCACAATTCTTTTCATCTTAAAAAAAGACTTATAAAACCTACTTATGATGATTCAATGATAAAATAAATGTTCAATAAATGGAATTATTATTACTACCATTGTTTTTCCTTCATGCAGAGACACAACTCTTCTTCAGCATATTTTCTCATCTCCATTGTGTTTCATGAAATTCATTTTTCTTTCATTCTCCACTATCTCTGCTCCACTGAAATTATTGTCCATCAGGCCCAATGCATAGAGCTAAAATGCTCCTATATGAGTTGGGTCTGATTATCTCTGAGGGTCAGGGGGCTCAAAAAATATATATTTTTTAAAAATTTTCTTTATCTAACTCGAACTAACTTTTCTACAATTGGTTTGTGTTATGGGGAGAGGGGCTGGAAAGGTGACACAGGAATTGAGAAATGATGGGAATCTACATATTGTATGCAAGTCAAAAATACTTGAGTATACTCCCAGAATCTAGAACCATAACTTTATTTAAAATATTGGTTCTAGGAAATATTTAGAAGGAAGGAACTTACCTATGAATTCTAAAGAGAATCTAGTTTAGTTTAAATGCTATTTTAATCTTTCTCTACATAGATACTAAATATCAATAACAAACACTCCATATTTGGATGGATTAAGTGTGTTCTGCTCATTGACATTTAAAGCAGAAGCTTTGATACAAATCAGTTCACACTTTAGGTTTTATTTAATTAATTATTTATATTTATTTTAGTTAAATCCATATGGGTTAGTTTTTCTTTTGGAGGCTCTATTGGGGCACCACAGTGTTTTCAATTATAACTAAGATGTGATACTGTATATCTGGGACATATGCCTAAGGGAAGCCTTCTCAATTTCTAAAAAAAAATGAAGATATTTTCGTATCGCAGATGTTTTGTTATTGAAGATATTTCAGTATCACAGATGTTTCATTTTCAAACATGCTTTGGACCACAGAAACTGCAATGATAAGAAGAGAAATTTGCTATGCCCATAAATGAAATGAAGGAGATTGTTCTTATTTTCAAAGTATGACTCTCTCTTTTTCAGTTAATGTAGGTTACTGCACTAAAATGTATTGCAGCATTCTAAAAACATAATCTTAATACATCCCTAACTAACTTCCACATATATCTCTTTCCTTCTCTTCTTTTTTTCATTAGTCTGCCTTAGATCACCATTAATTTGCACAAAGGGTAACAAATTAACCTCTAAAATGTTCTTATAGGCTCCTGTTACATCATTCGAGGCCATCTAGAAACTTACACCAACCCAACTCTTCAGGACATTCTCTCATTGTTCTTATTCAGTTCTAACTTTTCTACTCTATTGCTTTTGCTCCTCTTTCCCTCTATGTGTCAAGTTTCATCTACCTTACTACTCTACCACCTTCCGTTAAGAAAATCCAATCCACTCTTACAGGCCCTAAATGCCTCCTTTTAATGAAGTATCTCATGATTTACCCTGAGGAAAGTAATTCTTCCCTTTATAGCATGTTGCTGTGTTGATTCATTCATTCTATCTTTAGTCAGGTAATATACATCGTGCTATGCATTCAAAGGTGAGTCAGGCAAACTCTGTACCCTTATATCACACGTAGGTGTCTGCTTGGTTGTATTTGGCATAAGTTTTATAAATTCTTATTGGTTAACATATTATTTTGCAGGAAAAATTGTGAACTCTTTCAGGGAAGAGATTAAACTAACTGATCTTTACATCCCTGGTACCTAGCACAGAGTCTTGCATGTAGAGGAAGACAATAAATCTTTGTTAAAGTGAAGTAAATTCCTAGCCTTCTTGCTGAGTTGAAATTCATGATTGATGACACACAGGGTTTTTGTATTATTTAAACGTTTGTAAGTTGGTTTCTCAAATTATTTTACTCAATTGATTGGGCTGCAAAATGAATACCTAGCATAATAAATTAAATCTTCTGTGCATTTTTATTGTAAAAGGCAGTATGGAATTGAGAGGAAGTAGGAAACTTACAGATGATGGAACCAAGCTACTTGGATCCCAGCCTTGAATTTTACTGGTTATGTTAACTTGGGAAAGTTACTTAACTAATTCATTCCTCAGTTTTCTCAAGAGAAAAATAGGAGTAATAACAAACCTATGTCAAAAGGGTTGTTTACATAGTGTGAAAATCACTTGTAATAATGATTGGCATATAGTGTTACATGGGTGTTAACTAATATTATACAACAAAAAGGCCTCTGGTTTTACACATGTAATTTTCTCTGCCTGAAACGTATTTCCCTGTTCTTGGCATTAACTAGAATGTCAATTTCATCAGCAGGCCTTTTTCTTTTAATCAGTCCCCTAACTCAGTTTTGCTAGAAGGGATTCTCCAAGAGCATCCACTCCTCACTCATCTTGCACTTATCGTACGGTACTATAATTTCCTAATAACAATATAATTATCCAAGTGAGGTAAGAACTGTATCTAATTCAAATGTGCATCCCAGATATAGCAAAATGCCTGGCACCTAGAATATGTTCAATAAATATTTGTTGAATAAGTGAATGAAAGAATTAAAGGATATTGAAGAGATTAGGATATCATCTTAATCAAATGAGTGCTAATATAATAATCAAAAGACATTATTTCTATAAAATTCCATCTAAATATACATGCATTTATATATACACACACATATAATGTATATGGATATGTACTACTGAGGTCCATTTTTAATAGAATTAGACAGGTAGAAGAATAAAAGAATAATAAAACATAGAACGCTCTAGTGACAAAAGGAGCAATTGTTAGTTGTAGGGCATAGAGAGCAGAATGCTTAGAAATTAGAAATTAGCATTTAGTAAAACTTTAAATATTAAGCACAGTTATCTCATAACTATTTAACTGACATTAAAAAGAAATATTTTTATCTATGAAAATGCCTATAATTTGGTATCGAATGGGGACATTAAAATGTAATTGCTAAAAAGGTATTATTATGGTATTTATTTTATGTTGACAGTTTTGAGTTTCTAAAGCTTTAATATTGTTTCTCTTATTGTTTATTACTTTTTCTCTTTCTTAAGTTGTCACTACTGATCAAATTGATTCAGTGATATAATCTGGATCTATGTCCCTGGGAAATACCATGTTGAGATGTCAGCCTCAACATTGGATGTGGGGCCTTGTGAGAGGTGATTGGATCATGTGGGTGGATCCCTTATGGCTTGGTGCTGTCCTTGCGATAGTGAGTGGGTTCTCACAGGATATGATTGTTTAAAAGTGTGTACCATCTCCCAGCTCTTTCTCTTGACCCTGCTCTCACCATGTGAGAGCCTGTCCCACTTTGCCTTTTGTCATGATTGTAAGCTTGCTGACGCCTCCCCAGAAGCCAAGCAGATGCTGGTGCCATGATTCTTATACAGCCTGCAGAACCATGAACCAATTAAATCCCTTTTATTTATAAATTACCCAGCCTCAGTTATCTCTTTATAGCAACATAAAAATGGCCTAACACATCCGGCCTTCTTGGATTATTGTTTTTTTCAAAATGTAAAACATGGGTGAAATGAAAAACAAACAAGGAACTAGGGCTGAGATGTCTTCCAATTTACATTCTTGTTATTATAGATGTAGCATTTTTATATTCCAGAAAATATATTAATTTGTTCTTTTTCTGTTTGTACACAAAATTTTCAATCACAAATGCTAAAGCTACCCGTAAGTTCAGATCTATTAGTAAATGGCACATGATTAGCTATACAGTGACACTTCTCCCTTGAATTATCATATGGAGAGTTAATCAATTTTCCATGGAATTGTGAGATATTTTGACAGCCAGGAATGATTCTCTACTTATTTTGAAAGAGGTTGTCATTTTTTCCATCATAAACAAATTAAGTTATACTCACATGAAAGTAGGTAAATGAGTAGGAAAATGCATGGGAAAAACTACTAAATTTTTAAAAATCTTTTTTTTCAACCAAAGTAAATGTGGCTACTTGAAATTTGAAAATGTGTAATGCTATTAAAGATAAATATTGGAAAGTTAACTTCTTACAGTATTGCTATTACTGGTGGTTAAAATAAGGTTCTCCACTAATTCGTATTCATTCATACCAAATTTTTCATCTGAGATTGTACTTGTCACTCCTGTGAAAAGCTTAAGATGAAGTTTAAAATATAAAAACGTCATTATAGATGCTGTGGTTGCCAATTATTGTTTCGGAAGTAACATAGTGAAGTCCATAGATATTCACCAACAATTAATGTACAGCTATTTCAACTGCCAAGTTTGGAATGGACCTATCCCCACTTTGGGGGATACATTGGACATATTCATTCATTATTAATATTCACCAGAATAGAAAGATAACCATCAGTTGACTTCAATCTAAATTGAGAGAGATATAGAAGTAAAAAGGAAGATAAACTCAGATATTTTTAGTAGATTACTTTCTGAAATCAAGGTAAGGCATAATAAGATGTGATCTCTAGGTCTCCTATTTGTTTTTCTAACCAAAATTCATTTATGTATTTCAAGACACTTTATTAGAACAACTGTGATTAATTTAAATAAACCTGCAGAAAGGGAAGAGTTGTCTGGAAAGAGAGAAATACCTTGAGAGAGAAATGAGCTTTGCTTAATTACCCAAAGGAAAATTTACTGAATCTATTTTTCAGTGATGTATTAATTAGAGATAAGCCTTATTTAGCACTTATAATGTGCCAGGCACTGTTCTAAACGCTTTGCATATAACTCAAATGATTTCTCAGAGCCCTATGAGTAGACACTCTTAATAATCTTATTTTACAGATAAGGGATGATAATAACTAACTGGCACAAAGTCATGGAGCTAGTAAAATGTGGAACTGGGAATTACAAAGTAATCTGGCTCCAGAATCTGTGCCCCTAAAGACCACGTTGAGCTGGATCTCTAGTATTACTATTAATTTGGCCATGGTTGAATGCTGCATTCATTTTTTTTTGCATTGTTCTGAGATTTGTCATTAGGTACGGTAGACTACTAATGGATAAAAATACATAGAAAAGAAACCTAAGATTGAATGTAGAAAGGAAGGTTCACATGCTTTCTCAACTAAATATATGGTACTCCTTACTAAGTATAACCTAGAAATAAATAACTTTCACTTTTCTACAGCAAATGTTAAATCTCACGTTGACTTCTCCAACTTGGCAAATTAAAGATATCATTTCATAACTCCCAGGTGGACAAATAATTTTTTTTAAAGAAAACGAAATTTAAACAATCAACTTGAATTATTCATAATTTTTAAATTCTAAAAGCATTATCTCCAGATTCAATTTTTTACTTAGATTTGGTAGAAAACACTGACTGAAACTTGGAAAAAAATAAAATCCATCAGAGAAAATTGCTACTGTTCCGTACTGACGTTAAAATGTAATACTTTGGAGACTTACTTTCCAATTTCCAGGTTAAAATACTCCCACGTCACTTATCGCTATTGACTTTACACATAGGAACTCTAAAGGAAGTCTAGGGAATTTTCTCATTAGTGCTAAAACACACACACACACACACACACACACACACACACACCGTAATACCTGAGGGAAATAAGATACCATTCTGATCATTAGCTCTACTTTCCACTTGCAAAACCTGAGTCATCAGTAAGTGTCACAAGTGCTTTAGGGAGCCAGTGTTGAACTAGTTTCAAAAGCATTTAGCCAGTCCAAACTCAATAGGAGGATGAAGAATTTAAATACTTTTTCTTTGTCCAAAATATTTAGAGACTCCACTTTAGGGATTATTATATAAAGTATCCATTACACATGTTGATATTTGATTGGTGTAATAAACCAGAAGTGATGAAGTCTGTAAAAGCTATTGACTTTGTGTTTACAGATATCACTGTTGCCAGTGCAATTGCATTGGCCAATCTAAACTATGATGACAGCTAAAATTTAAAGAAAATATTCTAATACATGAGATAGACATTTCTGATTGAGGTGCCAGTGTGATAGAAATGATTTCATTTATTAAGCCTGAATGTTAATAGCTGCAGTTTTCTTCACCCAATTTACACAAGAATCTCCTTGAACCATATGTTTATTCTGATGTGCTAGAGCTGGCCCTTACTGATCCACAGAGCCACAGTGAATTTTTTCTTTTTTTGGAATTTTGTGAGCTGCTTGTCATCTCCTCATTAGTTTGAAATTGGGCATGGTGGGAGTATTTACATTATGAAAATCAGCAAATGCTATAAATCCACTTTGTTTTCCCAGAGAGTTAGTTGTGAAACATTTACTAGCACACACTGCCTGAAAGGAATCTCTACTGGTGAAATGTGGCCTACTTTTTTGCAACTGTTTCAAATTTGGTTTCTTAAACTCATGCCGAAAGATGTATATTTGATACCTAGCTATTGTATATGTTGTCTTAGTAAGTCACTTAATCTGCCCAAGAATGTCTTAATGTCATTATTTTTAAATGAGATATTCATTGGAAACTATGCAGTATTCTCCATTTCTGAGAGTGTCTGAATCAATTACCATATATGTTTATACTTCATTCTACTCTCATAAGGCAGAATAGTAAAACAAATGGTTAGAGAGCTGGATAAAACCAGAAAGTAGGATGAATGAATCAGGCTTGTTATCAGGATGTATGAGACAAAGCGGTACATGGGACTGTGAAGGACAGGATGTCAGTGCCTAGAGTATAGAAGACAGCACGATTTAGGTCTGCCTCACCATAATCATGAAGAAATAGAGATCTAGGACTGCCAGATATTCTGATCTTTAAAAGAATCACCAGATATTGAAATGTCTGTTGAAAAATCTCATGATACTTAGATGTTGACAGTTAATTTCATTTTTAAATATCTGTGTTATTAAGCAGGTCAGTAGGCCAAGTCAAACTGTGAGTCATGAGTCTGCTACCTCTCTTCTACAACCAGAAGAAGGAACAGAAATTACAGTATGGTGTTTCTATAAGATAAATGAAAGAAATCAGAGATTTTAATGAAGACCAATGTTACATTACTTAGACTGCTAACGAATACACATCAAATAACATAACCAAAATACATCTTGGCCAGAAGTAATATGTAAATTATGTATTTTTTTCATTCCAGTCAAAACATTAGTAACTGATTAAATTTGGAGCACTAGAGAAAAAAAAACCTGTTAAATTAAATATCAAATTAAAAGTCACTATATTACAAGTATTTATTTATCTATAAGAATGTAATTAATTTAATCTGAATTTATAATGAAAATGTTTCTGTGAATTCCAGAGACTCACTGTAAGTCATCAACACTGTAGATGCTTAGAAGCTATTCTCTGGCAGTTTCTTTTGCTATAGCTTCATGAATATTTGCTTTGAATAGACTAGCAAATATGTACAATAGAAAATAAAATTGCTACTGGGTAATTTCAGCAAATCATAAAATGGTGGCATTCAGTTTCCAACACTATGACATCCACATTATAAACTTCCTAGCAAAATGATTTAAACCATAGTGACAAAACTTGCACTTAAAAGAGAACATTAATTTTTTTTTCTTTTTTGTAGAGATGAGGGCTTGCTATGTTGAAAAGCCTGATTTCAAACTCCTGGCCTCAAGCAATCCTCCTACCTTGGCCTCCCAAAAAGTTGGAATTACAGGCATGAGCCACCACACCCACCCATTTAAAAATTTTTCTATAACCTTTTGCCAACTTAGAATATGCAAAAAAATTATATTTAATTATGATATGAATTTCACTTGTTTTCTGGGTAAATACATATTGCAAGGTTTCATATCTTGTTTCAAATTTCATTTAAATGAAAATATTTCAAATGTACATAGTTTGAGCCTTATAAATAATATGGCACACCATCAATCAATTTGCCAGAAAAGATCTTGATTTTGCTCTGCAGATGTCAGCTGAAAGCCTGAGCAGATAAATGAACTTAAATTTAATGAAATGCTTCAGAACTCAGCTATAGAATTTATGTTCTCTTTGTTAAATTGAAAAAATAACCATTGAAATCCTATTTTAGAATTATTTAAAAACTTGGGTCCAAAGTTTGAACTATAAATCCCTAGCTACAAAGGCAATTAATTTAGTTGTTTCCTCTTCTTGTCTATGAAAAATAATCTTCTCTTTATCTCTGGCCAGGAAACACAAGACAGAAACAGCTCAAGATCTGTGATAACTTATATAAATAGAAAGCACTCACTTTCTGAATATTATTTTGGCAATACATACAAGGGTCTCTAAATCAATAGGTTTTATTATATTGAAAAATCATACATCAAAAAGAAATGATAAAATGGCACAAATATTGCCATGCTATTATAAAGATACACTGTTCTATAGTGAGATTGGTCTAAAGAGAGCTGCTCCTGGAATCAGCAACTCTAACTGTGCCACTAACTGAGTGTCTATTTTTGAGCAGATGAGACTCTGGGCTGCAACAGTTTCCTTTATAAAATAAGAAATTTAACTGGATTATGTCAAAAAATCATGAAAATATTTTCCATATGTAAGCATTAGCTACATATAATATATACATATATTTAAATAAAAATATATACTTTTAATATTTTCAATTCATACGGAGTCTTTTTTAAACTGTTCCTGATCCCAAACTTTTATATCATGTCATATCTTATTTGGTCTTATCAGTGAGACACAGCAACATTGTCTAATACCTGAAATGAGAATTTTCAAATGTGTTTAGATTTCTCCAAGTTCTTATAAATTTCCTTTCACCCTTTTATTTTAACATTTTAGAGTATTTTCTACTTATTTTAACAAGATTGTAGTGCTATTTTAAAGAAATCCAAAGCAGAGAATACATACAGTTGTTTGATGAAATATTTATGTGTGTGTATGTGTGTCTATTTATATATATGTGTGTGTATATACATACATATGCACATGGCAATTTTAGAGTTTTTTTTTAGGGTACAAGTTGGGGAATTTTCAAGGATACCATGAAACTAGTTTTCAATGTGTTGCTCTAATGGACTAAAGAACAAGCTATGAAAATGTTCCCTAATATCATCATCAGCTTGGTTAGAAAATCCCCAATCATACCTAAATATGAAAAGGGTCAGAACATTGAGCGAGTTGCAAAATTCCCCCAAGCGGTTCATTTCATCATGACTCACAGTGCTTGAATAAGGCAAAGTCATTTCTTAACACACAAGTTACTGTAGAGGAAGATGAATGCCTATATTATCTCCTGACTAGCCCATAACATTTTTGGAGCTTTCTGTCTTCCTTAGGGTCTCTTTTCCAGTCAGCCTACATTCTTTCTTATAACATTCTTGTCTCTAGGTTACTTAAGAATATAAGAAAAAAAAAAAGTCCCCAAAGTTTTCTTATTACATATATTCCAAACAATAAAAACAAATGAAGATAGTTTGTTTTTTCAAAAAAGATTGTTTCTGTGTGTTTTATTCTCTAGTAAGTACCCCTTTCCCTGGCCCCCACCTAATCCATTTGCAATCACAGTATGCCTCCTCATTATCACACTCAGTGTCACAGTAAGACATTCAAAAACTTATTTCCTGTGCACACCAAGTTAAATGAGAAAGCCAAAATAAGGGAAATGCAAAACCTACTGTACATCATGATAAAGAAAGAAGAGAGGTTCATAAATCTATTTGGAACGTATTTTTGTTGTCATGTTGGTAATTTCTACACAGGTTACTGATTTCCATAGTTGCATAGCTGTTTACTCTTATTGCCTTCCATGCCCTTCTAGAATAAAGTTGAGTATGTAAAATTATGGTTGGGAACCTGATGCTTTTTGTAAACTGGGACTTTTGTAAATTGGGATCAACACAAATTTTTATTCAAGCCATAGGTATTGGAGTCATTATGCTTATTTCTTTAAAAAGAGGTCAATTATGCAGTATATTGCTGAGGCAGGAGGATAGGGTCTGGAGGCAGGGAACATAAGGCCAATTCACGCTGACTTCTTAGAACTAAATCAAATGGAAACACTTCAGCTATGACAAGAAATATCCTCTCCATTTACATAGGGCATACACCAAGTAACCAATGGAAACCTCTAGAGGGTATTTAAACACTAGAAAATTCTGTAGCGCAGTTATTGAGCTCCTATGCTTGGGCCCCCTCCCATCCTGTGGAGTGCACTTTCATTTTCAATAATTCACTGCTTTTGTTGCTTCATTCCTTCCTTGCTTTGTTTGTGTGTTTTGTCCAATTATTTGTTCAAGACACCAAAAACCTAGACACCCTCCACTGGTAACATAGTTCTGACACAATTTGTGGATAGGCATTACTGTAAATTCTTAGCCTATACTTTTAGCTGATCTTTAATACTGTTTGGAATCTCTTCTGTGAATCTCTAATCAGTGACAAATTACATGTCCCATCCACCAGAGGTATTACATGCATTTGCCAAATCCCTTGATCTAGCATTCCAAAACTACCTTGTCACTTCCCTATGTAATCTTGTTGGCTACCAAGCTGGTTTTGTTGCTTGAGGAAGCCCCTGCTTTGTTTTCTTCTTTGGAGCTTCAGACCTAGCGCAGTATAGCAATCTATACATGTTTATAGAAGGAATGAACGTGATACAGCAGGAACACTTCTATTCATATTTCAAAATGTGGAATTATGTGATTTCAAATATTTTACTACTTCAATAGAATTTTTTAATGAAAAATATCTGTATTTCACTTTTATTCAGTCTGATAGGAATTTGCAATTTGTACATTACTAAAATATTTGTATTTATATATTCTGTGTTATTTCTCATAAAATAATTAGCTTATTAATTTTGAAACTGACAGCAATTCTGGTGTATGCATCTGTTCCAGAGAAAACAGAAAGAGGAAATAATTGTGAGCTGAGCAAAGAACAAAATTTTAGCAACATTGATTCTTCCTGGTAGCGACGTTTATTAATGGAGACTTGCTGATGGATTATTTGATTATAGCACAGATGGATTCCACAAAGTATCAAGTTCCTTTTTTTAAAACAAAAACAAAAACAAAAGTTGACTATTAAGAAGCAAAAACAAAGCTGAAAATTTTGATAAACTGCCCACATCCCACCTCAACACTATCCCCAGTTTTTATTATTCTCAGATAGGGGCTATTAACATTTATAATGACTGTACAATTCTTTCAAGCAGTATTGAGAAACATATATTTTGGTATAAGGTTAGCTTGCCATATTGTAGATTTTATATGTGCCTATAAAATGGTTTTTGCAAAAAGCTCACTGAATTCTGTTGAGAGGAATATGATCATAATTTGAATAAAATGCAGAATCAGAACTTTAGCTGCAAGTAATGATTTTACTTTAATTAAGATTCACCAGTGAAAAGAAAAAAAAGTTAGTTTCTATTAGATCAAATTATCAAATATATTAATAGTGTAAAGTAGAATCTGTGCCATGCTAGATTATGTTATGATACATTCAGTCACATGATTCTTTTAGCTATTTAATTTCATCCAAGTTTGTAACTGATGCAAATATTGTTGAGTATCCAAAACAAGGAAGCTTTAAAGTTGAACTCAGTTGCTTGATGCTATAGCTTAATGAACACTGGTAAAGTTTGCTGAAATTTGTATAAAGGCCAAGGAAGCTCCTATTATAAAGGCCAATAATTTATTAAGGGAAATCCATATAAGCTATTTACCTAAGAATTCCTAATTACTTTATTATATCATCACTTTATCATTTTGTTTATTTTTTAAAGAAAGACAGTTTTCCACTGATTTTACTATCTCTAGAGTGACATCAAAAGGCAATATTTTCTTTAGGAGTGTACTTTAAATGACTAATTAGAGAATGGGAAAAGCAATATAGACCATACTTTCATTATGAAAACAATTTGATGTTGACAATAAAAGTTTATATTGTCTGAAACAAAATCAGTTTATTCTTAGTTAGAAATAAGGTAGCAACTGCCAGCACAATCTCCCTCTGCAACATATTCCATTCAGCTATCAACATGGTCACTGGAAGATGGTTTGGAGGATAAAAGTGGAAGCAGGTAAGAACTGAGTGTTTGTAACTGAGTTCTTAAGATGCTAGCATTCGACTTGTATTCTCACCAGGAAAACTTAACCAGAGGATATAGCTAAACAATATCATTGCTGAAGAAATGAAGTCTGGTGTTGAAAACTCATGTAAAAATAAAAAAAGCAGCAGGCATTTACACAATACAGAGCAATGATTTGTCACTTACAATTTTTTGTTACTGAGCTTAACTATGATGCCTAACCATGATCCATCTGAATGAAGATGCAATGTATGCGTTATCATGAGGAATGGAAGTCAGCCATACTGTTGCTCCAACATATTTTCCACTTCTTGCTCTGCAAATTCCCAAAACATGTTCATAGGGCCCTTATAAATCCCTTCTTTTAATCTCAACAACTTATTTGCCCCTAAGAATGAATTAGCTATCAGTTATTTACACCTTACTTGGTATTTACGCATTTTATTATCTCTCTCCAATATTTGAAGTTTAGGTGGTGCTCATTGAGACGTAAAGCCTTTCCAGTTATATTGAAGCAAGGTCTTAAGAGGGACAGAAATTCTTCACGGAATGTACAAAAATGGTACCATCTGGATGGCTCCCTAATTTGCCAACAAATAGGCACAATGTTATACTAGAGGGCCAGAGTTCCTAAGATATGATGGCAAGTATCCTTCCTTAAGAACTGAGCAAATACTTTATAATTTTGCTTTCACTTATGCTCCACAGGTGACAGCCCCAGCATAAGATCATCTGGATGAAACAGTTGTGTAAGAATTTGCATCGTATATAATGTGATTTGATTGATCTCAAAAGAAACTATTGAACAATATTTCCCACATATATCAACCACCATGTATTATGTTTAAATATGATCTTCAGAAAACCATACTCAATCATAAATGTACTATCTTGAAGGGAGAGTACAAGCACCTACTAACACATAAACAAGAAATCTCATCCAGCAGAATAGTGGGGAACATAGAATAACCCTGGCTATTTGGGACACACATTGATGAGGGGAGGCTGCCAGAGGTATCAGAATCAGGGCACTGCATTTTGATTTTACTTCCTGCACTGGATACTGGTCTTCACCAGGGCTCTATTTTGTGATTCTTCTCTTGTAGGTCTGAATATTCTTTTTGATTTATTTTATCCATGGAATGTGAAAAAGTAAATGGCTTATTTCTAAGAAGTCAGTCATAGGTGTTAGGCTCAAACTGGAAACTGTAAGAAACAAAACTTCCAGCTTGCCTCTGGTGAATGTGGCTCCAATACTTGCCTTTATGTAATCAAATAACTGAAAAAGATTGTTAAAGCCACTTTAAAAATAAGTTTATAGCTAAAGGCTTTAAACTTATTCTGCTACAATGTATTTACTCATCCAGGTTTTTAAATGATTTGGGGGGTAAGGTTTTAGAGCAAAGAGAAAAAGAAACAGAAATGACTCTTTCTTTGATCTCTTACCAATAGGAATCTGATATGGCACACTAGTCTCTGAAAAAGTTGGCAGAATGTATCAGTATCTTGTTTCCTACATGGCAATTCTAGTGGTCAAGCCCCAAGTCTTTTGCCTTATTCTCTAACTTACTTCTTGTATGTTGAGCTGGCTTGACAAATGGCGATAGCCATAATTTGGAAGTTGTGGCCTGAGGCTGTGATTATATGATCAACCACATGAGACACTAGAGTTAGTTAACTGACCATGATCAATCACATAGAAACAAAAGACCTAATCTAAACTATTACACTCAAGCTAAAGTACACTTGTATCATTTGAAGAAGATAAGGACCTGTAATGTTTTCAAAGATTTATGGGAATATTGATTAAATAACTTTTCTCCACAAACTCAGGAAGTAGCTAGTCATGTTCACTGTCTAAAAATTTATATTTGCATTTAACTTTAAACTCCCAACTATTTAATATTTAATAATTAGTTAAAATATATTAATTATTTTACTATATATAAGAAATCTCTGAATGCGTAATCGACCAGTCATCTTGACTTAAATTAGAATAACTTAATGCAAATTAACTCAGTATATATTTTGCATATTGATCAATGTTCTTTTCTCCTGAAAAGTCAAATAAACAAGGGAATTTCCG
Source organism: Homo sapiens (assembly GCF_000001405.40). NCBI lineage: Eukaryota > Metazoa > Chordata > Mammalia > Primates > Hominidae > Homo > Homo sapiens. The sequence continues at coordinate 100,845,560 of NC_000005.10, forward strand.
AGGTTACCTGTGCACCTTCTATCACTCATTAAAAGATTGAGCCTTGAAAGTAAAAGGTAATAGAACAAATTATTGAGCTTTCCCTGTAGTTCGTTAATATAGCAGTATAGCGCTTTGTTCTGATTATGAAATTTTAGTCTTAGAATTTATAAAATAATGACAATTAATTTATTTCCCCAGCTAAAATATTTTTAGTAACGATTTTTCCTCTATTGAACACCATGATAAATTAATATTAAAAAATAATGGATTGATTTCTTTATGCAGATTTTGAAAGATAACACCCAAGAGAAAACTGTTACTAAATTATAGATCTAGGGTACTTTTCTCAGGTGGCCAGGATGAATTTATAGATGGTCAAACTGGATGCTCCCATGCGTCATGCCTCATTATTATGATTCATCTACTTTTCTTATCAGAACTTGCTCTTTTATTTTTACCCTAGCAACACCACAGGCAGGTAAAATTTAGTAAGCATTAATTTCATAATTTAGTAGATTCAGGGCACAAGTTGATACATAGTTTGATTAATAATAAATTGCAGGAAAACAAACTATCCAGATTACATCCTCACTATTTAGAATTCAAGCCTTCCTTCTTGAAAGTTTCCCTCTTCTTCACAATACTGCCTAGTGAAAATAATTTCTAGTGCTACCCAGATCGATGAAAAAAACCTCTTCCTCAATTCTGCTTGGTTCCCTGCTTGTTTGAATTGCTCTAGAGAACTAACTGAACCAAATTGCAATGTCTAACTTCAGCACAACTTTGCCCATTTTTATTCCCCACCCCTTTGCACATGTGCCTCAACCTCCACCGTAACATATACTGGGAATTTATGCTTCTTATTAGTTATAGAGATGAATAAGTCAATCTTTGCTATGAAAAAATTTAAAATAAACCTACAGAGTTGAAAATAAACAATAGTCATACATTATGAAGAATGTTCCAAAAGGGAAATACATCCCTTGAGAAGAGAATACAGAGAGCAGAAACCCAGGTCAATCTCACCAAAAGGAAAAAGAGTGAGAAATGATGCCCAATTGAAACTTAACCTTTAAATTGAGACTTGAAGGAATAAAAAATGATCTATGTGAAGAAGAGAGAAAAATCCATACCAAGAAGGAAAGCCCAAATTTGCCAATGTTACAGGGGTGCTATGAAAGCTTAACTACTCTTCCAAAGAAATTCTAGATATTTCGCAAAGCCTTTTAGTCTCAGTGAGAGATAACCAGAACTGGGAAGCATATTGGTCAGGGGCAGAATGAAAGCTGTTTTCCATAGGTTCCAGTTTGAGCCACACACTTGGGAATATCTTCTCAGACATAAACTATTTATACTTCCACATTACACAATGCAATATGAATAACGGGATCTGCTAGGAAATAACATTGTGACTGAAGGGTAACCAGATTAAAATATCAGGAAACACTGAAGTTCCGGAAGTGTGCATATCAGAGTCTGCCAGTAAGGAAAGAAATATCCTTTCATGGAAATCTCCTTTGGTTTAAAATACCTAATACGCGGCATCTAGCTACTCAAAAACATTAAACTAGGACACATGTTTTATAAAGAAATATTACAGCTGTGTTGCTCATAGGTCAAAATAGAAACCATATGGAAATATTTTTAGCATAAGACTAATTTTAAAACAAGTAAGCCATTTTCAGAAAGCACTTGGAGTGAATATTCTCTTTTCAAAGTTGTTTTTTTAAAATTGCTTTTCCTTATGTGACTTGAGTTGATTGAATACTCCAAAACAATCCATTAGAGTGACTAATAAACTTGATTTCCTGAGGTCTATTGATGATGTATTTTAGCCTATAGTTTTGCTAAAGACTATTGGGAGCCTGGTCTGATTCAAATCCTTCTGCAAACCCATGACATTCACATGAAGTTATCCTGCAGAAGGTCATCTTCATTTTATATAGACTTTAACCTTTACTTTCATTTAAAATGAATTTTTACATCTGAAAGATGAGTGCAGCAACTAACATTTGAGAAATGATATTTTTGTTAGTCTTAATGCTGAAAAAAAGTTGATGGATGATGTGTGAAAATATAATCTGTTTATTTGTTAGAAACCATAAAAAATATTCTACCAAAGCAACTAATGTGTGCTTTCATTCTTTTAATAACCATTAAATATTTTTCAACAGAGTGAATACTACCCAGATGAGAAGTTAGCTAGATATGTCACTTGATATCCGTAAGACGTAATTTTTCCCTCTTACATTTAGCTAGGAATTATGGAATTGATCATTGTGGTGTAAAGTACGGGCACAGGTAGTTTAGAAAGGTATGCCAAAATAAAATATCAATGTTCTAGCAAAACTCTGGGAATCCTGGGCGGGTACATTAAGTGATATCCTCTTGTTCACTGTAATTTTATTTAATAAAAATAATGAAGCAAAAAAGATACTGCATATAAAGTATGTAAATCAATTAGACTATTATCTTATATTCTGAATGAGGAAATTTTTCAAAAGTTATTTAGTCACTTAAAGTAATAATGTAAAACAATATCTACTTGAAAACAAAAGATGAAATTACTACAAATAAATTCAAGATGGCATGTCAAACACCAACAACAGAAATATAAAAGGGGGGATATTTACTATACATTAAGCATGGAAAAACTGATTTCTGAAAATCCTAAGTGACCACAGTTGAATAAGATTCAGTAATGTACCATTATTACAAGAAAATCAATATATATTGGCACTATGTTTGACATACAAAACGTCTAACAAAGTAACTTGTATAGAATAATAAACATATATACTATGAGTATACTATTACATATTATATAATTATATAAAATACATATTTGTATATTTTATACTTTGTTAGTATGTGTAAATTATTTACAGTATATCTATATATGTGCAGTGTGTGTATATATACAAAGAATATACACATATATACACACAGAGTATATATACTCTGTATAGTATATATAGAGACAGAGAAACAGCAAGAGAATACATAGAATTGTATATAATATATTAATATATATGTTTTGTGTGTGTTTACAAAGAAAGTATATCGCGAGTATAGACTATATAAAGTCTGTACAGTGTGTGTGTATATATAACAGTAAATATGTATGTATACTAATTTTATTTTTCATATATATAACAAATAAATACTACTTCAGATATAGGTTTTCCACAATTGACATTTATCAAAAAAGTTACGCATTTTTAAAAAAATTAATAATTGCAGAAATCAAAGAAAGGGCAAATTCAGCAACAAACATGTCTGTCTATTCTTTTTATATAATATTTACCTAGGTATATATACATGCTTATATATATGAATGTGTAACTATGTGTGTCTATGTGTGTATATATATTTCTTATATATTTCAAATATATATATTTCTTATATATATTTCTTCTGCTGTCAAGTAAACATTTAGATGATGTTGGGTTAACTTAACTGTGGTGTTGAAACATGTAAAGAATAAATATCAAGAGAAAATGACTTTAAAGAAGAAATACTTTAGAAAGCTATCTTTATTATCATAATTACCAAAAATTTAATGAACCTGTTTAGGAAGTTACAGAGAATACATTCCTGAGGATGTTTAATTAAGGACAAGAGTTTTTTTGTGACAGTTTGAATATTCCCATGTGTAAGGACAAAGTTCAGAACCAGTGATTCTTAGAGCCCAAAGGAATCTATACGATTATATACATTGGTACGTATATTTTAATGGTTATAAATCTGACACTCAAGGATTTAAACAGTCTTGTCTAAAGTCAGAATAGGAAAGGTTTGTTTTCGTCTTCCTTGGAAATCAAATTTCTGCGTAATTCTTCAAAATTCTCTACGTCAGTGTTCTTAGTTAGAATTGTTCAAATCCTCTTTAAAATCAAGAAAATTTTCGCAGAACCTGCAAAATACATATGTGAGCTTGAATTTAAGAAACACTGCTGGCTGAGCGCGGTGGCTCACGCCTGTAATCCCCGCACTTTGGGAGGCTAAGGCGGATGGATCACCTGAGGTTGCAGTTCGAGAGCAGCCTGGCCAACATGGTGAAACCCCATCCCTTCCAAAAATAGAGAAAAAAAAAAAAATTAGCCGGGCGTGGCGCCTCATTCCTGTAGTCGCAGCTACTGGGGAGGCTGAGGCAGAAGAATCAATCGCTCGAACTCAGAAGGCGGAGGTTGCAGTGAGCCGATATTGCACCACCGCACTCCAGCCTGTGCGTCAGAGCGAGACTCTGTCTCAAAAAAGAAACCCAAAAAACAAAAATAAACAAAAAACAAACAAAAAAACACTGTTGTAGGGCATGAGATGTTTACCAAGTATTTCTAATAAAAACAAAAATTCTTAATTCCAGGCAAATCTAAGGCAGTTTATGTAGCCCATTTATCTTACACATATTCGTCCTTTGCAATCACTACAAAAGACTATATTTTTTTAAGTATACAGGTATCTTATGTATTCTCCACTGAAAGATAAATAACAAAAACAAAAACTATTAGGCTGGTGCAAAAGGAATCATAGTTTTTGCCATTACTTTCAATGGCAAAACCCACAACTACTTTTGCACCATATTACTACACATGGAATCAAAATTTTAAAAATCTATATGAAATATCTTTAAAAATTTTTTGAGAAAGATGTAAGTTTAAAAATGGTAAATAACTTTAGAATTATTTACTATGATGGTGACATCACAGAATATTATATACATTTATCAATGTCATCTGTGAGTACTCATTCCAAGTGTTTATCTTGATTAATACAAAGTAGAAGCTTATTAATTTAATGAGAGCATAACCTCCATTATATTAAAACAAATTACTACTTATAATGTAGTGACAAAATGGTACATATATATTACTTTTGTTATAGTAGAATTTAAAAAAGTAAAAATTAAAAAAAAAACTAAGGGGCCATAAAAATTTATACGATAATTGAGTTAAATATCTCATTTTGGGTTTAAATCTTTTAATAATAGTTCATAATAATTAGCAGGGGCCAAAGAATTAAAACGTAAATATTTTAACATTTTTTCCCAGACTCAAATATCAACAGATCAAAAGCTTAATGTTTAAAATTAAAATATCTGAATACAGATAATATTTTCAGAAGGGAACATATTATACAGTATTCAGTAGGTTTAAACCCATCCATACCTCTGTGTTTATTAAAATTCCCTTTTCTGTGGGAAAAAAACACATTCTAAATGAATCCATATTGTGTAGATGTGTATATATATATATATAACATGTGTGTGTATATATATGTATAAACAGACAAAAAGGATAGATGAATAAGAGTAAATATTAACTGTTGTTACTTCAGGATATTGTATTTGAAAAGGTAATATAAGACTAGTTTATATATAATTATTTGTTCAGAATTATTATTGTAACCATACTTTTTTTTTTTTTTTTTTTTTTTGAGATGGAATCTCATGCTGTTGCCCAGGGTGGAGTGCAGTGGCATGATCTCAACTCATTGCAACCTCTGCCCCCTGGGCTTAAGCGATTCTTCTGCCTCAGCTTCCCTAGTAGCTGGGATTACAGGCATGCGCCACCATGCCTGGCTAATTTTTGTATTTTTTATTAGAGACGGGGTTTCCCCATGTTGGCCAGGCTGGTCTCAAACTCCTGATCTCAAGTGATCCACCCGCCTCGGCCTCCCAAAGTGATGGGATTACAGGCATAAGCCACCATGCCCGGCCTATTGTAAGCTTTACATTAATTTTATATTTTAAAATATACTATTAGTTTATAAAATCAGCTAACCAGAATTGTATATTTACTTTCCTTTCCCTACCTCTCATTTTTCCTATAATTTAAAATATTTTTAATAACAAAATAAAATTATATACAACAAGAACAAATGAGAAGTACTACAAATGTCCATCAAACAAGATTGGTTAAATACATTATAGAAAAGTATATAATGGAATATACTTTCCTATTAAAAAAAACAAGCTGTATTTATGTGTTGTTGAGAAAATGTCATGTTAATTTAAAAAATAAAGTGCAAAAGAGTACATATGATTCGAGTTGTAGAGCTACTACAATAAAAACATATTTAGGTTTGTGCATATAAAACATAATTTTAAAATATGCTTCTCTATCTATCTGTCTATCTATAGGTTTTTTGGAAGGATTCTTAAGAAATTCTCGTCATAGTTTGATATTGAAACTGAGGATACACTTTCTGTAATGTTTGTTTTTTTCCCATATTAAAAGTAAGAAAATTAAGTATAATCATCCCACCAAAGTAAAAACAACACTTGGTTATTACTAGTCAAATTAAAGTAACTGTAAAATAAGAATTTTTACCTAACTCTAAGTATTTTATAAAAATGTATTTGAGCTATGTCTTAGATAATAATTTAAAATATTATATAAAACTGTCATTAATTTAAACAGGTTATTAAGATATTAAGTTGTATATTAATAATTTTCTTAGAACTGTATAAATAAGAAGCTTTTATTTTACATTTTGTAGCCAAATTTTTAAATGACTTTGAAGTCCCCAAATCCCCTCTTCATGCTTACTATCTTATTTGCTCCACTCTTCTTTTTTTTTTTTTTTTTTTTTTTTGAGACGGAGTATCACTGTGTCATCCAGGCTGGAGTGCAGTAGCATGAGCTCGGCTCACTGCAACCTCTCCCTCCCTGGGTTCAAGTGATTCTCCTGCCTCAGCCTGCCAAGTAGCGGGGACTACAGGTGTGTGCCACCACATCTGGCTCTTTTTCGTATTTTTAGTAGAGGCGGGGTTTCGCCATGTTGGCCAGGCTCGTCTCAAACTCCTGACCTCAGGTAATCCACGCACCTTGGCCTCCCAAAGTGTTGGGATCACAGGCATGAGCCACTGCACTGGGCCCAAAATTGCTCCATTCTTTATTAAAAAAAAAAAATACAAAATGTTAATTTGAAAAATGCAGCCCATGTGTGGGGCTTCTGAAGAAATACCAGTAAAAAAGTGGCAATCCCACACCAATTTTATGCTTTCATACATTCTCTTAAACTTGCAATTTATATATCTGATTTGTCCCCATTAGATTACTCTCTTACTATTTTTCAAGATTCTTTTTAAATTATGAATCTACCTATATATCTTTTCCTTCTGTTTTACTGAATATGGTTTCAAAAGAATGACAATATATTACAACAATACCTAAGAGTATCTGAATTTTGTGACTGATGGTTTCATCTTTAGAGCTTTTAGAAAAATCTAAAATTAAATAGGTTTTTAAAGTTAGTAAGGAATCACAGTTTTTGGAGGGCAAAATGTTTAAGTAATGATGTCTGACCATATGAAAACTATCTAAATGATCCTCACTGTGTTCAGGAATCTTGTTTTACAAATCACTGAAACTTTTTATTTTAATTGCAGTACTTGGAAGAGCCTTCACATTTTAACATTATGATTATACACACCCTAAATTCTGTGTCTTGGGTGCTTTAATTGCTCATGAGAGGCAACCAACTCCAGTAATCAACAGAGGATATGAAACTTCTTATTTTGCTGAACTGTATTAACCACAGGGTTTCAGAGAGGTAAGTCAAAGGAGATGTAAAACAGTTACTTAAAGAATAGTTCTTTGGGGAGTTTGCCTTTGCTTTCATATCACAAAAATCATTTTTGTTTCATCAGCGCTCACACTTCCTTATTTTCATTTACAGTTCCAGCAGCAAGTACACACATTAGGTCAAAACGCTATCTTACATACATCAATGTATTAGTTTCAATAAAATCCATAAATGAAGTTGCCTTTCACACGTACACCATGTGTACAAATTTCCATTCTATTTGAAAAGTCACAAGCCTCTCTAGAGCTACTTTCATTATTCTTGGCCACAGTTTAGAACTCAATACCTTGACACTTTAAGAGGGTATATGTAGATTTGTGAACAGGAAGGTGGAGAGAGAAGTTATTTCTACAGAATTCAAAATCAGTTTAGAAAATATGCCTAATTCATAGTAACCAAAAAAAGCATACCATTCCTTTCACCAGTGGTCAGAAGTTTGGCCTTGTTGCTCTTTGGAATAAAATGGTTAGGAATTAGTGAAGTAGTTTATATTTATAATGGTTATAAAAGTGAATAGGACAAAAGATAGGAGTCTTGTTAAATTACTAAAAGAATCTGCAAAGTTTATGTTTAAAATATCTGTAAAAACCCATGTGTATTCACTGTTAATCATATATAACACTATCTGGATTCTAACTTACTGAAAATGCACTACTGCAGTCACTCCTCTTATTTCATGCTTTGGTTTTGGTATTGGATTGAGAAATATAAACCAAAATCTAGGAAACAAAGGTACTAATTCAGAGTAATCTTAAGTTTTCTCATTAGTTTTCCATAGTCAGGGAGGACTTACTTCAGATTATTTCTTTCTAAAACTTAATCTGCTATCACTGGAATGTGTTTGTGTGTGTGTATGTGTGTGTGTGTGTGTGTGTGTGTATGTTTAAGATGGAAACATTATCTTTTTAAGGTGTTTTTCAGAGTAACATGATACCCAAACAAAAACAGACATGTTCTTAACACAATGCACTGTAATGTTACAGTTTCTTAAGATGCACATTTTTTTAAGAGTCAAATTGTAATTACCAGGGATATTTGTAACTTAAAAAAAAAAGGCGGTGACTTACTCTCCAAATGCAGTATTTTTATCTTATTTTGTTGAAACTTCCTGTCAACCACCAAGAGAATGTGTGTTGAGTAAACATGATCTAATTATAAGAATGCAATTTAGGCCAGGCACGGTGGCTCATGCATGTAATTCCAGCACTTTGGGAGGCCGAGGTGGGTGGATCACGAAGTCAGGAGATCGAGACCATCCTGGCTAAGACGGTGAAACCCCATCTCTACTAAAAATACAAAAAATTAGCCAGGTGTGGTGGCGGGCACCTGTAGTCCCAGCTACTTGGGAGGCTGAGGCAGGAGAACGGCGTGAACCCAGGAGGCAGAGCTTGTAGTGAGCCGAGATCGCACCACTGCACTCCGGCCTGGGCAACAGAGTGAGACTCTGTCTCAAAAAACAAAACAAAACAAAACAAAACACAAAAAACAAAAAAAGAATGTAATTTAATTGTGTGCAAAATAATACAATACAAGAAACTATCTAGAGATTTAAACAGGAAATGGTAAATCCTTGCAGGAAATTATCTCAGGAACAAAACAAAAATACCTTAGCCCAGTTCCTATTACAGTATAAGAAACTATTTTTAAGTCTGGGCTTGGAAACCTGTTTTTTTCAGGACTTGTATCCATTGTATTTAATTGGCCCCCTGAACTTGCCCTTCCTTTCCAAGTCCACTGCTTCTGTCTTACATCCTTATTATCTTATGAGTAAATTAATCAAAAGCCTAATTGGTTTTTGTGCCTCTGGCATTTTTCTTGTCCCTGTCAAATAAATGTCTGCAGTTACAAGATTTCTTCTTAAATTCAGACATCTAACTGTGCTTCATAGAGCATAAACTCAATTCCCTTCTCAACCACATCCCAAGTTACTTTTCCAACTTTGTATTCCCATGTTCCACAACAGACTCCATTATTCCATACGTTTACTGTGCACTTCATCATTTGCTTGACCTGGTACCCTCTAATAATGCAACAGCATTTCCTTCTGTTTGGTTTTCTTATTCTCTTTATTTTATCCCTCTGGCAATTGCTATTCTGTTTTTAAAGTCCAGTTCAAATGTTTGGTCCACTTTCCAAGTGTCTTTGTGAACCTGAGGGACAAATTATACACCTCTGACAACATATTCCCCTATTAGGCCACTAGTGAATTGTATATGCCTCTGTCTGTACCATAAAGCCTATGCATTTTTTAAAGGTAGTGATCAGCTCTTCATTTTTGAAGCTACAGTATCTGACACTCAGTACACTTCCAGTAAAAATACATAATTTCTCATCTGTGGTTTATCTACTTTACATACTTATATGTGTGCATGAGTGAATTTGGCCTTTTGGTCATTTGCCACTTTTAAGCAAGAGTTTATATTTTAATGCTTTTTTCTGAACTTGTGTTAATAAAAGGGAAATGTTGGCTTAATTCATTAAAACAGCATCTGTGACTTTGGGGGGAAGCATTAAGGCATTTTATCGCAGCCAGCCTCCTTTCTCACTACTAGGCCTCTTGGCTACAGATGGGACTTAATTGCTCCTTAAATATATCTAACATTTATGCTTACACAATATTGCCCACTAGCCATTCAGCACTTCTGTTGTAGTTTCCCTACCCAAAGCTCATTAATTTTACTATGAATTCTTATTACTTTTTAGTGCAAAAATATAAAAATTAGTAGTTTGTTCATGAACACACATAAATAAGTGCCAGGTTCAACAATTTGCTTTTTCAAAAAAGAGGGTGAGTTAAAATCATATCGTACATAAACAAACTTCAAGTTTGTAAATAGAGTAACCATTATAAAATAACGGAAACATATATCCATTTGGAGATTTTACTGAAGCTTATTCTTGTCTAGTGAAAATGTTTAGTTATATGTGTTCCACTGTGCCAAGGACAAACTGGTCCTTTCCAGTCACTTACCCTCTGACAGCATGAATAAGTCTCAATGACGGATAGGCAGTTCGCACTTTCAGTTTATTCTTAAGGATTAATGCATTAACCCACTCCACGTGCTTCTCTCCTCCTTTGACCATGAAAGCAGGAATCCAAAGGACACTGTCATTCAGCATGGAAAGTCTATGCACAAATTTTTCTCTGTCACTCTCATTTCGAAAGCCTCCAAATGCTCTTTGTACAACTGATGGATTCATGGTAATAAAATCTGATTTAGTTCCCACATCTGCAGCAAACTCCACCACAGGAGCTAGATTACACCTGAAGAGGAAAAAATTAATGGGACAAATGAAAAAAAAAGAAATATTCACTGGTAAAATGGTGTTCATGAAAAGAAGAATGGGAAATAAGCATTTTTTTAACCATGTGAAAAGAAAACCAAAAGATCATCTACTTGGTAAGATTACATTTTCAATAAGTCTCCGCACGTGCAGGAATACTGCCTGCAATAAAAATATACAGTCCCAGTACAGGGCTCAAAATGCCTCTTGTATGAATTCAACCTGTTGTCTAAGAATATCCTTTGCTATTATCTCATAAAACCACACAATTTGAATTTGTAATCAGAGAATTTATGATGGTAAATTCACAAGGGTTCTTTGGCCATTCAGTAGTCAATTTAAACCACATGCTGCTCTACAAGTGAATAAAACACATTGGACTTGACATTCTAATCTGCACCACTTGTAAAGCTTAAGTCATTTCAACAACTTTGTAAGTGTAAGGAAATAAAGTTGGCTTTACTTACACACTGAGGTTAGGGGAAAAGTGCAATTCCTTATAGTGTTTTACACAAACATATTTACAATTGCTTTCTATAGGTCTAAATGGGGAAGAAAAATAAGAAAAGTGGAGATGTCATATTTAATATGACTTTCTGGGGTTTTAAGTAATATAGAAAAGCTCTTACTATAAGATCAAATATCAGCCTTCCTGTTATTTTAGGACATCCTCAAAATATCTGTTTTCCCTTTTCGGACGTATGCATCCCTGGGGAATGCATATGTAGGGAAAGAACAGAATATGCCGTACTGTTTTCTCCACTAGAGCCATAAGGTTTTGAAAAGAGCTTGGGCCTGATGTTGTTTATATAACCTGTTATTTATATTTATATAATCTAATATAACATTCTTATATTAGAAGAAAGCTTTGAAAAGCACCTTGAATTTGGCCTTTAACCAATTTCTGATGCTTCTTTGATCGGTCACATAGACCTTTTTATACCTGATTTTAAAAATAGCTTCATTTTTTTTTTTAAAAAAACTATTTTTAACTTGCTTTTAAAAAGGTAGGTTTTAGTTGATAAAAGAAAAGTTAGATTTTGATAAACAAGAGTTTACTGTATTGGGAAAAAGTTGTTTGAATCGATTCAATCAAACCCTTCATGAAAATATGAAACTATTTTTAATACTTTTATCAGCCTTTCAAGGGAAGGGATTTTCTTTTTCTGCATTTTTGCATGTTTGGCTACATTATGAAAGTTCCTTACATTTCTCTTCCTTGTGTATTTTGTCACATTAATTGAATTATTAAACATTTTAATTAAAAAGTAAAGTATGTGTTCTGATACTAAAAATACTGTCTTATATATCGTTCCTTATCTCTCTTAATTAATATATCTTGTTACTTCCTAGATCTCCGACAATATTTAGCTACAACAACAAATATATTTCATCTCAAATTCTCTGTTATTTAGGGTTAGCTACTGAGGGAAAAATATTAACACAATAATATTATTTAGAAAGTATAAAGATTATTATCTTTTCAATTTGGGTATCTTTAATTACATCCACTATATTATATGACAGAGTATGTATTTGTTTCTACTCATGATTCATACCACTAATTATTATTAGATATTATTCATTCTCATTATGGTAAGAATATTACAAACAGGACTACCCAGAAAAAGATTTGCTGCATGCGAATACTTGTCAAAGTGAACACCTTCTTGTGGAACTCAAGGAAGATCAAGGACTTGATCATTTTAAAGTCCTAAGATGTGCTCTACACAAATATTAAAAGTAATCTAAACTCCTAATGAAGCTAGTTATCACATGAATTTGGATACTATGGGGAAAAGTATATTCTGGACATCATTATTACTGACACTTCTTTAGGTAAAATAGGGAGAATACATGTAACATTACAGTTAACATGTTCCTGTTGGGGAAGTGGCTTTGGACATATTTTTCCACTAAAACAAACCCTCAGTAATTTCTTTTTAGAGGATTCCAATTGTAGAGAAAACAATATTTGTACTTTATTTTCACTATAATAGTAAAACTAGTAAAAACCAACCCAATTAAATAGAATAAAAATGATATATTCTGCTGAATTATCCCTTCAGGAAAAAAATCACTCAATTACTGTATACTTTTTCTTGCCACATCTTTAAACATCCCACCCCCTATCCGTATTTGCCAATACCCACTCTTGATTTTCTGGTCATGAATTTCTCAAAAGGTGGTAAGATGCTCATCAATTAAAGCTGAAGGCTGAAAGATAAATGCTTTCCACTTTGAAAGCAAAAAGAAGCTAATGGAATAAGAATATTTATGGAGAACAGATTAATTTAGGAAACAAACCAACATATTTGATTTAATTAATGAATGCTAAATGAGTATGGTGCTAACTAAAGGAGCAATTGGAGATCAAAGAGTAACAAATCCACATGCAGAGTCTTGAGGATCTGAGCAGAGCACAATCAGACTTTGTCAAGGATAGTAACTGAGGTACAGGAAATAACAAGACAGAAGACACTTCATAAAATACAACGCTTTGTGGTTTTAGGAGTCCAGCTTGTTCATTTTCCTGGGGAAGAATATATATACATTTTCCCTGGAAAATAGAGTAATACAATGTCCACATGTTGCTGGTAAATTAACAACTCTGTGGTTGAGTCAGATTTTTAGTCATATAATTAGCTGAATGCCACTTATTTAAAAGAAAGCATTAAAAAATCAAAAATAACCAACGAGCTGTGTTGCACTCCAGCAATTCAGTAGACTTGTTGTGAGCATCCAAACATTACTAGCAGCAAAACTGCTGATTGAGCAGGATTATGAATATATTTGCCATCACAATTTTCATTTTTCTTTATAAAAAATTCCTTAGAGGTTATAATATTCAAAATTAGCCAGAATGTGTCTCAAGCATTTATGAGTAATACATGATACTCATATTACTCTTAATCTCATAAAATAGAGGAGTAGCCAGTTTTAAAATGATGGACTTTGGTGAGTCAAAATTGTTGAGTGCATATAAACATTTAATAGAGTCAAACAACATTATCTTTAGCCAATTTAAATATTTGTGCCCATTTTATATTTGACATGTTGAAAACATATACACAGAATTAGCTGTATTAACAATACTCTTTATTTACTCTAAACTTCCCAGTTCTCAATTTATTTGTGTTTATTCTCCAATATTGATTAAACACCTACAGGAATGCAGCTAACTCCACTGTATTCTAAGCCTCTGAATTTTCTTCCATGATTTCACACTGCATATGATGGCTTCTCATCCCTACATGCAAAATTGAAGGTACTTTCATGTTAATTTAAAAGTTATATAAAATATTTATTTTAGAATTCATAGGGAATAAATGTTTATTTCATGTGTGAGCACCTCAAGATTACAGAATTCCCTAGCAAAAAATCTCTCTTGGATTGGCCATTATTCTCTGCAGTTAAATGATACTTCAACAATGTATGCAACTAGGAGATCCCACTTGCATTTATTAACAGGCATTTATTGAGAGTTTGTTTTGCAAACACTACTCTAGAAGCTCAGACTTTTTTTCTAGCTATTTAGTTATTTATGTTATTTAACAATGACATAATCTATCCAATTTTTTAATTCTACATTTTTTAATTCTACAACGTATTGTATGTATCTGTGCTAGGTATAGAACTCATCATCCAAAACTGGAGTAAATACGGTGTAAAACATGGTGTTCTGTAATAATTGGAGGTTGTCACTTACATCCTTTCACACACCCAACAGATTAAATAAGAAGAAAACAATTCTAGGTGTATTATAGACCAAATTTTCCCCACCTTTGTTAATATTCAGACAAATTCCAAATACATAATTATCATCCTTTTTCTTTTTTGGCCAATCCCACTGTGTTGCTTCCTGTGCTAACTGACATCTCTCAGCCAAAACATTATTACCTACGGAAACACCTTTGTCAATCCACTGTGAAATAGGAACCAATGTCTTCTCTTTTCTGCCCCTAAAGGAAGCTTATTGATCCCGTTTGCTCCCATCTTGTTTCTCAGCTTGAGGAGCAAATAGAACAAAAAAAATCTGTTAGCTGTCTTTTCTTAGACTTTCTGATTACTTTCTCAAAATTTCTGTGGAAAGTTGGCACATGCGACCTGCCAGTCTCTTTGACTTTCCTGTCATGAAGGTTGTGGGCTCCACATAGACCTGAAACCATTCATTTTGCTTTGAGGTAAAAAGTAGTATCAACTTCACTTTTAGATGAGAAACTAAGGTTAAAGTGGTTGAGAAACATGTCCAAGGGCATATAGGTTATAAATGAAAAGCACCATCTAGTTTGGAATCATTCCAGGACAGGAGTTTTAACTGACACTATTATACATATGAGTTCATTCAGAAATGTGATAAATGTCTATAAATTCATCCTGCACACAAACCTTCCTATAGAACAAAGAGTGTTCTATCATTTATCCCTAGCTTTTCATCTCAGATTCCTAAGACTCAGGTATGTTATTCAAGGCCATTCAGCCATGACCTTTCCCAAATTTTGAGCAGTTATTAAACAAAAGGTTTTAAACATCTAAAACATAAATATAATATCTATACCTCAGATCTCTTGATAGACAGGATTTCAAAATGATACTAGAAAGTATTAAATAACTAATTGATAAGACTTTTGAAATATTAACCATAGGATTAAAATGGACTTTCATGTGGTATACCATAATGTAGTAAACAAAATATAAGAAATAAAGTTGAAATATCACATTAAACATTTGCATGTTCAGTATGATGAATAGGCACACAAAATACACACATACACACACACACACACCACATTTTATGCTTTTAACAATACCAATTGTTGAAATTCTCAACTTGATAGAAATACAAACAACACACATCATGAAAATAATGAAATGACTAAACAGAAGAGGAAATTTTTCACAAACCCAGGTTCGTTAACATTACTGGCAAGGGTGGGAAGAACAGTGTCATAATTTCTAGAGAAATTCACAGAATGAAAATATAATCAAACTCCTTCTAGCAAACAAAGATCTGCATACCAAGAAATATGTTAGACTGTGTCATTCCGATACTTCTGTGAAAAGAAAAATGGAATCATCGGTCAAATTTGCTATAACTGCACAAATTCTAGAGAATAGCTTAGATTTGGGAGGGGAGAAAAAGGGGAAGCGTGCCAAGGAAAAATATATTGTTTAATTTAAATAAAAATGTTAAATATATACCTCATATTTATCCAAATTTGGCTTAAACTTTAAGAAATAAAAGATATTTAGCTTCATTTCTATTCTTAGCTATTTGATCATCAGTAACCATGTGGGCAATGGAGTTCACATCAATCAAGTTACTTAACTTGTCCAAGCTTATAACTCTTTTTTTACTTCTTCCTTTATTGAAGTATAAGTGACAAATAAAAATATTTCAGAGATTCAAATTTTTCTATAAATCAGGCTAACACTGATGGGAACTGTACTGGGAAAATTAAATGAAACAAAATATTTGGAATGCCTCTCAAAATTCCTTGCCCTGGGTGGATAAAACATATTAGATTATGCTAATTCCTTTTACATGCTCTTTCCTTTTACAATCTATTATGATAATAAATCTTTTGAAATGCATGCAGGTAAGTTAAAGGCATGTCAAATAAGATCTCTGAGCAACAGCGTAAGGAAGCCCAAACTTTATTTATAACACATTTAGTAAGCCATTGTGGCTGAAATTTACTTTTGATCCCCTAGGAATTGAGACTTGAATGACTGATGGGGCCAGATTGCAAATATTTTAAATATTAGATGAAACAAATTTGACTCCATAGGCAGTGTGGAAACTTTAAAACTCATAGACATGGTCAATTGTACTTAAAAAGAGGAATATGACTCAACTGTTCAGGAGAATAAGGCCTCCCAGTTACAATTTCATAATAACATAATTCACATAGAAGATAAGAAAAATATTTTATTGTTGCTCTAAGAAGAATACTTAAATTTTTAAAATATTTATTTCTTTATTTCTTTATTTATTTTGAGATGGAGTCTCACACTGTCGCCCTGGCTGGAGTGCAGTGGCGGGATATCGGCTCCCTCCTATCTCCGCCTCCTGGGTTCAACTGATTCTCCTGCCTCAGCCTCCTAAGTAGCTGGGATTACAGGCGCCCCCCACCACCCCAGCCATTTTTTTTTTGTATTTTTAGTAGAGACGGGGTTTCACTATGTTTGTCATGCTCGTCTTAAACTCCTGTCTTCAGGTGATCCACCCGCCTCTGCCTCCCAAGTAGCTGGGATTACAGGCATGAGCCACCGCACCTGGCCGAATACCTTTTATTGAACATTTGTTATGTGCCAGGGAGCATTCTCTGTGCTTTGCATGTAATATATGTGATTCTCACAATAAGCCAATGAGACAGTCACTATTGCTGTTTTCCAATGATAAGGAAACTGAGTTGCAAGAAATTTGTCCAAGAGTACATAGTTTTAAGTAATAGAGGCAGATTTTAAGCTCATGCTCTTAAATATTATGTACCACTTAATCCCTAAGAATGGAAAGGAAGCAAAAAATAAATACAAAGAACTTGGTCAAAAGTTCAGTTGCATATGTGCAAGTGATATGGCTGTGACTTCTATCACCTTGTTGAACCTCATGTTTGGTCTGAAAGTCTGATTGGCTAAAGTGAAGGTTTCATCTTTTCTCAGTCTTCTGTAAATCCTCCTCCCCAAAGGTAGGGTCTTGGGTGGATAATCCCAGCATGCAGAAAGTCACTCCCAGGTAGGAATATACAGAAGGTTGTGCTCCTCTGAAAAGCCACCAAAGAAAACAGACATAGGAAAGAATGTGAAGGAAAATAAAAGGTTGATTCTGAGATTTCCTATGATGGAAGTGTGGGAAAAAGTTAGGTAATTAATAGTAGATGCACACACACTAAAGGAGGGAGGGAAGAAGGAAGCAAGGAAGAAAGAAGAAAAATGACCCACTTCTGAGATGCCATTTAAAAGTACAGTACTAAAATTCAGAACACATGAATTCAAATCAAGACTCTTTACAATAAAACCAGTGGCCCATATTCTCTTCCCTAAAATAAAAAGTTGTTCTAGGTGAAAATGAGAAGTAAAATCCACTCATGGAGTTTAATTTTAAAATAAATATATTGAAATGTGTAAATTTTTATCTTCTTTCTCTTCAAAAGATTTATATCATATAAGAAATGTACCCAGTATGAACAACTACACATAAACAAATGTTATTGCTGAAATAAAAAAATCTTCTTTAGCATTGGAACTCAAGTCTTGAAATAAATAATAAGAGGATACTGAAAGCATTATCTCAAAATATTATGAGGTCGCTAAAATGCTATTAATATCTTTAATTTATTTAAATGTAATCTAAAATACAATTATCTTTTCTGATATAAAGCAATGGATTAAAATAAGACATAAAATTAGAGAGTTATCCCAGGACTTCAGCTACGGACAAGTGGTAAGGACGGCTCTGTCTTACACTGTCTTTATTCACTTCAGCATATCAACAGAAAAGAATCTGTAAAATCAGGAAAGGTGCTTTTAGTCAGAGTGCTTACTTGTGAATCCACATTTTAAATCAAACTAAAACTTCACATTTATCAGCTTTCTCCTTGGAGACTTGAATGGTATGACTAATTACAAGTTAGCACTTGTTTTTTCAAGAAAGGATAAAAAATAGAGCATATTGTAAAAGGAACCAAAAAATGAATAAATTAAAATGATAAGACATCATAAAGACAACAATTTGTAAATACTTTTATCAATTAAAAAGAAATTCTAACAGCATCTGGTTGTCAATGTATAGTTGCTTGTAATAAGTAATACGGAGGGTAAAGCGTTAACTGCTGTTCTTTATCTGGGACTTCACAATATATTTATAAAAGCGGGCCGGGTGCGGTGGCTCACGCCTGTAATCCCAGCACTTTGGGAGGCCGAGGTGGCTGGATCACGAGGTCAGGAGATCGAGACTATCCTGGCTAACATGGTGAAACCCCGCCTCTACTAAAAACACAAAAAAATTAGCTGGGCATGGTGGCGGGCGCCTGCAGTCCCAGCCACTTGGGAGGCTGAGGCAGGAGAATGGCGTGAACCTGGGAGTTGGAGCTTGCAGTGAGCCGAGATTACGCCACTGGACTCCAGCCTGGGTGACAGAGCAAGACTCCGGCTCAAAAAAAAAAAAAAAAAAAAAAAAAAAAAGCCAACAGCAAATTCTGAAATGGCAACAAACTTCAGGTTCTACTAATGCGGGGAGGTATCTTGTCTCGTTCATTACTTATTCCCACTGCCAAAGTATCTCATAGTAGGTGTCCGGTAATCATTTTGTAAAGTTCTCTCATTTATTAAATTCAGTACAAAGCACATAGCAATATCAGTGAGACATAACATACACATAACTGAATACTATATTTTCAAAATTGTATCCCACAAAACAACCAATTATTATAATGTTTATTATTTAATTTGACTACTTGTGACATTTGCATAGTGTTTCTTAAATTTCAGTGAAGTCTATTTCCTTTGTTTCTGTTCTTATCTTGTCCATACCTAACTCCCAGAAACCGACTCTGGCTTAACTTAGAAAAAGTGATTTATTGGAAAGCTGGCTGGACCACAGAAATCACTAAAAAAATCATAGTCCCCGAACAATGGTTATGTCCCTGTCAGGGATACCTCAGCATTTCTCACTATCAGGGAACTCTGAACTTCCAGTTTACCCAGTTTTCTTACCCCATATTTCACTAGCCAAAGTCATAATTAGGAAAATGTGGTTAAACTAGTTTTGACCACATTTCTGTCCCTTTGCTGCTAGGCAGAGAGAAATGAAAATATTGATCAATTTTTGCTTCTGTAGTGGACAACAGGGCCCCTTTCTACATTTTTAAAGATTAGCCTTAAATAACAAGAAATTGTCAGATACTGAATAGTTTTTTAAAAAGGCAAAAAAATAGTCCAATTGATCACTCCGTATTATTAATTTTTCCTTGTTGGCATTTTCTAGATTTTTGTTACTAGACATATTCTCTCTCAATTCACACCTCACTTCTTGCAGGAGATCAACTACTCTAACTCTTCAGTTAGCATGGTTAAGGAAATCTTTATCTTCAACTCTAACTCCTACCTGAGTTTCAATCAGTTACTGAACTCCTCAGTGACTATCCCAATGATATTTCAAATCAGCATGTTCAAATTGAAAACCATTACCTGTAGTGTTCTCTTTTCTCTTCCATAAACTTCTTGTTTTTTTCTTTATTTTCTAATACTATGTCACTATTACTTCTAGTGTCACCAAAATACAAGCATCTCAGAGACTTCTCACACTCCCTATTGTATTCCCCATATCTTCTTGGTCATCAAATTCTGCCTCATATATACTCCTTTTACCACCAAAATGTGACCCTTCCTATTTACTCTTCTTGCCACTGTCCAATTTTAGTTACGCCTTGCTTAGATTTTTTTTATAATTTAAATGGTCTTACAATCTTTAGTCTCATACTCCTCCAATCATCCATGCACATTTACTAATTATGAGAATTCTGTTTGATGAGACTTCCTGTGAATGAAATTTAAAATGTAGTGTTCTGGAATGTCAGTCTGCTTTAGAAAGCATAAGCTTGCCCCTTAAGCTTGAGGACACATGGGCCTGGCCAATAGTAATTCTCAGTGCCTTCAGAATTAAGAACCAAACCTTAGATTATGTCATTTTAACACTGGTTTTACTAAGTGCTGTCTTGTATTCATTGACACAATGTTAACATAGTGTCTGTCTCTCAATGAATTTATCACACTGTGGATTAATTACATAGTTATGTTAGTTTCTTCTACCAGACTATGGATTCCTTAAACATATCTATTTTCTCTTTATGTTTCCAGGGCCTATCAGTCAAAGCCCAAAATATAGGAGAAATAAGATATGTAAAATATTTGCCAAAATGAATGGAAATATTTGAAGTTAAAAGTGCTATATCTTGATTAATTGTTTAATTTAATGATCACATTTTTCCTTCACATATAACACACATATTTTCTTTCAAAGAGTAAACTAAAAGATGTTTGTATAAGTAAAAATAATGACTATGTGAAAAATTTACTTCAATGAAATGTTACAAAGACATCTTTGTTTATTTTAACACTTGTAAAGGACTTCAAGAATGCCAGGACCTCTTCTAAATTTCACACACACACACACACACACACACACACACACAAATACATATTATATATATGTTTACACACACATATACATAAACTTAACATTTAAGCCTCATAACAACACAATGAAGTAGTACTACAATCATATGTACTTTACAGATGAGTAAACTGAAGCACAAACACAGAGGATGGGTGACCAGCCCAAGGTCATTGATTTGTAAGTGCTAGAGCTGGGGTTCAAAACCAAGCAGTCTACATCTGATTCTACACTCAAACTTTTTTTTAATACCTGGGCTAAATAAACATACACATAGATGTGAAAAATACGTCATTAAACTTCATGAGCATTGTTAGGAACTTGCTGTTACACTACATGAATTGTCAAGATAATTTAAATATGACATATTAATTTCACCATTTATCACAGACCATTAAGAATTAGCATGTGATTGTTTTCCTTTTTTCACAAAAGTGAATGTGGATATATTTATGGTAGTCAACTAATAGATATTTGAATCATAAATATGTTTCTTAAAATTGCACATAGAATCGATACTAGGTATACCCTCAAAATTCTGCCTTTGTAATTAAAAAGAAGTGTAATTTTTATTTGCCTGAGGAATGCAGGGAAAAAATATGAGTTGTTGAAAAATGCCCTGTGTATTGCGAAATAAAACTTTGAGTACAAGTTTGTAATTGGGATATTTAAAATTAGAGATTGGAGAACCAAGTGAGAATTCTCAAGATGTATGTATCCTGACACATTCTTGCCAAAATCATCAGGGAAACTGACTACTCCATTGGTCTGTGGTTGCTGAGCAGTTACTACTGTTTAACAGAAGAAAGAACTGATTCAGCATAGTACTTAAGTCCTTAAAAATTATGTTGTGCACTAAAAAGAACGAAACAACATTTATTATGGCTGATACTGTAATCACCCATGATAGAAAACTAAGGTAGAAAAACTATAATTGTTCCCTTTGCAATTTATGCTGTTAATAAGGTATGTACAATGGGTACATTAGAGGGGTTGTAGGAAAAATATCTAACTCTTAGTGATTATACCATCAAATTGCCACAGAAATGTCGCTTTGACATTTAACTTTCTTGCTTAAATAAACAAAAAAACTTAATACCATATTCACTTGTCATTCTTAGAAATACCTTTTTGAAAGTATAACCCAAGGTTGAAAATGATTTTTAACTTAGTATATATTATTTATTCAATACTGAGTCCCAGAAAGACAGTTGGTTTGATGCTCAAAAGATGTAGGCATTCTAATACCAATCAAGCATTGGGAAAAATATCATGAGTGTACAAAAATGAGTTTCAATTTCTGATATCATAAGGTAGGCCAAGGCAATTTCACATTTATTACACCATACTTATTCTAAGGGGATCATTCTCAAGCTCTATTTTAACAGATTCATACTTTGACCTAGCTGTAATGCCTGATCCCCATAATGTTCTTATCCTCTGTATCTGATTCATTACAAAGCCCTAAAAATTCCTCTCAGAATTTCCCCTGAATATATTTCCTCTTGTATGTTCTTATTGATACATTCTCAGCTGAGGTACCACCATGTTTCTTTGAACTAGTATTGTAATAATGTCCTTATTATTTTTCAAACAATTAACTAGACTCATTGGTAGATCATGAATTAATTGTGTGCTCATTGATAACCAATTTTGAAAGAATAAAAAAGGATAGAGCGGATTATAACAGAAAATGACAGTGTTCCTTGAACATAATTTTAAGAAAATTTGTTGAAGACTTCCATATTTGTGTGCATGTGTAGTAGCCAGGGAAATAATACAAGGAGTAAACCATGATATAAAATCTATTCTATTACTAATCATCTTTGTGAAAAGATATTAAAAGACACTGCTCTAACCAGTTGCTTGCCACAGGGACTGTCAACTTTATCAATTCTCTGTTTCAGAGATGGTGTTTTGTTGTTTAAAATGTACGTTTAATCATGTTATGAACCTAACCAAACATCTTCAGTAGTTTCAGTCAAGATTCCTAATTGGGTCTTTCATAACTATTCCCTCCCCTACCCAGAATTTTTGTTTTATACATCCTATTGCATATCTTAGATTCAAATATTATCAGACTACCTATGTCTTTGTTTATCTGTATTCCTTTATTTATGCTGATGTCTCTACCTGAAACTGCCTCTTTTCCTCAGACACCCTAGCCCTAAACCTGAAAAAGTCATATTTGTTCTTAAAAATCAATGATTAATATCCATTTCAATGCTTTACATAATTTCCCAGGCAAAATTGTTTCCACTGCTCTGGTGTAAAAGTACTTACTCTTATCTGTATTCTACTATATATTAAACTCTGGCATATTTTGTTACTTGTATAGGGATTGACATCTTTAATAAGTTAGTAAAGCTACACATAATAATAATGAGAGCTTATGTCCTCCTTTTGCCTCATTATCAGTGCCTAGTTCTGTGAGTACCTTTAATAAAGCAATTTGGACACCGTTAGTGTATCAATTTATTTCCTTCATTAGAGTGTGATCACCTCAAAAGTCGAAACTTGCTCTTTATATTTGTATCTGAACTTTCTGATAAAGCACTGAATGAAGAAGTGAAGAACAATTATAAGAAAGATGAAAGTTATAATTACATATAACTTGAAACAATAGGCACTGACAAGTGTATTTGTGTTTGGCTTTGGAGTACATTTTTAACCTATGTCTTATTTACAGATAAGTATGATAGTTGAAAAATAACAAGTACTTTAAATCAAAAACTCTAGCCATATTTTGGAAATCTATAGAAGGATAGATCTACCGACCATTTGCTAATGTCCATTTCATGTCAAAGACAGATAACAATGATAACATTTCACATTAATATGAATCATACCATCGACACTAGGTGTTATCATCTTACTTTCTGCTATGATCTGAATGTCATCACTTTTTTCCTCCTCTAATATCTTCCTCACTTAGGGTGCCTTCTCTTTCATATATTTTATTTATCTGTTTATTATTATGGTCTTTCCAAGTGTGAATATGCTCATGTTTCTGTACTTCTCAGTATGTTTCTCTTCTGTTTATAACAATAACAACAAAACTCAAACAAACAAACAAAAAGCAGACCAACATGCTAACAAACTCCAAGGGTCCTTCTTGGACTATAAGATTCCATGCAAATTCTTAACATGATGTCATGATCCTTCATCATTTAAATTCAGCATATCTTGGCTTTTCCCCTTGAATGTTCTTTATTACGAACCTAACAATAGGGTGGTCTCAAATTCTGTCTTATCTTTTTTGTTATTATTATACTTTAAGTTCTAGGGTACATGTGCACAACGTGCAGGTTTGTTACATATGTATACATGTGCCATGTTGGTGTGCTGCACCCATTAACTCATCATTTACATTAGGTATATCTCCTAATGCTATCTCTCCCACCTCCCCCACCCCACGACAGGCCCTGGTGTGTGATGTTCCCCACCCTGTGTCCAAGTGATCTCATTGTTCAATTCCCACGTATGAGTGAGAACATGCGGAGTTTGGTTTTCTGTCCTTGCGATAGTTTACTCAGAATGATGGTTTCCAGCTTCATCCATGTCCCTACAAAGGACAGGAACTCATCCTTTTTTATGGCTGCATAGTATTGCGTGGTGTATATATGCCACATTTTCTTAATCCAGTCTATCATTGATGAACATTTGGGTTGGTTCCAAGTCTTTGCTATTGTGAATAGTCTTATCTTAAGATCATGGAAAGTATTTGTCTGTGTGCTTACTGGTCCCATTGCTTCAGATTCCTCTTCGTCACATGTTGAATAATCATTCAGATGTACAGTGATTTAATTTAATTTGTAAGGCTTTGGAAGACATCATTAACTTGATTTTTGGAAAAGCTGTTATCAGTTTACATTTCCAAATGCATTTTACGAGAGTGCCAACATCAATGTAACTTTTTACTGACTAGTAAACATTTTAAAAATCTTTGTTAGACTGATATATGAAAAATCGTTTACAATCTTTGTTTCAGAAAATGGGTGAAAACATTTAAAACATTTAAAATTTTAGATATTGTCATCATTTCCATTTTTTAAAATTTTTACTTGTAGATAAAATAATTTCTGTGTGAGGAGTGACATAATTAGAAATAAAGAGCTGTACCTCTCATCACAACTTATATTTCATATTTCATGTGTAGTTTTAAGTTAAATTTTAAACATCATAATTAGAACAACATATAAATCATATTTCTACATATAACATAAATTTTGCATTTAAAATCAATAAACAAAAATCACAATTTAATTAGTTTTATACAAATTATAAAATTTCATAGATCAAAATCATGAATAAGGTATTAAGCAAAATTACTGGAGAAAATGTGTGTAGCAAATATTAGATAAGCAATGTTACTATTCCTAAACTATAAGTGGTTATTCGTTTTAGTAGTAATTTTAAAAACATCATTCTAGTGCCCTAGACTTGGCTGTCTATCATGAACTTAGCTGTTTGCTATTTGCTGTTTGAGTTAAGGGAATACATATCCTCTGTGAGAGTAGAAGGATAAAGTCTTAAGGCCATTCATTGTGAACATGTAGAAAAATAAGATATTTTTTTTCTGTTCCAGAAAAGTCTATTTTGTCATAAAAGAGTTAGCATTCAAGGAGGTCAAGAAGGTGATTTAAAGCTTTCTGTAAATTATCTACCAGTGGAGAATAAAAAATCGATTGAATTATAAAATGCATTGTACCAGCCAGTCAATTCCTCCATCCTTTTTCTTTGGGAAAAATATCATCCCTACTTTTAGGAATATAGATTATCATTAAATAATATATCTTTACCATATTACCTTAGTTTTCTGAAGACATATATATCTTCACTACATTTATATCTAATTTTACATACTCAGATTTTGTAGACACTCCTATCTGAGTGATATTGCTTTGTTTTTTATATCACATTGTGTAACATATTATTCAGTGTCAGTTTTATCCAGTTATTTAGTGTCAACTTTACATATGTTTGATAAATTTGGGGAAAGTTCATCTTCTTATTCATATCAGACAATAATAATTTGTGTCTCTAGTCAACAGGCTTTCCTTTTAGCCATGGCTGTTAGAAAATGCAGTGCCAATTTTAAGTTTTACCTATGACGATGAACTCAAACAAGATGTCCTTTAGCATCACTCATTATGAGTTTTGTTTTACAGTTTGTGCTTTTCTTTACTATGTTCTCATCTGATAAATGAGAAAATCACTCTGCTGTTAATAGGCCTATTATTATTGACCTCACTGAACAGTGAAAATAGTGATGGTTGTCTAATATTACATTTATAGTAATTAATAGGAACCCAGATTTTCTGATCCCTAATCTTTAGAACATTTCACTGTATCACTCTTCTTAGTTC
This sequence comes from Homo sapiens, assembly GCF_000001405.40. NCBI lineage: Eukaryota > Metazoa > Chordata > Mammalia > Primates > Hominidae > Homo > Homo sapiens. The sequence goes on from NC_000005.10 coordinate 100,871,963, forward strand.
TGTATTTTCTTGTAAAGGTTTAAATTCTCTTTATATATGACTCCTCTTATGTACTAATTTTGAAATTCAGTGTTTTAAAAATTCTGACAGCAGATACGTGAATACAAACCAAAATTTTCTCAACTCCTACATTAATTTTCTCATTAATTTATCCATTCAATAAATAAATTATATATACCTCAATGTATCAGGTTTTTCTTGGAAGTTATATTCTTTTTAAAAAATCTTATTCACTCTTTATTATTTTGTGTTTATAATTGACACATAATAATCCTATATATTTATGGGGTACAGCACGTATAGATTATATAATGATCAAATCAAGGTAATTACCATATTCATCACTTTAACATTTTTTTCATTTCTTTCTGGTGATAACATTGAAAATTTTTTTCTTGTATGTATCTTGAAATATACAATACATTGTAACTTTCTATAGTCAGCCTATTGTGTCATAGACACCAGAATTTATCCTTTTTGTCTGATAGGATTTAGCTGTGTCCCAACCCAAATCTCATCTTGAATTGTAGTTCTCATAACCCTCAAGTATCATGAGAGGGACCAGATAGAGATAATTGATTCATGGAGGGAGTTTCCTCCGTCCTGTTCTTGTGATAGTGAGTGACTTCTCAAGAGAGCTGATGGTTTCATAAGGGGCTTCCCCTTTGCTGGGCACTCATTCTCTTTCCTGCCACCCTGTGAAGAGGTGCTTTCCACCATTATTGTAAGTTTCCTGAGGCCTACCCAGCCATATGGAATTGTGAGTCAAGCCTCTTTTCTTTATAAATTACCCAGTCTTGGATATTTATTTATTAGCAATGTGAGAATTGACTAAACTGTCTAACTGTAATTTTGTACCTATTGACCAACCTCAGTGTACCAATCTTGGTGCTAGGTCCTAAAGATATGGGCTAAAAAAAAAAAAAAAAAAAATCAAACATAGTGGGAGCTCCAGCGTGCCTAGGGCATATTGTCTAGGCCAGCACATCTCAAGCCTTAATGCACATAAGAATCACCTGGACACTGTAATCAAATGAACATTCTGACTCAGCAGACCAGGTGCAAGTTCTGACATTCTGTAGTTCTAACAAGCTTCCAGGTGATAATGCTGGTCATCCAAGACCACACTTTGAGTAGCAAGGATTTACTTACATAAATAAGTACACATTTAAGTGGCCCTCTTAATTGATATCTTATTGCTGTTTTTGATTTATAAGGAAAAACATATGCACCAAGAGGAAATTAGGAGGAAAGTAGTCAAGGAGAGAAAAAGCTGCAGGGCAGGGAATGAAGATGTTGGTTAAGAAATTAAAAAGGAGTAAATAGAAGATAGTGATTTAAGCTAGAGGGAAGATGAGGAGAAGATAGAATGGAGGAAAGGTAAGTAGAAAGAAATAAGTAAATAAACAAACTTAAGTTAGAAATTCCAACTAATTAGCCAAAAGTGACAAAAAAAAATGTTATGTAGCTCTTAGTTGATTTCTGACTCACTATCTCTAGAAGACTCACTATCTCTAGTAGCTTTGTTTAAACAAAGTAAGGAGTGGTATTTGATGGTTAAAGAATATTAGGTGCCAATTGTAATTGTTAATCATTGCCTCCCTCAGAGTCCACCATATAACACCAAAGACAGTGCAGGGCCAGATTTTCTTGTTACCAAGGGGAAACAAGGTTTCTTTTCTATGAGGAACCAGTACTTAAGTGCTGCTTGAGAGTTTCTACAATCTCCAGCCATCCCAGAGAAAGGAAAGAATTTACCACCACTTTTCCAACAAAGGTGGGGAAGAGGAGACTAGGAGCGATGGAATGAGACTTTGCTCTCTGCCATCACTCAAAATCACTATTAGGAAATATATGAATATTTTTTATTGAAAACCACTGTTGTGAAATTATTGAGTATAGCTAGTACAAATATTAGAATATGCTTTTATGTAGATACTTATGAGAGTAGATTATGTAAAAACTTGAAAGATAACTACAGAAAAAATGTAAAAGCACTTTAAGCATTGCTTTGCAAAATTCAAAACAATTTTCACAACCAACAAATTAAATTCCTTAATGTAATATATACACTATTACATTAATTTCAAAAGTACTCAAAGAGAAAGAACCTAAGAAAGGTTTTGAAAGACACTTTATACAGATTGTATGAGGGAATCTTTCTAAACCTGTTTTCCTTTACCTATGGTGATATATAAATGATATATGCAATCTTTCAAACTCTCAATTCTTGAAATTTTACAACACACTTTTTGACAAATAAGCATACATGGTGGGGGTACACTTGAGGCAAGGATTTTGTAGGAGCAATTCTATCACTCTGTGGTCTCTATAATAGGTAAGTTGTAAAACTCCAGGTAGACAGAAAGAGTACATATATTAATCTCAGTTTGTAAATTAGAAAACTAAATATAGAAAAGCTAAAAACTTCATCCAATATCACCTACAATAAACTCTGATTGGACTCTTGGACTATATCTGAAGTGATGCTTTTCAGTGCAGCACAGCATCAATTTGATTCATATTTTTATGTCCTCTCTCTGTGCCTTTTCCTCTCTCTCCCTCTCCTTTTCCCCTCTCCCCTCTCTATATTTCTCTGCCTGTCATCTCTTTTTTCTTCCTTTTTTTGAGACAGGGTCTTGCTCTTGTTCTTGCTCTTTTATGCAGGCTCGAGTCTAGTGATACCATCATGGCTCACTGCAGCCTCAACCTCCCGGGGTCAAGTGATCCTCTCACCTCAGTCTCCTGAGTAGCTGGGACTACAGGCACACATCACTAAACCTGTCTAATTTTTTAATTTTTTTAGAGAAGGAGTTTTATCATGTTGCCCAGGCTGGTCTCAAACTCCTGGAATCAAGCAATCTTCCCACCTAGGCCTGACAAAGTGCTGGGATAACAGGTATGAGCCACTGTGCTCAGCTTCTATCTGTCATCTCTGTTTATCATCTATCTATCTCTATGTTTACATGATATTTAGCACATCAAACAATCCAAGTGCAAAATTTAAAAAATAATATCAATTGGACAATTTTTCTAATGCTTACTAGCTTTTATTTAACTTAATAAAGATTCTATCATTATTCCATTTTATGTGGCATTAAAGAAGTGTTATGTAAGTTAAATTCAGCTCAGATATGTACTAGACAATCCCCTGAACTGTATGTAAAGTCTAAAAGTGGGTCAAAGTATTCTACAGTACAGGTAGGTAGAGACCACCAGGGTTTTAGTCAGTTGAATATTTTTCAGCCCCTTATGATGGTGACTGAATCTGTTAATAGTTAATTATATAAGGTGTGTAGATGTTGGCAGTGTTCTGGTTGGTGTAGAGTAGAATGCTGATAGCTTATGGCACTTAAATAAAACTTTAACGTGACCAATGATATCTTCTTAAAATTTATTATGTGTGATATCTAAAGATTAGTAACCTAATTAGTTATCCTGACATATCTCAAAGACTTCAGATAAAGTTCTGAGTGGGAACACCTCATTCAGCATTGGAAGCATACCTTAATTTCTCTTTCAAACATTCTATTAGTCCCTCTGCATTATTGGAAATAATAAACCTGGCCGTAGACAAATATTTTAAATGTGGTATGTGTCTTTGGAGACTCTGAATTGTAGTGATTATTCCTCACCCCACACAGCACAGGTTGTCCTTTAAGAATGAATGTAGATGTTCATTTCTGTAATTGGGCACTGTTCATGACTGGCTCTTGGTTGGTCCTCTTGAAAGTTTATTGTATAAATAAAATAATGTAACAAGTGTTAGTGTTTTTGATAAAATAAACTTGACGTTTATCTTTTAACAGCTAATTTTCTCTTTAAATGTTTACAAGAAAAATATAAAACCAATGTATTTCAGTTGATAGAATTTTCATTAATGTGGACTCTTGTTGAGACAAATTTTAGGGAACTAGTTCTAGAGGTTCCCAAATTTACTAATGTTAAAAGTAGTGGTATCAAGTAGTGTTTTAGTGTTTTACAATTTTAAAATCACATATATTATACCTTCTTCTGCACACAATATTACTATTGATGTTAGAAGTGTAGCATTAGTCAACTGAATATTTGGAATTTCTCTTTTATTAGTTAATAAAACAAAGACATAAAGCCTAAAACTATACTCCTCTGTATTTAATAATACCAGAAATACAGATGTTATCTGAAGGATAAAAGAAATTATCCCAGAGATGAAAAAGAGAATATGAGAGATCGAATTATATATGTAACTGAACATTCTTTCATACAGAATCTCATAGGGGAAAATCATCATTTTCTGCAGTTTTAAGGTAGTTCATCAAGAGTATTCAGAATTCCTATCAATCTTTGAAGAGATACGTCTAAGGAATAATACCAAAACAATATTTTCTTTTATGCTCCCATTTGCTTTTTTTCCTCAAGCAGGTGAGAAATGGTACATAAATGGCACATCAATGCCTAACCAAATTTGTCAAAATTTTGCTTGTCTGTAATCATATGACAAAATCTTAGTATTACAAGGACATTATCTTTTTTTATAAACCTTTCTTATCAGAGGGTACTGCCGGACAAGAAGTAAGATATCTTTAACCTAGCCAATGACTGGCTTCCTTTGTTTTTCTATCTTAGCCAATCTTCTTTCTTTGAAACATGGTATTTGCTATTTAAGGAATCTCGTAAAAATACTAGGCATTTTTAGAGTTCCACATATAAAAACATTGATCACAGTGTATTTAAAATTCTTACTTAAATTAGAGTTTTAGACATTTTTGTTAAGAAATAAGAATTTTACTCTTATGATTATTTTTCTGTTATTTAGGGATATATGTACATGAGACCTAAATTTTAGAAATCAGTTTGATATTGAGTCACTCGGTAGGAAATGAAAATTGAGCTTTAATTTATTTTCCTATTTTTTTCTGTTTCTTTTTTTAACTTTAAGCATCATGTAATGATATTGACCAGGACTCTCATTTTTTGAAATACCCCATTAAAAGCATTATTTAACGTAATTGATTAATGAATGATACAAACAGCCACTAAGAGAGTACCTTGGTTTATAAAGTTAGAGGTCAACTTGAGTATAATACTTGGGTAAATCTTATCCTTAAGGAGTTACTGTACTAATTAGTGCCCACTGCAAGTAAACCAGGTATAATTTATCTCTCCCTCTCTCTCTCAACAAATTTACTGTGTTAAATGAAAAGTGAGAAACAAAAAAGTGGAAACACAGACTGTAAAACCAACCATCCAACAAATCAATCATATCTACAGCTATGCAGATATATACACATCTCCAGGATAATAAAAAATTCTAGGGATTCTAAAAATTATTACTGAAATTTTGTAATAATTTTAACCAGTTCAATGTGGCTAGGAAACTATTTCAAGAAAGAATAATGAGGATTGATTAAATTTGAAGCAAAAATTCTCTGGACCTTCTAAAGTAGAGGAGACACATTGGCAATAACAAAGGGCTACGCATACACTTGAGGAAGGAAATGTGTTTGTTACACAAATAATGAGTCAGAAGGCAACAAGAAGAACAAGAGTTGTAAGGAAGAAAGAAAGTCTGGTATGACAATAGGTCATTGAAGATCTCGTGTCCACAATGAAGTGACTGGTTTATGTTCATAATTCAGATTAGAATTTTGTATTTTCAAGGGTTGTTACAAATCTAAGAATGTTAAGAGGTAGCACAATATGACCCTCAAAACAGAAAATAGATATCATCCTAAGGGAAAACGTAGTACCAGAAGAAATAATCCAAAGTCTATTGGTTGAACACTTACACGTGATTATGGAGAGCTTCTATTATTAAAATTATTATCAAAATTGTCTTTGATTTTTGTTTCATATACTCTATATTTAAATTATGGTCACACTCTCCACCTATCAATTACAAATTGGTATTTGTGAGCTGAAATTAACTTTTGTCTTTGGGAAAATGGGTTGGCATTGGATTCTGTTTTACTCCTCCGTCTTTACTACCCCTCAAATAATGATTTGATTTCAGAAATTCAAATGGCTATTAATTAACCTTTGAAAAGGATCTAACTTATAGGGAGTTTAGGCACTGGGAGAGTTTGGTTCATCATTAATATTGCCAGACATAGCACCTCATTTTTCGGCTTGATGGTTTGAAGGATATATTCTTAGGAGTGGCCTAATTAATCAAATGAGAAGAATGAGGTCACATGCCTCTTCACAAGAAGTGACAGTCTTTATTCAGAAGTGACAAAGATTTTTTTTTTTAATGGAGTTTCGTTCTTGTTGCCTAGGCTGGAGTGCAATGGAGCGATCTCTGATCACTGCAACCTCGGCCTCCCAGGTTCAAGAGATTCTCCTGCCTCAGCTTCCTGAGTAGCTAGGATTACAGGCATGCACCACCAGGCCTGGCTAATTTTGTATTTTCAGTAGAGATGGGGTTTCTCCATGTTGGTCAGGCTGGTCTCGAACTCCCGACCTCAGGTGATCCAACTGCCTCAGCCTATCAAAGTGCTGGGATTACAAGCATGAGCCACTGTGCTGGGCTGCAAAGTTTTTATTCCCAGGCATTACTTTTGCTCATTTTTTTGTTTGTAATGATGACTCTTAAGTGCTAATTGAACCTTGATACAACCATCAACTACTTAATAATAACCAACTATCAGTGTTTTGCTTATTGCTTCCTACAATAAAAGAGTATATTTTTCAGCTCATAGGTACTGAGAAAAGTTTTCAAGTATCTCCACAATTAAACACTGTAGAATACAGTAAGTGATCACGTACAATTTCATAATAAAATGATAAAATTAAACTCAAAGGAATGAATTTCTCAACTAGCTATTAAGTAACAAAAGATGGTTTTTCTGTAGATATTGTTTCTAAAATGTAGATACTTTCTAAAGTGTTCATTAGAAAATCTGATTTTTTGTGGTAAATCAGAAATTTTGTTGTAGAATGTTGTAGATTATATTATGTGGTAGGCAGTACCACATGTTTCGCTTGGTGAGAGGGTGAGACAAAATGCAAACAACAGATGCCAAATCTATAATCCCGTACCGCATGAAAGACAGTAGAGCCCTAGCAAATAATTTAATCTACAACATTCTAACTTCTATTTTTGGAAAGTAGTAAAAATATAGAACAAATCAAAAATGATCATGGTGATAATTTTTGTGCCTTCACTAAGATGCTTATCTTTACCTTTCTATACTTCTTGGTAAGTCCAGAATACATTATGAACTTCAATTGGTCACTATTTAGTTCTTATTAAGTAATCTTTTTAAACAATCACAGCTGCTAAAATATCAAGAGACTCCTAAACTCCTAGTCCTAAGTGTACTCTGCCATTTACAAATTTTCAAGCACAAATCAGTAAATTCTGTGGCTATTCAACTCATTTCTACATTGCAAATTTATAGAGAAAGGTTTAGAAATTGTTCTTGAAAGTTAAGCTCATAAAAATTTGAATTTGTAGAGCCCAATATATTTGCTTTTAATTTTATCATCTTTAAATATAATATAAAGGAATGTTTTACCTCTAAAGAAATAATAGAGATGTTGTGTCTTTAAAGGAATAATATAATAGAGATGACGATAGTTTAGAAAAAAAATCTAGTTATCAAAAGATTTCAGATGTGCACATGTAAAGTAGCCTCTACCTTACAACATTTCTCTAGGTTGTAAGACACTGAGTTTATGTAAATTCAACTTCATGCAAATTGTTTCATAAGATACATTCTATAAATTTGGAATTATAGACTATATACTGTAAGTTTAAAAATATGTTAATACGAGAAAACAAAGAGGCACGCAAAGCAGAGATCCTCATGTTTTGCTTGGTGAGATGGTGGGCTAAAAGGCAAACAACAGATGCCAAATATATGTTTCTCCATGAAAGACAGAGTAAGACAGCTTCTGCATTTACTGTAGGAAGAATTTGCATCCTGCTCTGAAACTTGGTCACCTAAGGTTTTAGAGGAGATGATGACTAGATGAGCTGTAGTTTTGGAGGAGATGATGTGACAGCCACTCATCCCAGACAACCAAGTACATTATTATGGTAATATTGAAGTTTGTATAAGGGATTATCATTCATGCAAGGTGGGATGGATGACGGAAGACCATGATAGAACACTTTTCTCCCTCCTCTCCCTCCCTCTCTCCTTTACTTCCTTCCTCTTTCCCTCCCTTTCTTCTTTTCTTTCTTACTACATGCCTTCTTGCTTACCTCTAGCAAATATTTATAGAATATATAAATATGTCAGACTCTTTACTAGGGTCTGAGATTAAAAAAGGGATAAATGCAGGCAAAGCTTGCCTTGCATATTCTAGTTGTAAAGATAAACAATAAATAAATAAACATACAATGCAAAAATAAATACATAAATGGAAGGGTAAAGAGATAGTGACAGATGGTGACAGTGGTAGGGGGTGTTTCTGATATTACAGTCAGAGAAGACTTGCAGAGGATATTCTGTACAAGCATAGACCCTCATCCTTTCCCCCAAATAAGGGGTAAAACCACCCATAGGTATGTGGGTAAGAGGGTTTCAGGGAAAATGACTGGCAGGCACATCGTCTGTCCCTGAAGCTTCAGATTACCTCATTTATTGTTACTGGCAAGATATTAGTATTTTATAGAGTGTGGTAAGAAGCTGCTTTATGATGAAGAGAGACTTTGGCTTTGGGAACAGGGAGCAAGAATGCAACCCGTCACATCAGTTAAGGAACTATTGTAGAGTTCTAATCAAGAGATGATGTTGGCTTTTACCAGGGTGACAGCAGTGGATGTCATGAGAAATCATTTGACTCCTGATATTTTTTGAAGGTAATATCTATAGAATTTGCTGATTAATTGGTGATATAATGCTAAGAAGAAAAAGGGGTCAAGGCACTTTTATGGCAATTTCAATTTTTCTCATTCATATTTACCATAAAATAATTAAATAAGATATTTGTATGTGCCTGTGGGTGTGTATATGAATCTGACACTCTAAGACATAGTTATCTGAGTTAGATATACATAAAACACATATATCTACATTCACTAAATTTCTACATTATAGTGAATTAAGTGTCAACTCCCCATATATGTGCTTTTCAAAGATGCAGATTCTTTCTCCACTCTAAAATTTCTGATTTTGTATGCAGGTAAGACTCATGTAGGAAATTCACCAACAGTGGGAGGTAGACTGAAGTAGGTTGTAGATTTACAGAAATGTGTTTGAAAAATCCACGGTGATGTTCCAAAGTCAAAAATATAAATTAAAACTCCAGCAAGCCTATCTTGTTTTTAAGTTTATAAACTCTGTTTGAATTGTCAAAGAACTCTTGTATTACAAAGTATAGAGATAAGTCTATTTTGAATTGAGAAAGTTAGTATTTTGTGTGGCATATATTCTTATATAATAACTCTCATTTTAGTTCATCTGAGGTCATCCGTTCTCTGAGAAGAGAAAGCGCCTGGGAAATACCAATGAGAGAAAATTCTAGTTTGTTAACTATGTCAACATTATTCTCAAAGTTTTAAAAGTATTTTTTTCACACTACTTAATATTACTAGTTATCTAGGCAAGGAATTTTATCTTTTAAAGTTTGGATGTAAATATATATATATTATAGAATACTCATGAAATCTAAAAGAAAGTAAAGCACACATTGCACACAGAAAAAGTATAAGGTCAAAATACAACTGTTGACTCAATGAGGTTCTCACTTGATATAGTTTAGCTGGGTCCCCACCCAAATCTCATCTTGCATTGTATTCCCATAATTCCCACATATTGTTGGAGGGCCCTGGTGGTAGAGAATTTGAATCATGGGGGTGGTTTCACCCATAGTGTTCTCAGGGTAGTGAATAAGTCTCATGAGATCTGATGGTTTTATCTAGGGTTTCCGCTTTTGCATCTTCCCCAGTTTCTCTTGCCACCGCCATGTAAGAAGGGCCTTTCGCCTCCCACCATAATTCTGAGGCCTCTCCAGCCATGTGGAATTGTAAGTCCAATTAAACCTCTTTTTCTTCCCAGTCTCAGGCATGTCTTTATCAGCAGCTGAATACAAACTAATACAGTAAATTAGTACCCGTAGAGTGGGGTGTTGCTGAAAAGATACTCAAAAATGTGAAAGCGACTTTGGAACCGTGTAACAGGCAGAGGTTGCAACAGTTTGGAGGGCTCAGAACAAGACAGGAAAATGTGGGAAAGTTTGGAACTTCCTAGAGACTTGTTGAATGGCATTGACCAAAAGCCTGATCGCAATATGGATAATAAGGTTCAGGCTGAGGTGGTCTCAGATGGAGATGAGGAACTTGTTGGGAACTGGAGCAAAGGTGACTCTTTTTATGTTTTAGCAAAAAGACTAGTGGCATTTTGCCCCTGCCCTAGAGATTGGTGGAACTTTGAACTTGAGAGAGATGATTTAGGGCATCTGGCAGAAGAAATTTCTAAGCAGTAAAGCATTCAAGAGGTGACTTGGGTGCTGTTAAAGGCACTCAGTTTTAGAAGAGAAACTGAATAAAATAAAAGTTTGGAAAATTTGCAGCCTGACAATGTGATAGAAAATAAAAACCTATTTTCTGGGGAGAAATTCAAGCTGGCTGCAGAATTTTTCATAAGTAACAAGGAGCAGAATGTTAATCCCTAAGACAATGGGGAAAATGTCTCCAAGGCATGTCAGAGGTCTTTATGGCAGCCTCTCCCATCACAGACCTGGAGACCTAGGAGAAAATGGTTTCACGGGCTGGGCCCAGGATCCCTGTGTGCAGCCTAGGGACTTGGTGCACTGCATCCCAGCTGCTCCAGCCATGGCTGAAAGGGGCCAATGTAGAACTCAGGCTGTGGCTTCAGAGGGTGTAAGCCCGAAGCCTTTGCAGCTCCCATAAGGTGTTGAGCCTGTGAGTGCACAGAACTCAAGAAATGGGGTTTGGGAACCTCTGCCTAGACTTCTGAAGATGTATGGAAATGCCTGGATGCCTAGGCAGAAGTTCGCTGCAGGGGCGGGGTGCTCACGGATAACCTCTGCAAGGGCAGTGTGGAAGGGAAATGTGAGGTTGGAGCCCCCCACCCCTCCCACAATCCCTACTAGGGCACCGCCTAGCGGAGCTGTGAGAAGAGGGCCACCATCCTTCAGACCCCAGAATGGTAGATGCACAGACAGCTTGCACCGTTTGCCTGGAAAAGCCGCACTCAATGCTAGTGCGTGAAAGAAACTGGATGGAAGACTGTATCCTGCAAAGCCACAGAGGCGGAGCTGCCCAAGACCATGGGAACCCACCTCTTGCATCAGCGTGACCTACACGTGAGACCTGGCATCAAAGGAGATCATTTTGGAGCTTTAAAATTTGACTGCCTCACTGGATTTTAGACTAGCACAGGCCCTGTAACCTTTTTGTTTTGGCCAATTTCTCCCATTTGGAACGGCTGTATTTACCCAATAACTGTACTCCCATTGTATCTAAGCAGTAACTAGCTTGCTTTTGATTTTACAGGCTCATAGGCGGAAGGGACTTGCCTTGTCTCAGACGGAACTTTGAACTGTGGACTTTTGGGTTAATTCTGAAATGAGTCAAGACTTTGGGGGACTGTTGGGAAGGCATGACTGGTTTTGAAATGTGAGGACATGATATTTGGAGGGGCCAGGGTGGAATGATATGGTTTGGCTGTGTCCTCACCTAAATCTCGTCTCAAATTGTACTCTTATAATTCCCATGTGTTGTGGGAGGGACCAGTGGGAGATAATTTGAATCATGGGAGCAGTTTCCCCTATACTGTTCTCGTGGTAGTGAATAAGTCTTACGAGATCTGATGGTTTTATCAGGGGTTTCTGCTTTTGCATCTCCCTCATTTTCTCTAGCTGCTGCCATGTAAGAAGGGCTTTTCACCTCCCGCCATAATTCTGAAACCTTCCAGCCATGTGGAACTGTAAGTCCAATTAAACCTCTTTTTCTTTCCAGTCTCAGGTACGCCCTTATCAGCAGCATGAAAATGGACTAATACACCACTTAAGGAAGTGCTAAGGCTATTCTGCTAAAAAATTAGATCTGTTGATTGACAATAGTGGACAAGAAACTAAGAATAGACATTCAAATCCATCTGATAGTTAGCAATAAGGTAGATAAAGAATCTAGGAGCCACAAAATATGGAGTAAAAACAGTTAAACCAGTTTACTGAACATCACTGGAGTTGGGTTACTACAGGAATGATCAATATTCCAAATTGAAATTGGAGTGCATTAATATACGGCAGATTATAGGGTTTTAAATCTAAAAAGTAGGCATGAAATTAGGTGCCTAAAACATAAAAGGAAGAGAAAATATATGTACAATATCAACTTCTAGGCATTTTGCTGGAGTAGCACCAGAGTAGCTTAGTAGTGGTCTAAATGCCCAGTAGTCCATAGTAGAGCTGTGAAGGCAATACCATCAAGTGGCCAGTTGCTGCTTGGCCAGTGAAAGAGAAAATAGGCTTCAATTTTAGAATAAGAGAGGTGGACAGAAAGATTTTTTGGGATCAGAATTTTATTCACAGGTTGACTACATCCCAGAAATCTGGAAACCTATAGGCTTGCCATAGCCAATTGCAGGGAAGTGAGATATATGCAGGCTATATAACTTCTAGAAATTGAAGGCAGGAAAAGTGAAAGTGAGAGGTGGTAATATGAAGCAAGGTTGGCCACCAGCCACTCTTAAGACAGAGAAAGAGTGTAGGAACCTACTTATTGGACACACAATTCCATGTGAGATAAGAACTCAGTAGTTTAGGAATTGAAATAATGCAAAATCCCAGTCAATAGAAACTGGAGTAACAAAGCCAGATCAGGAAGCAATAAGGAAATGATACAAACTTTGAGGACTACTGCCATCAGGCCTCTCTCATTACCCACATGTAAAAGCAGTCTTCATTTCAGAGTCACAGGTGGGGCTAAATCTAACAACTTGGCCCCCAGTGTCAAAGTTTAGAGGGACACAGAAATAAGAAGTCATTTAGACTCTATTTTCCTCCAGTATTATCACCTTTTAAAATTCCCTATTGCGATTGTTGAAATCCTTACATTGCAACAATTTTGATTATGCCTTGACATCGTTACTTCTTTGTTTTACCTGACTTATGATTTAGTCACATCAGAAATTCTAGAGGCCTTACATTTTTTCACAGCTATACTTCGCATAGACTTCGACATTTGAAGCTCCTGATTTCCACTTCCATTGCCATTCCCTCATCAAATTTTTTACATCTTCTTTCTATACAATTGTCTTTGTTTGTATCTACTTGTTCACAAGGTTTCTCTTATAGTCTAATTAGTTTAACAGTTCAAGTTTTAAAAAGCTAAATTGATTTCACATTAATCTCTGACCCTTCACCCAAGAGAGAAAAGGAAAGATAATAAGGTAAAATGTTTGCAGTTTTATTTGCTATTATGAATTTTCTTCACTTGATAATGCTTGAGTGTGATTTCTCATGACTTTTTTTTTAAAAGTAGTTACCTATTTATGCTTTTAAGACTTTATTTAAAAATATTCAAAAAATATTCAAAATATTCAAAAATAATGTATTCCAGTATATCTTCAAGAGACTGTGTTTTTCAACATGTCAACTCAGCATACTTTTCTATCTATCTTTATATTGTACTATTTCATATTTCAATATCCATGTTTCTGTCATTTAGCTAATTTTTCTAAGGAACTAAAACAATCCAAAAAAACTGTACAGATATAAAAATTGATCATTAAAAACTGCTTATATTTATGATGTGATTATAATTCCATTTCTACTGTTGAGTTTTTTTCAGTTAATAGGTTAATCAAACACACAATTCATCAAATATCTTTTAACCGTTAATGAAAAACAAACATGCACGCTTAATTATGTTAAAAAAACATAAAATTCAAATATACTAACATACACAAATACCACATATAAAGAGAAATTAAAGAAATATGGCTCAGGATATCAAATATAAACTTGCTAAACTATGTTCTTACTATCTCCTAGATAATTATTAATAAAAAGTAACATTAACATAAATCTATTACATCATTCCATAGTAATATTCATAATCTTTATACAACAAATAAAATCACACAAAACTAATGAGTATGAAGAAGAGATACTAAGAAAAAAGTTTGTGTGGAATATTAAATTTAATAAAATTGCCATTTGCCTCCCCCCTCACCTCACCAAAAAAAGCTGTGTGAATCTTGTTGCTATGACAGGATCACTTTTTCTTTCAACTACGCAATAATTATAATATTCTATTCCAGGGTAAATGTAATTTAAATGTTGCACAGAAAAGGATATCATAGACAAATATTTGTTTGAGGTTTTAGTAATACTTTAAAATTTTCTAACAGTTTTCCACCCCCAAGTAAAATATCTTTGAAAAACTTACAATCTCAAAAAGCAGAAGAAAGCTCACCTTATTACAAAATTGTGACTGTCAATCTCCTTTCCACATTCACTGTCTAACAGAATGCCAGAATTTCCAACAACTGCACAGGTCTTAAACCTGCGATTCTTCATTGGTGAAACTTCAGGTAGGAGGCTATGTAGATCATGAGAAATGTTTAGTGTCCGGCGCCTGTCAAGCACATAGTGTATGACATCACCAGGCTTAAAACTGCTCTTGACCACTGACACATCTCGTTCTGCATCTAAGAAACGAAGTATGTTCTTCCTGTATTTGAAATACAAGCAAAGTTTTACATTACCATCAGCATATCCAAGAACTGATGGTGTCATTTACAAAGTAACTTAAGACAAAATACAAATTGGCAAACTATTAATCTTAGATTACCAAATTGGTAAGCTATGAATCTTAGGTGGTGATTAAACCAATGAATTAAGTCGATTCTATAAGAAACAAAATTTTAAAAATCATTTGCACAGATTCTTAATGACTGTATACATAGATATAGTATAAACATCTATTTGTGGAGTTATAAAAAGCACTCCAATTATCAAAATATATAGAAAAATTGGTTTATTAAGTAAAACACAGTGGCCATGACTTGACTTTGAATAGTTATTCTGCTAGCTTCAGCGTATTTTGATAGTCATAAGTGTTGTTTAATATCATCTAGTTAAGGTGGAGAGAAATAATTTGAGATTGTTTTTGATTGTATCATAGTTAATGCTATTAAAAGGAATGAACTTCTCAAACTTATATACATTTATACATATGATATGTATATTATAATTATCTAAAGAAGAATTAAAACTATAGCAATAGATGTATATGCAACTTTTTCTCTAAGATCAAGAGTCCTGGAAGTAAGATGGATACATCAAAGACAAAATGAATAGATAGAACATTGGACTCTGTGTGGCAGAGGTAGCTAATTGTTCCTTAGTTTCCTTTTTTCTCTTCTTCCTTCTAATATTTGAACCTTCTAAGTTTTACTTGGGCACATGGATGCTCAGCTAGAATATTTGCAAGTCTCAAAACCCAAGTAGAGCTCAGTTGGGTCATGCAAGTTAGTTTTCTTAATTAAATAGTATATGAGTGGATCATGTGAGTTTAAGTGAGAAATAAAGAAATTTCCTACTTGTTTGGCCACTAAATTTTAAGGTTACTTTTTTGGTCAATACTTAGCCTAGCCCATACCTAATATATAAATTGATAACAGATTGAGAGGCTACATGAACGTAAATATATGCATATGCTAAGTAGGTAGATGATGGAAAATGATTATAATATATATATATAGCTGGCTGGAAAACTGATGATCCTTGGCATGATATAGAGAAGCACCTGATACAGTTGCTGTCTTCAATAATTTGGAAGTTGTGCCATGCATCTAATAAATATGTTGTTCTTGAATAATTGTTTAAAATGTGTCTGTATGTTCGTTTATGTTAGTTTCTCCTTTTAGTAAGGCACTAGAAGAGGTGAAGTCAGGCATAAAATAGCCAACTAACTTGCATGCTGAGATGAAAGGGAATACATATCTGGCAGTGCCTGTAATCTAAACTGTGTGAGAGTCTATTGATTGGGACCTTTTAAATGTTCCTGTAACCCCAATCAGCAAGAGATACCACTATAAATTGGAGCCATCCAGGCAGCAAAAGGGATATTGCCTTCCCATATAAGTCCATAGATTAAAATGACTTAAGGGTAGCTGCCATTAAATTGAGAGGAGGAAAGGATAGGTCAGAGTAATTAGAGGAGAGTTCCAAGGGTTAAGAACAGTGAGCAGAAGAAATCACTGGATGAGGTTATTTACACCTGGAACTAACAAGAAGGGAAGAGTCCGGGACCCTAGTAGATTTTAAGGAAAAAAAAAAAAACATATATATATATGGCTTTAATATCTGAGCTCTGGAGAAACACGAATCAACAAAATCTAATGCTTAATATGCATGCTTTACCAGTACAAGTTTTCCTAGTATGTGGTCAAGTTATTACCTGATATTCAAAGCAGGGGGTTGTGTTTGACTCAAACTATGAACCTGGCCTACAAAAGTCTGGAATTGTTTGATTCTAGGGGTATCCAACATAATAGGGGATATACAACATAATACCAGCAAAAAGCAATTTGAGAAAACGCTACACCTAGTTTGGAAATTGGATATTATTTACTAAAGTGCTCTTAGTGCAAGCTTGTATTTTCAAAGTAATAAAAACAATGTCATTATTATAACATTTAAGATATGATGGAAACATTTTTCCTCTAGTGCTCTTATTTTTTAAGCTCATCACAATTGGTAAATTTTATTAGTGAGAGCAGAATATAACCTCATCCCTTGACTCCATCAAAAGAGTAATTCTCTAACTCAGAAGGCATAAGCATGATTAGCAAAGAAGGGAGGAAAGTAACTCATATCTTTTCTTTTGTTGTCTTTATTTTGATTTGCTCTAAATATTTTCCAGTTTAATATTTGTTCTAATTAGAAAACCAAGTGATTGAAAAACTCTGCTCTAATTTTATAAACAAGAAATATGTCCACCAGCTAGTTGAAAAAATAATGTTATGATCTTTTTCCCCAAATATTCTGAATATCAGGTTCAAAACCAGTAGAATTTGTACAGAAAATCCTATACAAATGCTCTACAAATGAAATCACAAAAATTGATAGAAATACCACTGACACACCATAACAGTTTATCTTAACAAAGTCCAGGTTATATAAGAAGATAATTATATTTTAAATAAGCAACCCTAGGGCTTATGCATTATAGAAACTGGAAAAGTGTTTATGTCAAGCACTTAATGATTTTTCACAAAAGTTAACAACTAGCATCAAAAGTGGCAATATACAGAATTTTTTGTATATATTTATTGAGTACCACTTATTTGTCTGGTGAATAATTAATATCTGACACCTGTACTTCAACAGAAATTTCTCATTTCCTGTGAAAACGACAAGGCTGGCTCTAAAATAGAGACTACACGGATGTGGTTAAATCATCAGGCTAGATGGTGTTATCGTTTTTCTTTGAATATAATTTAAATGGGTTGCTGTAGATCTATTTGAAGATGTACACTCCCAAGAAGTGGCATGTTTGCAAGCTGCAGTGAGTAAACTAGTGGTCCTGATTTGAAAAAAGACTCTGTAGCTTGGAAATCCAAAAGGGAAAATCTATTTTATTTGGTCAAAAAAGTTAACACATGCTAGTCAACTAACGTCAAAATGGACTTTCCAATAACAGCACCTTTGCTGTGTTATAGACAGTTAGTTGCAAAAATAATGTAAAACATGTCTTTTAAGTTCCTGATTATAAGTAAACCTCTTTATTTTATTTACTCTTAGGGAAAAATGATTTAAAAAGGGAACTATAAGAGTTAAGCACAGTTTTAAAAGACATCATATTGTCTAACTCTTAGGAGAAACTAATGCTTAATAAGATAAATAATTACTAAATGCAGATTGTAATTATGTGTTTTTCCAATGTTGTTATAGGCTCAGCAGTATTTTTTCAACTGAAGCAGTGAAAATAGTAAAAGTGATTTCAAAACAGAAAAGACTACCAACTCACATAGACTAATCAAAATATAAAAACACAAAAAACTTAGGCAAAACTTGGAATTCGATATTTTACAAAGTAAAAAGAAAAAGAGGTAAACTTGAGTGACTCTGGGTTTGTTTGTTTGTTTGTTTTTTCTTATTCCTGAACCAAACTTTCAGTTTCTGTTTTAGGTCTTCTACGTATGGAAAATTATCTGAGTTAAGATTCCATTTATAGGATCCAAGAAAGACTGAAAGTAATTACTATGAGTGAATAATATTATGACTTAAGTGCTTCATAATTTTTGGAAACAGTAAGAAAAGGTTAGTTTTTTATCTCCTAGTGCAAACAGTTTTTAGATTGTAGATGTAATGGCGAATTAAAAGCTTTGTGAATTTGCTAAGTCTAGTTGTTGTTCAGACTATAAATATGAAAAAAAATTCAAGTATAATTAGCTAAATGTCATTGGAAGCATAGAAAACTCCTGTACTTAAACTGAACTGAAACAACAACATGTCACCAAGGAGAACATATATGCTTTTGCTAAGAAGACAATTGATAGAAATTTTTGTTTAACAGCAGGTCAAACAAAATTATTTCAGAAATGAGAGAGGTAGAAAGAAAACTGGCTTTAATATCTGCGCTCTATCTAGAGACACATGAATCAACAAAAGCTAATGCTTAATATGCATGCTTTACCAGTACAAGTTTTCCTAGTACGTGGTCAAGTTATTACCCAATATTCAAAGCAAGGGGTTGTGTTTTCTGTGCATGACTCAAAAGAACAAACAAAAAAAGACCCTTCACAGGTCTTTAACTGTCATTTTGTGATCCTAATTCAACTTTTGAATCCTCATTAGATAAGCAAACACCTAAATTGAGCAACTATTTTAACATTAAAGATAACTGAAGGAATCTGAAAATCTGTTTCATTTTCAGTGAAACTAAATATCTTAGTCATAAAAACTATTTTTTTTGTTAGGCAATATCAGCCTTAAACTGAAAGGTTGGTTTGGACTGTTGAACTGACAACAAGTAGAGTTCTACCCAGAAACTTTTAACTGAATTTTCAACTAGAACTTCCCTTTCAACGTCACCTATCACTTGAAATAGCAACTGCAGAATCCCAGAAAATTAATTTACTAAACATTGTTTAGTAACAAGTTTTCACTCGTGAAATGTTAAATATAACTAAGTTATCACCAAGTGCCACTCTTCTCTGTGGGTTTCTTGGCAATAATAAGCACACAGTTGCAACTAAAATTTAATCTAAATGACATTGTTAACTCCATCAGAAAATACTGTGTGACGAATCTTATAGGTGGAATGTATCACAAGTTGAGAAGCAAATTAGGCTATGATACATATGTTAGGAATCAGTTTTTGCAAACTTTAGACACTGACTACAAAAAAAAATCACTGTAAATTAAGTTAGTACTGACCCAGTTCACTAAAAGAAAATAAAAAGTAAAACTAAAAAATGCCCAGTGTTTCATTATGCCTACAAAAAAACAGAGAGAACACACATTTTTTATTTGTTTGTTTTGAAAGATTATTTTTGCAAGGCAACTTGTCTTAAAGCTCTGGAAGAATAAAACGTTTAACTGTACCTTATTTAGGATTTCTAAGTCCTAGCAGTTATGGGAAAGACATCTTAGTGTCAAAAAAAATCTTAAACACAACAAATGAAAAGGCAAAATTGTCCCACAATATTTGATGAAGAGCATTTTTAGTTTAATTTACACCCTAGAGTGCCATTTGATATTTGGTCCAGAATTTGGTAATGTTGAATGAAAAATGACTTTTGTTATTTTAGAGCAAAGAGAATCATTTATTCCATAATGATAAATTTTAATAATATACATTTGGGTACTAAAATATATTCTTAACAAAATTATTTTATAAGGTCCTGGTTCCTCAGTCAGGAGGTCTGGGTTTGAATCTTGACACTGCCACTAATAAGCTTTGTGACCCAAGATTAGCTCTATCGGTAACTTATTGATCAAAGCAAGTAGAAGATAGTATAAACATTGTATGTAGAAGTTTTTGTAAAGTAAATCTATGTATGCAATAGGAAATTTTTCTTGTCAGTTAAGCATATATAAATTTGCAATTATGTTTAGTTAACCTGCAGGTTTTATGTATTTCAGATTATTGATATATCATGACACTAAGAGCTGAAATATTTTTTCTAATTATGATGTGATAAAGCTATCCTGATGTGTACATTTGTACATTTCTATACATCTATAATTGATGTTTGCACTTTTCGGGGTTTCTAGTCAACATGTAAAAAACAATAACAAAAAAAGAAAATAAATAATCCAAATATGGAAAAAAAGTCAAGTTGCAAGTATTGGACATAACTACATAATCTCCCGTACGATGTTCACAGATTTATTCACAACATTTAATGCATCTTAAATGTGTTATTTCTTAGCTTATAATAATAAAGAACAAACTTTTATCAACAATATTAAGGCTTAAAACTAAGATAATTATTTTGAGTGCAAAGTTAGCTGTAGAATGCATAAACTCCATATATCGTGAATCCTCAAAGTACAGTGAAGTAACAGAACCATCTCTCATAGACAATTGCATAGAAGTACAGTTGTTTGATGAATACATATGAACCGATTCTTGGTGTGCTTATGAAAATAAAATAAGGCATATGGGAACAAAGGGATTAGTAATAGGGTTGAAAATCATATCCACAAATGTAAAAAAAAATTATCTCAGGAACTGTTTTCACATTTTATTATGCGGACAATTATTAGGAATATAATAAGAACATTATAAGTTTAATAAGATTTTTAAATTTCAAAGATTTATAATGATAGTTGAATCAGTAAGATAAAAAAATGGTTGGAAATAATGTCTTAATGTTCTCAATCACAAGTGAGAGTTGAACAATGAGAACACATGGACACAGGGAGGGGACCATCACACACCCGGGCCTGTCGGGAGGTGATGGACAAGGGGAGGAGAGCATTAGGACAAATACTTTATGCATGCAGGGCTTAAAACCTAGATGAGGGGTTGATAGGTGCAGCAAACCACCATGGCACATATGTACCTGTGTAACAAACCTGCATGCTCTGCACACATCCTGGAACTTAAAGTAAAATAAAAAATAAATAAAAATAAAAATAAACAAAAACTTAAAAGTAGAATTTTGAAAACACTTTTAAAATTTACCCACACCCAATCACTGACCCAAAGTGATATGGAAATTCTTAAATGCCAGAAAAGTGAGGAAGAAAGAAAATAATAACAATAATAATAAATGATCCATAATTAGTTTCTAATATCTTTTCAAAAATATTTGCAAAAGCTAAGCCAACAGTCAGATATTTTCATATTCTAAATTTTTTTATTACAGGTATCAAACTGATTAATACTCACTAGTCATTTCTGCTATAGCCAATTCTAATTTTTATGAACTCTTTGCACATTGTACAATAATGGTTTTACAAATTATCCTTTCCTTTCAAGGAAGTGACAACTTTGTATGTATTATTCAACATTTGTTCATTGTTTTATTGTTTATTTCTTTAATCTGTTAAGGAGAACCATACAAAAATAGTACTAACATTTCATTCATACTATCAGCTATTATAATTGAAAATAGATCACCCTCAAATACATGAATGTAATGCTCATTGATTTGTAAAATTGTAATACGAATCTTTTGGGTCAAGTTAGGTTTACTACCCTTCACTTGAATATGTTATTAATAGCAAAATGTATATAGCCTATTTATAGTATTTGATTTTTATATAGCTATTAGGAAAGGCATGACCAGATATAATACTTGAACTAGTGTCAATTACTTATTTAATTTACTTATTAGATTTTTTGCTATCTGACACATTATTTAGCATGGCTAGATATACTAGTTAAACTATTACAACATTTTATTTTACTTTCTTCCATCAGGTTTCTTTACCAGATCTCTATAGCCTTAATTGGCTCCTTTCTTGCTAAGCCATCCAATTTGAAAGTTATTTTTCTGCTTACAGATCAAATTTTTGCTATTTAATCACCTATCTCTCTCTCTTTCCAATATACCTTCAAGAAATATGAATCTTTACTCCATTCTAAACCAAAGTATATCTGTGTTTATAACCCCACATCAACTCACATCTTGTGACTTTTTCCTCATAATTATCTCATCTCTCACAGGGTTTCTAAATTCAAATATAAGGATGGGGATATGCGACAGAGAAGAATGCACTTGACAGGTATCATGAAAGATGTGAGCTCCAGGTATGAAAATGTCAAACTTGAGAGACCATGACTAGTGTCAGCTTTAACCAGCTAAACCTTAGGAAGAGTACAGATTCAGAGTTGTCAAATCATTCAATTTCTCAAGAGTTTATGGAAATCTGTACTTTTATTTTAAAGCCTCCTGGTTTTTAATATTGGCTTTAAGGTTTCTTTTTTATTTATCCAGTGGAAATAAATTTTTCTTGCTGGCCATATTCTACCCAGAAGTCATTGATTTATGAGCTCTGTCATCAGACTCTACTCATCTATTCATTCTTGTAGGAGGCACATGAATATAGAAAGCTCCCACCAAACTAAAAGCAAACAAACACACACCACTTGACATTGCCATGATTTGATTCCTGTTTCCCTTCCCAGTCAATTTCAAACCTTTAAACCAAAGTAGTAATACTATTCCTACATCGCCCTGATGCCCATATTTTTAAAATTTCCAGACATTCGTTCAAGTAAATTTCAACATGCTGTAATTATCTTTGCTCCAAAACATTGTGTGAAATTTCTGTGCATACTCTAAAGATGAGTGTAATAGACTAATAGACTCTTCCTTCAAATTTCTTATAATCTACATTAAAGGTAGGTATAATACAAGAAGTGAGTAGGTAGAAACCCAGGAAAATTAATTAGCCCCTTATATCTTAGTCACTAAGCTACACCTA
This sequence comes from Homo sapiens, assembly GCF_000001405.40. Classification (NCBI taxonomy): domain Eukaryota; kingdom Metazoa; phylum Chordata; class Mammalia; order Primates; family Hominidae; genus Homo; species Homo sapiens. The sequence goes on from NC_000005.10 coordinate 100,894,820, forward strand.
TAAAATCTGTGTGTTAATGCTAACTATTAATTGACTTTTGGATTATTTTATTATATAACGAATGTATTCTTTCACACTTTTAGTGAGTTCTTGTTTACTGAAATGCTGTGATTCAAATATACCAACCAATACAGTAATGCAATGTAACTATAAAGAAAAAACAATCTTCCTGTTTCCTCCATAATTAAGAAGGTATGACTCTAGCTTTCTTATTAGTAACAGGTTTATATCAGAAGAAAATTACATACTGGATAAACGTAGGCATGGAGTATGAGTTCAAGAGTGGGTTTCAGCTAAAATGACTAGTCTTACAAAGAAGAAGTCAGTAATCTAGAAAGCTTATTTTCTGATTTTTATCCAATTTTTAAAACATGAGCCCACACAGAAATACTCATTCACAGGATAAGACTAATTTATTTATAATCGTCAGCACAATAGAGTGTAATAGGCTCTAATTTTCAGCTAGTTGAGAAAACCCAAAAGCAGAATGAAGACTCAATAGGGAAGTTAAAGATAATTCTTAAAATATATGTCCATCCTGAGTAATTGAGTGAAGTATGTTAAATATCAGTACTCTGCTGAATATTTTATTCCATTAGTATAAAGACAATATATTCAAAACTCACATATTCATCCTTAAATCTCTGACTATATAATGATTTCAGTTTTATGGTTTCATATTCTTCAGTGAGCAACATTAAATAGAGCTGGTTCATTCTTTTATTTAAGTATTCATACTTAAACCATAAATCCAGTGTTGAATACAAGTTTGCCAAGCCCAACGTATTTGAGAACATGATGTGAAATTTATTATGCCTTAGTAAAGAAACTCACCTTATCTCTAGGACCAAAGAGGAATTGATTTTCCAACCTTCTACATTGTGCTGGAAGATTGAAGAGCCAGCCTTTCGAATGATTTTATCAGAGCTATTGACAAGTGACCGACTCAAAGACAATTCACCATCTCTGAAACAAAACAAAATTGCCAGCTTTGTGAAAGTAAGAAACATTTTGTGTATACAGCACAGTACATAATTTGAATTAATTACTGGTGATGAATTTTAGATACTTTTTCCCCTACAAGTTAGAAGGAAATACGCAAGCATGATGAAAGGTGTTATGAGGATTAAGTGAATATGACTATCAGGACAAGAATCTACACGTAATATTTTTGAAATTAAACAATTTCTGAATAAAAAAAGATCTCTATGGTACTTAAAGAAAAAAAATCACCAAATATAAAGACAGAATTACATAATTCAGCAATCTCTCCTCTGGGCATATACACAAAGGAATTGAAATCAGGATGTCAAAGAGATGCTTGCAGTCCCAAGTTCATTGTACCATTATTCACAATAGCTAAGATATAGAAATAATATAACTGTCCATTAACAGAGGAATAGATAACGAAAATGTGGTATATATACCAATGGAGTACTATTCAGCCCTTAAAAAGAGCAAAATCCTGCCATTTGTGCTAACATGAATGAACCTAGAGGACCTTAAGGTAAGTGAATAAGTGTAAAACATAGAGATAAATACCTTATAATCGCACTTATATATTGATTCTAAAACAGTGGAAATCATAGAAGTAGAGAACAGAATATTGGGAAGAAAGAGTGAATGGGGAATGGGGAGAAATTGGTCAATAGGTACAAAATTTCACACTTAGACGGGAGGAATAAGTTCTGTTGCACAACACAGTGACTATAGTTAATAATATTGTATATTTTTAAGTAGCTCCAAGAGATTTTAAATGTTCACACTACAAAGAAGTGACATGCTTTTGAGGTGATGGATATGCTAATTAGCCTGATCTTATCATTACAAAGTGTATACTTGTGTAGAAACTTCACATTGTATCCCGTAAATATATACAATTATTGTTTGGCAACTAAAATAAGATAAAACAAATAAGCTCTGTTTCCTCACTAGCTCTGTTTAGACAACAGAGACAGAATGTTTTGTAAGTGCTCCTCCATCTGTATAATTGTGATTCCTAAGATTGTAATTTCATTTTTACAGAAGGCATATATGCATAATAGAAGGGGATTCTGTTTTGAAGCAAGAATAACTTGGAATATCAGGTGATCTGGGCATGTTTGTGATTCTATGACTTGCTTGAGTTCCTAGACTCTATTCTCTTTCTAAGCCACAGTAGTCTTACCTTACCTTGAAAATTACAATAACTTTATGTAATATACAATGGCTTTGTGAGGATCAAGTAAGGCTCTGCATGTAAAAGTAATTTTTCAAAAATTGCATTGATTTCAAAACATCTCAACGAGTCACTTCCCTGACAGTTGGTGGAGAGACAGAGATTATAGTAGAGAGAAAACTCATTAAGTAGTCATTATTAGTAGTATTTTCTCTTACATTAAAAAAACTACCTCCCTGCAACCAATAGTGTCAAGCTAGTATATCATGTGGCATGGTACTAGCTGAGGTGCTGGTGGGAGTGATGATGCTGGCAGATACCTGTAATAGCATGCATGCCATTAAAACATTTATATCTGAATAAATTCATTATTCAATAGACCATTTTCTTGTACTTTATAAATGTAAACCCAGACTCAGAAAATCAAAAAGCTACTTCTTATGGTATACGAATAGTAACCATAGCCCTTTGAATATTTGTATTTATTTCTTTACATCGCCTTTTACTTCTTAGAAAGTCAAAAATATAGTTAAAAAATAACATGACTATTTGCTCCATAACAAAGTCTAAAACTGTGTTTTTTTAATGCAGGCAATCCTCTCCTAGTATCAATGGAAACATTGCCTGTGTAACAGCTATTCGATGAATTCTGTAATTGAAGCCTTATAGTTTGGTATTTTGGTTTGCATTCTTTTTTAAACATGTTAGCTTAAATCTGAAGCAGCTCAAAGCATCATCATAGGCTGCTACTCCCTGTGAAATTCATAATTCTATAAAAATTAATATCTTAAACTATCCTACTGATGAAAATGATACGTTTGCATGCCTATGCATGGCAAATAATGATTGCCTTACAGGGAGCATTTAGGATGCCAGAAAACACGGGGTGTGCTTTACTGACCATCGGCCCAGAAGTCAATTTTTATATTATATTCATAATGATAATAGCTACTTATGAATAAAAATGTGGTTATACACAGAAGCTAACGTTCACACTTTGGGAGATATGACTACATGATTTCAGGTGCAAACTATCACTATTTCTGTGGATAAGGTATATTTCTAATCATCACCTTATTAATTGATGTATCAGTGTCATCTTTTTCTAACCACAGATTGATATCATTATAATAATTATTTTCACCACCAATAAACTTTCATAGGAGAAATAAAAATATGCATGGGCTTGCACTCTTTAAGATGTGTGGAAGAGCTGGGTATGGTTGGCAGTGCCTACTCAGGAGGCTGAGGTGGGGGGATTACTTGATCCTAGGAGTTAGAGACCAGCCTGGGTAACATCACAAGTCCCTGTCTCTAAAAACTAAATAATTAACTACATAAATAATCTATAGATGATTGCTTCATTGACCTAGAAATACAGATACATTTTTACATGGCAGAATGTTTGATATGATGTTTTCAGTTGTGCCAAGCCTTTTCAGAATATCCAAGATTTAAAAAGTTTAAATCAGTGTTCTATGAATAAAATGCTACCATTTTACTCCGCTGTTTGAATTGCTTTCATTGAGCTGGTGATAAGCCAAATTTCAGACTTTCATCACTGGAAAGAATTTTGAATGAAAATATCTACAACTAGTCACACTTTTTATAGTCAGTGTGGGAGAAGGTCAAACTTAGTACAATCTGAAGCTCTAGAGTAAATTTCTCTGTATAAAGTTAAATGGGTCCCATGGGATGTTTCACTCATGACCTTGGTAGCATTCTGTCTCAGAAAAGGCTCTTCCTTCCCATGAATGCGAAGCTTGAAGGATGTTGCCACCCCCCTACTTGTCTCTCATTCCAGATCAGACATGACTTTTGAACAGCTGCACTGAAAACATTTATTGCATAGGATCATCTACAAGAAGATTCAATATGTACTTTTAAAAGGAAAATAGCGAAACACATCAACGAAATCACTCCACATAAATCAATATAATACAAAGGATCCCTGCTTATTTGGATCAAAGAAAAATTCACTAAGATGGTCATCTATGTGATACCAGTGGCAGGAATTAATCATTTTTTAGGTAACCTAGTGTCTACAAATATTTCCAGGCTTCACCACAATTTACTTCATTAGTTTTGCAGTACGTAAGACATATGATTAATTTCACTTCATGGTATTAGGTCTCAAAAGCCCCGTATTCCACCCTACTGAAACTCTTCATGACTTGGCTTTTGAATGTATTTGTTCCCTTTTAACTAGGTTAAACTTCCTCTTTAATATAAAAATTTAAATAAAGAACTTGCATGAAACTAAGCCTGAATACACACAGCAGGCCATTTTGTATTTTCATTACCTAAGTGTCAAACAACTAAAAATAAAGATGATAGTTTCTACCTTAATTTATGAGTTTTAGTAGAATTGTGAAATGTGAAATGTGAAGTAAAGTGCAAATTCTAGATTTCTGCACTCACGAGGTTGTGTTTCATCCTAGAACAAACTGGGACTAACTTTGCTGTCAATGGTAATACTCTAAGTAAAAATATTTATTTCCACTTTCAATTTTATCATAGGTTTTAGAACTAATATTGTTGATTATTTAGTAATACAACCTAAAGTACATAGTCAAATTATAAGAGAGATCTTTGGATAATAAGAAAAGTAAGTTAGTCTCATTTGTAGTCAACCAGAAAAATAGTGTGTAGCAAGATTTAAGGACTAACAAAACAAATATTTATATGACATTAAAGTTTATGTTACACTTTCAAATATATTATCTCATTAAATGAGGATGCTTACATATTTTACTTGTGGGAGCCTTACATTAACACATTTCCAGTTATACCCAAAAGTGCACAAAGAGCTAATTAAGTCATAAGCCAACTGTGAGGTCTACTAAGAAAGTAAAGTTAGTCAAGAACACACCACTTAATGCCTTCACTGCTCTTCAACTTAAACTTTATTAACTAATAGGCTTTTATGGAAGGAAATATGAATTTTAGATGTTCAATAATCATTACTTGACCTATGCTGGAACAATTCCTTATGTATTTAAAAAAACATGTCGCAGGTATTCCTTTGGAGATATGAGAATGTGGATGGTTGGTGAGAAGGTTGTGCTGGTTTTCTATTTTTCCATCTGCGTGGTATGACTGCTCAGTATTGTGGCATACTGTAAGAGTAACTATAGATGGGACCCCCATTTGCGGGGGGGAAGGGTCGAAGGGATAAAGGAACTGCCTTGTATTGCAAAATTGGTAGCAGAAAAGCTAAATATGAATCTGGGGTAGTGATGCAAGATTCAAGGACTATGGAAGGCCCTTCTTTGAAACTGCTGCCAAGCCACAAGGCTCGCAGTGCCCCCCAAAGGCCAGAGACTGCCTTGGTTACCTCACTTGAATACTGGACCGGGATCTGGAGCCGAACCTCCATTCCAGTTTACTCAAAACTCAAAACTGGCCTCTCCACGTGGCTTGGGTAGAAAGACAGTCAATGAGATGATTTGATGGTTTTATGAGTCAACTCCTCCACCAGAAGCGCTGTTTGGGAGTTGAAACGAAATAATGAGCTCGGGTCACAAGCTTTTCCACGAACCTTTCATCCTGGAGAAAAAGGAAAGTGCTCAGGGAGCCTAGCTGCCCTCGCATTGTTCCTGGCAGCTCCAACTCCTTGCACAGTCTTGGTCTCTCAGGAGACCAAGGCAGTCAGGACGCTACAGGGCACGGGTGTAAGCGCGACGTTCGCGGCCAGCCCTCTGCCTTGCCCCACTGTAATTGCGGGTTTTGATTAAGAAGGAGGAGCCAGTTGCCGACTGAGCTTTGAAAGTGACTTTGGGTGGGGGGTGGGGGTGGGGTGGGGGTGGAAGGAGGGGAGGGACCAAAAGAGCCTGAGTCCTGCAATAAAGGTTTCCCCCTATCTTCTCACTCATTCTTTCCCCCTCGCCGCCGGCGCTCTGGCAGCAGGGGATAACCCCGGTGCGCGCCTCTCTTCCTGTTTGGTTTACTCAAGCGCCTGCCCCAACGCCTTCTCAGTCAAGCTGGGAGGAAACTGCTTCAGCTTGAAAAGGATGCGGGCAAAAGCCCAGCCCGACTAGCTCAACCGCCGCGCCAGTGCCCGCCTCCTCTTCCTTAACGCCTAGGGCTGCGCCCACCAGCCGGCAACGTCCAGGAAAGGGCCACAGGAGAAATGACACCCGTGCAATGCGGAGTGTCCCGGCTCCGCTTCCCCGCAGGGACTCGAGGTGCGCTCCTTTTCCTGGCCACGGTTTAGGGAGGCTCGGAGATGGACACCTCGGCAGTATCTGGCGACCCTCTTCTCACTCGCTCCGCCCACTCCTGCTCTCCAGGGTCCCAGCCAAGGGCCCGAACCCTCGGAGTCCTAGTGAGCCTTGGCCGCTTTGTCTGGGATCAGGCTTATCCTCCTAGCCCACGGCCCGGGAGGGAACAAAGAGCCTCGACCCTCAAGCTCTAGCCTCTGCCTCTCATCGGAGCCCCATGCGCCCATTCATCACCTTTCTAAAGACCCCTTTGTCTGCCTGGCAAGCACAGGTCTGCAAGGGATGCCCACGCCCCTGCCCAAAGTCCTGCTTTTCTAACAACTGAGCTAGATTGGATTTTCAAGCCACCCAGTCTTGTGTAAACGACCTCATACCGGTCTTTTTTACCCCCTCAGAATAGACCATGTATAGATTCGTTGATGCATGACGACCATTCCAGCCCATTCCTTGCTAGCTTTTTCATTCTCTTCCAGTCCGCTTTGACTGTGCTACTGTTTTCCTGGTTTTCTACAGAATAGCAAGTCCTTCTGTAAGGATCAACCTGCATCTTGCTCGCTTAAATAAATGCTTATTACCTAGGGAGCAGGAATATTAAGAAATGGAGTGCAGGAAGTTTAAGAGCATGTGTGTGTGTTAGCAGTCCCATCTCTCTCTCTCTCACACACACATACACACACACGCAAGGGCTGTTTTCTTTGTTTTAATCAATGTCAGAGAAAAATATAAACTGGGCAGGCATCTCTGCTGGTGTGTAGTTTCTGATAGAGGACGCCTCCAAACCGGAACAGGGAGGATTTCCGAAACAGGACTTTGAATAGAGTTGACAATCAGGTTCACATCCTCAGAAAAAGCCTTCCAAGCTATGTCAGCAACACAAAGTTGCACCACCTCCTGGGTAAACTTCAAAGACACAGAGGCCAGCGGGTGGAAGGAAGTGTGATATTTAGAGAACTTAGTGGGGCGGGGGAGAGTCTGAACTCATCTAGACAAACTAAAAAAAATAGCAGAAATATAGTCTGTGTGAAGCTACAGTACCCAGTTTCTTTCTAAAACTGTAACCATGACGCCCATGCGTTTTAGCCGTAGAAGAACAAATAAGGAAGTATCCTTAGTGGTACTGGAGTTTCTAATTCAAATTATAACACATTAATCTATCCAACGTCAAATAGAAAAAAAAAAAGTAGAGAAACAGAGTATACCTATTTCCTGCTTTCTAAGCTTTAACTTCAGCCCTTCGAGAAACCATCTATCTCCAGTATCTCCTTAGGTGATAGGACATTGAAAACAGGCAACCGTTTGGTGAATAAAGACATTTCTCTTGAGTTCTGCCCACAGATTAAAAGGACAAGGACACACGTTCTTTGTTGACACTTCTGCAGTGACTTCTCCTTTGGCGAGAGAGCACCCAGGGCCAACACAACTGTCACCACAACCACACAGAGCAAGTTGAACTCATACTGGGAACAGCTTAGAGAAGCACGCACATCTCAACAACAGCCTTTGTTATTTAATTCATGACACTAACCACGCGCAAGCTCAAACAAACACACATGCTATCCTAACCATCACTCTACCCTCTATATTCACATTTCATTTATGGCTTGACTTTTTGTCATATCCTGAAATGAAGCTTTGCATTTACCCGATGAGTTGCGTCTCCTGGTGCTCCTCAGTTCTTGCTATTTCTTTTGTCTTATAAAAGATCAGGAGCAGACTTATTGTGCAGATCGTCCACCTCTTCCTAATGGAGCGCATCTTGGGTGCCCGAGAAAGTCCTGGTTGCCCCAGCTCCCGCACCTTCTCTTGATATAAAGGCTCCGTTTTGGGGAGATAGTCGCGGGGGTGAAATCTGTAAAATGCGAGGAGAGCTTGGAGCCGGGATCCCGGGATCAGATCACTGGGGTCTTCTGTGGCCGAGCTCCCTCTGGTCCTCGAACGCTGCCCAGCGACCTCTCGCCCTGTTTGCGCCAGCTCTGCCAGGGTCGCTCCGCGCCGCCTCCCTGGGGCTCAGGTTTCTTTTCAGATGAGACACCTTGTGCATTGGAGGTGGCGGCAGCTTCTGCAGCTGGGTTCGGGGGCGTCACTGGCCCTTCCCTCTTGCTAGGAGATAAACGCTGCGCAAAGCCAATCACCAGGCTGAGGGGGCGGAGGCTGCTTGGAGAGTAACGTCCCCGGCTCTGCCTGCTCTGTGCCGGGAGAGGAAGCTCACAGTGCTACGCGCCTGCGAGCTCGCGCACATACACATATACATACATACACACATACATACATATGCACACACACGTACACGCAGAATCACACACACTCTCCTGGGACATCAAAGCATCAGCTCTCTGGACCTGGGAGCTCCAAGATAGTCTATCCGCATCTAGGTGAGAGGGCACCTCGCCTGGGGACAGATTACAAAAGCGTCCCGCCAGAGGAATGCTTCAGGTAGAGCTAGGGGTGGATTGCAAGAAGAGTACCTTCTTTCAATCGCTTTTGCTAAACACACACCCTCACACGCAAAAACACGCCCTCCAAGGTGGAGTGAAACGGGGTGCGGGGGTGGGGACGGCGGTGGAAGGAAGAAGACTTTTATTACTCAATCTGGAAAGTGCAAATACACACATGAACCTGTTAGCCGATGGGCCCACTCTGCATGGGTGGTGGACGACGACCCTGGCTCAGGATTCTGCAGGAAACAAGTGATGATAGAGGTGTCATTAGGAACTTTATGGATATTTATGCGCCTCCCTTTCATTGCCATTTGGAAACTCCTCACGCAGAAGTCAAGGAAACTCCAATCCCACTTAAACTTCATTGCGGAGAAACAGAGTTCTGAAAAAAAAGCAGCTACCATGGACCTCTCTTTTAAACGCAAGTACACCCACACACATTCGGATACCAAGGAAGGAAGGAAAGAAAGAAAGGAAAGAAAAGGGAGGGGAGGAAGGAAGAGCAAAGTCCTCTCTAAAAGTCTCAATTATATATATAGCCTCTGATTGTCACCTCTCCTCCGTCCCACCATTTTTCGTACTTGTATTGGGTGGCAGGGACACTTTTCAAGAGTTCTGTGTTCGATTGTTCACTCTGAGTACCTCTCCACCATCCTCCAGTCGTTGCCCTCATTGGGAGAGATGCTTGCTACTCTGCTAGTACCACGCCTTGGTTCCGGTCTTTACTGTTGGCTGGTAGGTCGGGAGGCACCTCTAGCATGAGACAGTGTCTGGAAGCCAGGATTTCCCTCATCTATATGCGCCGGTCCCCAGCTCCCTGGTCGCCAGGGTTTCTCTCCAGTTGAATTCCGTGTTCCTTCAGGTTGAACAGTAGCTTCAGCGGTTTTTCACGCTCAGAAATGATGAGGCCCAATTCCAATCTTCCCTCCCGCCGGAAGTAAGAAGGGGAATTCTGAGTTGCTTGTCGCCTGACAGCTTAAAATAGCAACGAAAACAGCCAGCATCTTTGCTTAAAAACCCAAGGTTCCCGCCAGTGTTTACCATACTTCCTCTAGAGTTTAAGAAGTTAAGAACTTCCGAGATCTTGAATTTCCTCTTTGCAGCACAGCGAACGGGGTCGGGTATAAAAATGCTCCAAGGAGCAAGTAATTACGAACGTTTATTGACACTACAAGTGGCCCACAGGGAGCCTTTCGAGTTTATTGATGTCTAGGCAAATCCAGCCTGCATTAATGCATTTCTGTTAGATTGACTTCTGTTAGACTCACTTTTCTTCTGGCAAAAACTGCCAGAATAAAACAGCTTCTTATTTAAGTTAAAAGGGATCCGGGGCTGAGGGCAGGGGTCGGGTGGGAGAGGGATGCATGGTTAGGATGCTAAATTCTCAAGGATAAACTTTGATTTTTAAACAGTAGACAACTATATTTTAGATTATAGGTAAAACATCACTCTCTGTCAGGGATAGAGTAATATGCATCGTTTCATTAAACTCATTATTTCTTAAGCAATGGTTATGGGGCAGGCAATGTGTGCGGAGATGGGAACACAAAGATGAATAAAACTTAGCATCTAGTCAGACACAAATCCTACTCACTCAAAGGGGGCATCTTTTAAAAATAATAATTTACAGTATGGCAACATGAATCAGAAACATCATTTAAAATATATATGGTATCTGAGTAAGCTCCTGGGTTGAAGCAGATGGGGTGTTTAAGCCTTTTGAAGCCCGGAAGATGAGTTTCCGGGTGAAGGGGACACACAGACTCCTGTTTTCAAAGCTGACAAGGAAGTAAGCCAAGCAGAGGGAGGATAGAACATTGCAGGTGGAAAAAGGAGTATGCGCAACTCCAGAGAGTAATAAAACTCTGGTGCTTTGGGGCAACTTTGAAGTGGCTCAGTACTGTTAGAAGGGAAAGTGGTAAGGGAGAGTGCTGGTCCAAAAGTTTCGGTGTACTCATAATATTCTATGGCTCCAGAGTGTGGAACAGTCTTCTGTAATGAGAAAGCCACAAGAAAATCTTCAAGAGGAAAGTGAGTATAATCTATATTAAGCTTTAAATTACATTAGGGGAAACTACTTACCTAGCCCAAACAGGAAAAAACAAACAAACAAACAAAAAAAGAAAAGAAAAAAAAAAAAAAAAAGAGCGAAACGAAAGCAATCAAGAACTAGTTATAGGAACACATAAGACAAATTTAAATGTCCAGAAGAAAAATAAGTGAACTCTCCAATTGTATAATGCTGCTGTTTCTGAATTTTTTAAGTACAGAACTTTTTATATTAAGGCGAGCAATTCTGAATGACTGATAACTGTTCAGCGAGACTCCAGGAATTCTTCTTCCCAAATTAAAGCAATTTAGTGTTTGGAGTGTAATTGAATGCCATTTGTTTAATATTGTTAGATTCGTTAAATATATAGCCATTATAATTTGCCAATTAAAAAGAAGCCATACAGGCCAATACTTAGACAAAAGTGAGGACAGCATGGTTTTTTCTCAATATGTAAATAGGTGCAAGAACTATAAATATTGGATAAAAAGTCTTTTGGAATTAACTTCTATTAGAATGCTTAGTTTGATGTTCCTGAGCACCAAAAGACTATAAAGAAGTCTTTTGGAATTAACTTCTTCTATTAGAATGCTTAGTTTGATGCTCCTGAGCAAATAAGATTGTTTCTAAATTTTCATTTGATCTTTGGATTGTAAGTTCTTCAATAAAGAGAATATATTTGTCTTTATTCAGCACAATTCTACAATTATACAATAGCCTATAAATAAATAATGTGAGTAATGGCAGCTGGTTTTAAAATGATACTTTATCCTTTGACTTAATGTAAATTCATGTTTTCATTGCTGGCTGTACTCTCAAATCTAGCTGGCAAGAAATGAATAGATACTTGCAGTCTCATGGTGGAGTTTTTAATGACCCATGACATTTTTAATAGACTTTTTTTTTTTTAGAAAACATTTAGGTTTATGGCAAAATTGAACAGAAAATAGAGAGTTCCCATATAACTCTACCTTCTCCCCATACTCAGTCTCCCTATCAACATTCCTCATCAGAGCAGTACATTTCTTTTTTTACATTCAATGAAACTACATGTACATATCATTATCACCTACAGTACATAGGTCATATTAGGATTCATTCTTGGTGTTGCACATTTTATGGGTTTTGCCAAATATATACTGAACATATATTCACCATTATAGTATAATACAAATTAGTGTCACTGCCCTAAACATCCTCTGTAATCTGATTATTCATGCTTCTTTCTCACTCCCGGTCACCCCAGGCTCTGACTTCCCTAATGTTTTTACTGTCTCCACAGTGTTGCCTTTTCAAGTGTCATATAGTTGGAATCATAGAGTATGTAGCTTTTTCTGATTGGATTCTTTAACTTAATAATATGCTCCATTATTTTCATGGCTTGAAAAACAAATTTTTTTTCATGGCTTGAAAGTCCATTTTATTTTAGCACTAAATAAAATTCATTATATGGATATATCAAAGTTTATCCACTCACTTACTGAAGGACATCTTTATTGCTTTCAAGTTTGGGCAATTATGAATAAGGCTGCTGTAAACATCTGTGTACAGTTTTCTGTGTAGATGTAAAGCTTTCAACCCAGTTGGGTAAGTAGAAATAAATAAGATTGTTGGATTATATGGTAAGAATATGTCTAGTTTTGAAAGACACTGCCAAAGTGACTTCCAAGGTGGCTGTACCATTTTGCATTCCCATCAGCAATGAATGAGAGTCCTTGTTGTTTCATATCCTTGCCAACATTTGCTGTTGTATTGGTTTAGATTTTGACCATTATATCAGATGTGTAGTAGTTGTATCTTACTGTTGTTTTAATTTGCAATTCCCTGATATTATATGATGTTGAGCAATTTACACATGTTTATCTTCTATGGTAAGGTGTCTGTTCAGAACTTTTGCTCAGGTTTTTAATCAGGTTCATTTTCTTACTCTTGAGTTTTAAGAGTTCTTTCTATATTGTGGATAACAGTTCTTTATCACATCTCTTTTTGAAAATATTTTCTCTCAGTTTGTGGCTTGTCTTTTCATTCTCTTGACAGTTTCTTTCACAGAACAGAGGGTTTTAATTTTAATGAAGTCCAACATATTAATTATTTTATTGATGATTCCTTTGATGTTGTATTTAAAATCTAAACCTAAGATAAACTAGATTTTTAAGATATGTTACCTTTTAGGCATTTTATCATTTTCTGTTTAGGTCTATAATCTATTTTGAGTTAAGTTTTGTGAATCATGCAAAGTTTGTGTCTGGATTATTATTTTTTTATCATGTCAATGTCTAATTGTTTCAGCACCATTTGTTGAAAAAGCTGTCTTCTCTCCATTGTATTGACTTTGCTTCTTTGTCAAAGAAACAAAAGGTTAAATATATTTGGGTGGGCTATCCTGTGCTTTCTATTGTCTTCCATTGATCTATTTGTCTATTCTTTCACCAATACCACACTCTCTTGACTGCTGAAGCTTTATAGTAAGTCCTGAAATAGGGTAGCATCAGTCTTCCAACTTTATTCTTTTCCTTTAATATTGTGTTAGCTATTCTGGGTCTTTTGCCTCTCTGTGTAATCTTTGGAATGAGTTTCTTTTTTCTTTTTTATTTATTTATTTATTATACTTTAAGTTTTAGGGTACATGTGCACAACGTGCAGGTTTGTTACATATGCACACATGTGCCATGTTGGTGTGCTGCACCCATTAACTCCTCATTTAACATTAGGTATATCTCCTAATGCTATCCCTCCCCCCTCCCCCCCACCCCACAACAGGCCCCGGTATGTGATGTTCCCCTTCCTGTGTCCATGTGTTCTCATTGCTCAATTCCCACCTATGAGTGAGTGAGAACATGCGGTGTTTGTTTTTTTGTCCTTGCGATAGTTTGCTGAGAATGATGGTTTCCAGCTTCATCCATGCCCCTACAAAGGACATGAACTCATCATTTTTTATGGCTTTGAATGAGTTTCTTGATATCCAAAAAAATCTTATTGGGATTTTGATTGAGCTTGCACTGAATCTATGTATCACGTTGGGAAGGAATGTCATCTGGATAGTTTGAATATTTCTAGCCATGAATATGGACTATCTCTCCATTTATTTAGCTGTTCTTTAATTTATTTCATTACTTTTTTTTTACCTTTCCTCATGTGGATCTTATACATATTTAATTAGTTTTATACCTGAATATTTTATTGTTTGGGGAGTTAATGTAACTGACACTGTGTTTCATTTCAAATTCCAATTGCCCTTTGCAGGAACTCATGGCATTTTTTTTTAATAATGGAAATGTTAAATAGTATATACTTCAGAGTTTTTTCTTCAGAGAAAAAGAACCAATAACATTTGTATGGATAGTGAAAATGAGATTTATTTTAAGGTGTAGACCTCATGATGCGTGGGCTTGCAATTCCAAAACCTGCAGAGTAGTCTGACAGGCTGGAGACCTAGGGAAGAGCTATCTTCCATGTCTGAAGACAGTCTAGAGGCAGAATTCGCTCTTACTTAGGGAACATCCATCTGTTTTTAACTAAGACCATCAACTGATTGATTTAGGCCCACCCACATTATGGCGGTAAATCTACTTTACTGATAGTTTTAACTGATTTAAAAGTTAATTTTATTTAAAGAATACTTTCACAGCAACATCCGGCCTTGTGTTTGACCACATATCTGAGTACCATGGCCTAGCTAAGTTGACACAGAAAATTAAAAAGTTGAAATTTTTTTTGTGGTTATACAATATAGTGAGGAGTATTCATGCTTAGCTTTTTACCTATGAATGAGGAAAAGCATATAAATGAGAAAACTGCTGTTAACCACTGGGCAATTATTTCTCTTTCATTTCTTTCTGGACAAGACATCTAGTTTAAGTATTTTTTTCTAAATTAATTTTTACCCACATGAATTCCTATGAAATATTAATATTTTTCTGTATGTGTATTCACATACCTTCTTCTTCTGTTACATTTTTTCATCCATAATAACCAGATATAATAAGCTTATGATAGAAAGATGACCTTGACATTAGGGAAAAGACACAATCATGAATCTAGTATAATTTCTGAAAGAACAGAAAAATTCCATCATTGTCCTTATCAATTCCTCCTCATGTTTGACCTGTGTAACTTATAGCATTATCCTTTGCATTTAGTACTCTGATCTCTCTTTAAACATGAATGTCCTTGCAAGAGGCAATTCTTAGGTAACATTAGTCAAATAGTCTTCAATTTGTAATATCCATTTAGAATGTCCTTTGAAAGACATCTTTTAACTACTTTTGGTCAAATAGATCCAATTTGTAATAAGCTCTTCAATTGCTCACAGTCCACATTTTAATTGTTTATCTACATTTATCTCCTTTAGTTATATAGTCCAGGTTAGTATTGTTTTATTTTCTACTGTATAGACCCCTAAAATGTTGTAAACAAACAAATAGACTATCGCACACATGTTTTGGGAAATCACAGATGTCCTGTTTTAATACCTAGCAATATATTTCCTTTTCTTTGTTTTCTTTTTGCTGTTTTTCTGATCAAATGTGATAAGAGGAACTGTCTAGTAGGAACAGAGTAATCAGTAAACAAAATATCCCTCCAACCTGCTCTCCTATTGAAAAGTCATCATTTACTAGGCAATTTTCTATGTCACTATCTCTAGGAAGTTTATTATTTGGAGTTGTAATTTCTTCATATTTGTGGGCTTTTTAAATATTCTCACTTGTATGTGGTTTAGCCAACTTATTTCACCTGTCATAGGATCTTTTGTCTCTCATACTGTCCAATCCAATCACCCACTTAATTTCTTCATTTGAGTAACTCATCTTCCTTTTATTCTATTTTTAACCCTTCATATTAAAAGCAAAAGGAGAAATAATGTTACATATTGTGCAAGGCTAAAAATTTATTTGTATAAGTCCATGTCTTTTGAGATCTACACACCTACATAACTGCTTTTAGAGTTCTAATAAAAACAGTGAGTATCACTGAAAAATATTGCATCAAAATACATATTATTACATGGAGCAGTTCTATGTACATTGAATTTTGTGAAGGAAATGACATTTTAAATATTCTTTTAATATTTATTGTTTGAATGTTATAAAAATAAGAATACTGAAATCATTAATGACAGACTAAGTGATGGACATAGCCTGTAGAAGACTTTTGTTTCTTTGTAAATTGGGTTGAAATAGAACACCCCCCCACACACACACACAGTGCCAGTACTTCAAATTGCTTTTCAGAAATATCATGCGATTTGTTAATGCCAGACTTACCTACTCTAAGAGTAACAATTAGATGGAGTTGAGTAACAATTGTGTCATCTTACTTTATCTTAAATTTTTGTTTATTCCAAAAATTTTATTCAGTGATTTAATTTACTTGGACCCTACATGAATTTGAGTTTGCAATCCTTAAAGTGAATAATTCTATTACGACATACAAATTTCATAACTGACCTGCTTAATAGATTAAAGTTTCAATAATCTTAGCATTTGTAAAGTGAATAGTTGAGGAAATAACCAAATAAAACTCGTATGAACTAAAGTTTGATGCCAACTCTAGAGATGCCTAATCAGTCAGCAGGAGAAAGTTGCTCTGGGAGAATGAATCAATAGATATTTATTGGAGGGAGCCTGTGGGAATACAAGAAAAATAATGAATCTTATTCACATCTGACCTGGGCCTACCCAACATAATATAAATAATTGATCTCTCCTCTGTATTTCCACAATTATAATTGCCTACATTTCACCAGAAAACTTTATGTCAATACCTATGGATAGCATAGATATTGTGGTTAAGCACATGATGCTTACAAATATCAAAGTTTATGCAAATTGTGACAGCTTATGTTAGTTGCTGTCTGATTGTAATCCCATCAATAGAAAAAAACAAACAAATACATATTAAACTCTACCAAAAGATCCAAACTATCAGGATTTTTAATAACTTTTGTATGACCTACATGTAAAGAAAGTTATTTGCTTTGTGACTACATGTCTTACATGGGAACATGAAGAAGGTAGCAGAGTGGATTTTTCCACATGTTTTTGGCAGATTAATAAATTTAAAGTGAGTTCTCAGGAATGAATTGATTATTGTAACTTTTTTTAAAGTGTAAAATTCTTGTGAACACTAACCTAGAACCTATAGAGATTTTGAAAGTGTGTAGCTAATATTACAGACAGCTACTATATCTCTACTAAGGTGAGCAGAGAGGTTTGGACAATTGATGATTCTTGTTTATTTTTATTTTATTTATTTATTTATTTATTTTTGAGACGGAGTCTTGCTCTGTCGCCCAGGCTGGAGTGCAGTGGCGCGATCTTGGCTCACTGAAAGCTCCACCTCCCAGGTTCACGCCATTCTCCTGCCTCGGCCTCCCGAGTACCTAGGACTACAGGCACCCGCCACCAAGGCCGGCTAATTTTTTGTATTTTTAATAGAGACGGGGTTTCGCCGTATTAGCTAGGATGGTCTCTATCTCCTGACCTCGTGATCTGCCCACCTCGGCCTCCCAAAGTGCTGAGATTACAGGCTTGAGCCACCACGCCCAGCCGATGATTCTTGTTTATGGATGCTGAGATCTCTTTGAGGATGTAGTCACCTATAGGAAGCATCAAAAGTAGCCTCATATCAGGAAATCTCTATGACAAACTGTAGCACCAACCCAAATAGACACTTCAAACTAACAGTTGATTCAACTACCCACCTAATCAGTTGGCATAGTTATTCACAATCTGTATGTAGTCAAGGGGTTAAAGATGAGACTAAAACCCCAAAGAAGACTTTGGAAATGATGTATGTTTACCTGCTCTCTTTACATAGAAAAAACTGAATTAGTGTTAGCAAGTGATTTGCATGTGGTATTCATTCATTCATTAATCAAAACATATTTCCTGTGCACATGCTCTTTGCCAGGCATTAAACTAGACACTAAGGATATAGCAGAATACAAAACAGAAAAACATCCTCCTCTTGAGGGCTATCATTTTTAGATGTAGAAAGGTATAATAAAAGGAAAAAAATGGAGGTAATTATTGTGATTAGTGCTATGAAGGAACCAACAGGGCAATGTAACTGAGAGTAATAAAGGAGCTTTTCTTTGAATAGGATTTCCATCCAAGGGCTTTCTGAGGAGGTGACATTTGAATTGAAACCCGCAGAATAAGAACAGAATGGGGAAGAGCCTTATAGTATGAAAGAATAGAAAGTGCAAAGATTAGGAAGTGGAAATTGTAGGCAGAAACGTCAGGAAATAAAGAATACAATGGAAGCCATTATACTGAGCACAATAAATTAAGAAAGATAGAATAGTATATAGGGATGGATTTATTGAAAGCAAATTTCTGAAATAACTATACCAAATTCTAAAAAAGCAAACCGATTTAGGACATGTAATATTATTTTTAGGCAGTGATGAATTTAAATAGAGTCCTGTCAATACAGTTATATGACTATTTTCAGTTGAGTTCAGTTGTACAGAGTTTAGACATAGAAAATGTATGTACTTGAGTTCAAGCAGTGAAGAGAAAACAAGAGTTGTAAGTGCTTAAAAACTCATGATAATAAATATGAACCACCAAATATAAGAGGGTAACAAGGAGAGTGAAAACAGAAAGGGAATCATGCATAAAGATAAAATCTAAAGCTCCTTGGGATGAAATCTCAATTTTGAGGTACTACCTGAGAAGTTGAGCTGAAAAGATGAGAGATATTTAGTAATACTGAGAAAGTGAGATGGTTACAACTTGGATTTCTGGGGGAAAATAAGTCATTGATGTACAAGAGTGTTTCCATGGGAACAGAAAACTAAATCAAGGTGAAACCAGATTTTGCTAGATATGAGGGAGTAAAAGACAGAGAGAGACTAAGGTTTTGAAGAACTCATCAATACAATTATTTAACTCACTAAGAACGATAATGAGTATGGATTACATGAGCTGTGCGTGACTTTATTTTCTGGGGAATAACAGGTGATCTGTAGATGACAGCATGAGGAGTAGTAGAGAAAAATACAACCGGTGGTATAATCTCCAAAGGACATGAAGAGATGTTTTGTGTATGCAATGGAGAACCCAAAAAGATACCTTTCCTATTCCTGGCCATGACTTAGATGACATGTCAAAGAAAAGCAGCCTTCACTTTGTAAGGTCATGCTGAAGTAGGAGAGATGTCTCCTCAAATGCTCAGCAGTGATATCAAGTGATGAGACTACTAGTTTATTTAATCATACATTATTAAAACCAAAAGGCAAACAAATCATACTTTTTAGTAACTCGAGATTGCAGAGTATTCTTATTTTTTATTAATGTGAATTTTAATAAATTTAAAATTTTTATTTCTGTTCAAGCGGCAAACTTTTTTACTCGACGTCATTTAAGATGCATTCAAATTTGCAATTCAAATTTTTTGTTAAAATGTTTCATCTTGATTGTTTTCTAATCTAGTTATGAATTTTATTAGTTGGCTTTATTAATAACAAACAACCCCCCAAATGACAGTGGCTACAACTGACATTGATTTATTGTTCCAGACAGATATCCATGGCTGTGGATCAACTTCTGTGGCTCTGTTCCCCTTGTCTTCTCACACCAGATTCCAGCCTCTTCAAGAAGTGGTCCTTATTTGGGACATCTAGCAAGACAGACCTGTCAGAAACACTTGATGCCTTCTGAAGTTTTTCTTTTTCTTCTCAGATGTTTCTATACGCTATATTCCCTCACATTCCATTGGCTAAAGCTTGAAATGTGGCCAGGCCCTAAATCAATGGGACAATAATGTAGTACCTCTTTAAGGAGGTCTCTATAGGCCGCATGTCAATAAATGATTCAGGATAAAGCCCTTACTAGAAAGAGAACAGAGCAAAAATTGAGCGGCAAAAATAAGATCTACCGCTGGAAGGTGGTACTGATCCCTCACACAAGTTATGAAAATGTGGTGGATAAATCATTGAGAAACTAATATTCAGGAGATAAATCCACACTTTTTAAAGAGACATGTATCTGTCATGAATAAAATCCAAATGCTGACGATGTCTTCAGGGTCCAAGAGGATAGAGGATTTAAGAAAAGAATAAATGTCAGGAATACTTTTTTTCTGAAAAAGTCTAGAAAATAAAAACAAATGAAACAATGAGAATAATACTGTTGTAAAAAGAAGGTAGTTAATTAATATCTCTAAAATTCTCATAAGTGACAATTCTTTTATGGTAAAATTTCCGTGATCCGACGTCTGGCCACCAAATTTACTGACTAAGGTACATGATTCTATCATCACTCCACAAATGTTCCATATATCAAAGGGCAGACAGGTATTATTAAACCCATGAAGCAAAGAGCATGTTTTATTCATCTCAGGATGGAGATAGTTCTGCCAGATGTCTAAGTGTATTTGAAGGCTGATGGCCAAAGCTCTCTTTCCATAAAAAAGTGGTGAACTAGCAGCTGCCAAAACCTGTATCTTCAAGTTTCTTTTCTATAGGATTACTGGTTTAATCTTAATACTTTCTGATTGACCCATTTATTGTTTAGCTTTCTTAATCCATATAATCAGGTTGCATTTATGTGTTCACAGCATGAAGCTATCCTGTCTCATATAACATTGTATCTCTGATCTTTAATTTTAAAATTTCTCCCCCCAAAAGCAACCACTATTGCCTGGCACAGTGTGGTTCATGCCTATAATCCCAAGCCTGTAATCCCAGCAGTTTGGGAGGCCGAGGCAGGCAGATCACTAGGTCAGAAGATCGAGGCCATCCTGACCAATATGGTAAAACCCCATCTCTACTAAAATACAAAAACACAAAAAACAAAACAAAACAAGAATTAGCCAGGTGTGGTGGAACATGCCTGTAGTCCCAGCTGCTTGGGAGGCTGAGGCAGGGGAATCACTTGAACCTGGGAGGCAGAGGCTGCAGTGAGCTGAGATCGCGCCACTGCACTCCAGCCTGGTGACAGAGTGAGACTCCATATCAAAAAAAAAAAAAAAAAGCAACCAATATTCCCACTCCTTTCCTAAAATTTAGAGGGTTCACCTTCCAGAGAACTGATATCTTATTTACATATTCCCAAATCTTAAATTTAGAGAAAACTTCCCCTTAGTTATAACACCTCAATTAATTAATAATGTTTATATTTGAGAGATAGACTTCAAGAAATCTTGGATATCACATTAATAATCCAAAATGTCTCAATGATCAAGGCAGAAAGACTTAGAGAGCAATGAGCTATGAGCATAAAGGTGTTCACAAAGGTATGATAATGAGTTTGGTTATCCTTTCTCATTGTCCACTCTAGACTTTAGCCAGAATCATTTTTTTCTCTTTTTTTTAAATTATACTTTAAGTTCTAGGGTACATGTGCACAACGTGCAGGTTTGTTACATATGTATACATGTGCCATGTTGGTGTGCTGCACCCATTAACTCATCATTTAGCATTAGGTATATCTCCTAATGCTATCCCTCCCGGCTCCCCCCACCCCACAACAGGCCCTGGTGTGTGATGTCCCCCAACCTGTGTCCAAGTGTTCTCAATGTTCAACTCCCACTTATGAGTGAGAACATGCGGTGTTTGGTTTTCTGTCCTTGTGATAGTTTGCTAAGAATGATGGTTTACAGCTTCATCCACATCCCTGCAAAGGACATGAACGCATCCTTTTTTATGGTTGCATAGTATTCCATGGTGTACATGTGCCATATTTTCTTAATCCAGTCTATCACTGATGGACATTTGGGTTGGTTCCAAGTCTTTGCTATTGTGAATAGTGCTGCATTAAACATACGTGCATTAAACATACATGTGCATGTGTCTTTATAGTAGCATGATTTATAATCCTTTGGGTATATGCCCAGTAATGGGATGGCTGGGTCAAATGGTATTTCTAGTTCTAGATCCCTGAGGAATTGCAACACTGTCTTCCACAATGGTTGAACTAGTTTACAATCCCACCAACAGTGTAAAAGTGTTCCTATTTCTCCACATCCTCTTCAGCACCTGTTGTTTCCTGACTTTTTAATGATTGCCATTCTAACTGGTGTGAGATGGTATCTCATTGTGGTTTTGATTTGCATTTCTATGATAGCCAGTAATGATGAGCATTTTTTCGTGTGTCGGTTGGCTGCATAAATATCTTCTTTTGAAAAGCATCTGTTCATATCCTTCACCCACTTTTTGATGGGGTTGTTTGATTTTTTTCTTGTAAATTTGTTTAAGTTCTTTGTCAATTCTGGATATTAGCCCTTTGTCAGATGGGTAGATTACAAAAATTTTCTCCCATTCTGTAGGTTGACTGTTTCTGATGGTAGATTATTTTGCTGTGCAGAAGCTCTTTAGTTTAATTAGATTCCATTTGTCTATTTTGGCTTTTGTTGCCATTGCTTTTGGTGTTTTAGACATGAAGTCCTTGTCCATGCCTATGTCCTGAATGGTATTGCCTATGTTTTCTTCTAGGGTTTTTATGGTTTTAGGTCTGACATTTAAGACTTTAATCCATCTTGAATTAATTTCTGTATAAGGTGTTAGGAAGGGATCCAGTTTCAGCTTTCTACATATGGCTAGCCATTTTTTTCCCAGCACCATTTATTAAATAGGGAATCCTTTCCCCAATTCTTCTTTTTGCCAGGTTTGTCAAAGATCAGATGGTTGTAAATGTGTGGTATTATTTCTGAGGCCTCTGTTCTGTTCCATTGGTCTATATCTCTGTGTTGGTACCAGTACCATACTGTTTTGGTTACTGTAGCCTTGTAGTATAGTTTGAAGTCAGGTAGCGTGATGCCTCCAGCTTTGTTCTTTTGGCTTAGGATTGTCTTGGCAATGCAGGATCTTTTTCATCTCATATGAACTTTAAAGTAATCTTTTCCAATTCTGTGGAGAAAGTCATTGGTAGCTTGATAGGGATGGCATTGAATCTATAAATTACCTTGGGCAGTATGGCCATTTTCACCATATTGATTCTTCCTATCCATGAGCATGGGATGTTCTTCCATTTGCTTCTGTCCTCTTTTATTTTATTGAGCAGTGGTTTGTAGTTCTCCTTGAAGAGGTCCTTCACCTCCCTTGTAAGTTGGATTCCTAGGTATTTTATTCTCTTTGAAGCAATTGTGAATGGGAGTTCACTCATGATTTGGCTCTCTGTTTGTCTGTTATTGGTGTATAGGAATGCTTGTGATTTTTGCACATTGATTTTGTGTCCTGAGACTTTGCTGAAGTTGCTTATCAGCTTAAGGAGATTTTGGGCTGAGACGATGGGGTTTTCTAAATATACAATCATGTCATCTGCAAACAGGGACAATTTGGCTTCCTCTTTTCCTAATGGAATACCCCTTATTTCTTTCTCCTGCCTGATTGCCCTGGCCAGAACTTCCAACATTATGTTGAATAGGAGTGGTGAGAGAGGGCGTCCCTGTCTTGTGCCAGTTTTCAAAGGGAATGCTTCCAGTTTTGCCCATTCAGTATGATATCGGCTGTGGGTTTGTCATAAATAGCTCTTATTATTTTGAGATACATCATCAGGGATATTGGTCTAAAATTATCTTTTTTTGTTGTGTCTCTGCCATTGCCAGAATCATTTTTACTTTTGGGTAATAATTTGCAATCAGTGAAGTGTACCGTTCTTAAGTGTTCAATGTAATAATTTTGGTAAAATCTGTAAGCAATAAATAACACTTTGATCAAAGCATAGACTATTTTCATCATCCCAGAATATCCCTTTTTCCCTCTCCCTAGTAAACCCCATCTATCATAAACGATCATTCTCTATTATTTATCTCACCATAAATATTTACCTGTTCTTGAGCTCCATAAAAATTGATGTATGCAGTATCTGTTGTTTGAGATCTATGTTTTGAGTGTTCTCAATGTTGTGGTTTTTAGCAGTTCATTTGCCAAAAAAATATTGTTTGGTATTCTATTGAATAAATATACCTCAGCTTGATCATTTATTTTCTTGTTGATGGATAGTTGGGGTTATTTTCAGTTTGAGGCTTTTATAGATAAACTTAGAACTTTGCAAGTCTTTTGTGGAAAAAAGATATTCATTTCTCTTGGAAAATATTTTTATTTTCAGGGGTGATAATGTTTGGTCATTTAATACGTGTGTGTGTGTGTGTGTGTGTGTTTGTGTGTGTTTCACTCCCCCATCATTGTATTAAAGTTCTAGCTATTCCACATTATCACCGACATTTGATATTTTCAGTCTTTTTCCCAATTTTGTACCTTCTATTGAATGTGAAGTATTATCTCATTATGTTCTTGGCCATTTGTGTATATTCATCTTTGAAATTTCTGTAAAGAAATGCACCTATTTTTATTGTGTCTGTTTTCTTTTTATTATTGAGTTATAGGAGCTCTTTATACAATCCGGACAAAATATAAGGTTGTAAAAGCAATGTGATTTTAATGACATTACTTCTAATGGCAAAAACTGCAGTAAGTTGCACCAATTTAATACTTCATCACATATACCTATTCTAAGTATTTTTCCCTAATCTAAAGCTTCCCTTTTCATTTCCTTAGAGCGGCATAAGAATGAGCAGATGTTTTAAATTTGGTAAAGTTCAATTTATCAGCTTTTCTTCTATGGCTTGCGTTTTTTGTGTCCTGTCTAAAAACCCCTTTGCTCTCCACAGAGTTGTGTGTGTGTGTGTGTGTGTGTGTGTGTGTATATACATATACACATATACGCACACATATTCTACTTCAGAATTTTAGGTTCAATATCAAGGCCTGTTATCCTTTTCAAATTAATGTTTGTATGTTATATATTATTGGTTAAGATATATTTTGTCCATATAAACATTGAGTTGTTTCAGCACTATTTATGCAAAATACATTCTGTTCTCCCTTAATTGTTTTGACATTTTCATTAAAACCCACTTGGCCATGAGTAAAACTATTTCCAGAATTTGTATTTTATTTTATTGATATATCTGTTAATTGTTATACAAGCATAATACTATTTTGATTAATGTAGCTTAATAGTAAGTCTTAAAATCAGTAGAATGTATCCTCCATTTATTTTATTCTCCAAAAATTTTGTTTTCCTAGGTTCTTTGCATTTCCATACACATTTTAGAATCAGTTCATCAATTTCTTTAAAAAACAAACAAAAGCCTGTTATTATTTTGATTGGGATTGCAATGAATATATAAATCCATTTGTGGAGAAAAGACACCTTGACAACATCAAGTTTTCTAATCCATAATCATGGCGTATTTTTCCATTTATTTAGGTTTTAATTTATCTCAGCTATGTTTTAAACTTTTTAATGGAGATGTCTTCCACATTTTATGTTAAATTTATTTCTAAACATTTTTTAAATACTACTTTGAATGGTAATTTTAAGCTGTTATTTTTCAATTCTTTCTTGCTATTAAATAGAAATATAACTTTTTAAAAGGCATTAACCTTGCATTCAATAATAAATCTAAAATTATTTATTAGTTTCTTTGTCCACAGTTTCTTTATCCACTCGTTGATTGATGGGCATTTGGGTTGGTTCCACATTTTTACAATTGTGAATTGTGTTGCTATAAACATCTGTGTGCAAGTATCTCTTTTACATAATGATTTCTTTTCCTCTGGATAGATACCCAGTAGTGGGATTGCTGGATCAAATGGAAGTTCTACTTTTAGTTCTTTAGGGAATCTCCACACTGTTTTCCATAGTGGTTTTACTAGTTTACATTCCCACTAGCAGTGTAGAAGTGTCCCCTGTTCACTGCATCTATGCCAACATCTATTATTTTTTGTTTTTTTGAACATGGCCATTCTTACAGGAGTAAGGTGGTATAGCACTGTGGTTTTGATTTGCATTTCCCTAATCATTAGTGATATTGAGCATTTTTTCATGTTTTTTGGCCATTTGTATATCTTCTTTTGAGAATTGTCTATGCATGTCCTTTGCCCATGTTTTGATGAGATTGTTTGTTTCTTCTTCTTGCTAATTTGTTTGAGTTCATTGTAGATTCTGAATATTAATTAGTCTTTTGTCAGATGGATATATTGTGAAGATTTTCTCCCACTCTGAGGTTGTCTAAGTACTCTGCTGACTGTTCCTTTTGCCATGCAAAATTCTTTTGCTTAATTAAGTCCCAGGTCAAATGGATAGACTGTGAAGATTTTTTCCCACTCTGGGGGTTGTCCATTTACTCTGCTGACTATTCCTTTTGCCATGCAAAAGCTCTTCTGTTTAAAAGTCCTAGCTACTTATCTTTGTTTTTATTGCATTTGCTTTTGGGTGCTTGGTCATGAAACCCTTGCCTAAGCCAATGTCTAGAAGGGTTTTTCTGATGTTATCTTCTAGAATTTTTACAGTTCCAGGTCTTAGATTTAAGTGTTTGATCCACTTTGAGTTGATTTTTGTATAAGGTGAAAGATGAGGATCCAGTTTCACTCTCCTACACGTTGCTCGCCAATGATCCCAGCACCATTTGTTGAATAGGGTGTTCTTTTCTCACTTTATGCTTTGCTTTATGGTTTGCTTTGTCAAAGATCAACTGGCTGTAAGTATTTGGGTTTATTTCTGGGTTCTCTATTCTGTTCTATTTGTCTATGCCTATTTTTATACCAGTATCATGCTGTTTTGGTGACTATGGCCTTATGGTATAGTTTGAAATCAGGTAATGTGATGCCTTCAGATTTGTTCTTTTTGCTTAGTCTTACTTTGACTATGCAGGCTCTTTTTTGGTTTCATATGAATTTTAGGATTTTTTTTTCTATTTCTATGAAGAATGATGGTGGTATTTTGATGGGAATTGCATTAAATTTGTAGATTGCTTTTGGCAGTATGGTCATTTGCACAATAGGGTTTCTACCTATCCAGGAGCATAGGATGTGTTTCTATGTTTATGTTGTCTATGATTTCTTTCAGCAGTGTTTTGTAGTTTTCCTTGTAGGGATCTTTCACCTTCTTGGATAAGTATATTCCTAAGTATTTTTTTTTTTGCAGCTATTGTAAAAGAGATTGAATTTTTGATTTGATTCTCTGCTTGGTCATTGTCAGTGTACAGAAGATCTACAAATTTGTGTACATTAATTTTGTATCCTGAAACTTTGCTGAATTAATTTATGAGTTCTAGGAGCTTTTTGGATGAGTCTTTAGGATTTTCTAGGTATAAAATCATATCATTAGCCAATAGTGAGAATTTGATTTCCTCTTTACCCATTTGGATGCTCTTTATTTCTTTCTCTTGTCTGATTGCTCTGGCTGGGACTTCTAGTACTATGTTGAAAAGAAGTGGTGAGAGTGGGCATCCCTGTCTTATTCCAGTTCTCAGAGGGAATGTTTTCACATTTTTCCCATTCAGCATTGTGTTGGCTGTGGGTTTGTCATAGATGGCTTTTATTAGATTGAGGTATGTCCCTTCTATGGTAATTTTGCTGAGGATTTTAATCATAAAGGGATGCTTGATTTTTTCAAATGCTTTTCTGCATCTATTGAGATGATCAGGTGATTTTTAATTCTGTATATGTGGTGTATCGCATTTATTGACTTCCATATGTTAAACCATCCCTGGTATGAAACCCACTTGATCTCAGTGGATTATCTTTTTGATATGTTTTTGGAGTCGGTTAGCTAGTATTTTGTTAAGAACTTTTGCATCTATATTCATCAGGGATACTGGTCTGTAGTTTTTTTTGTTTTGTTTTGTTTTGTTTTTTGGTTATGTCATTTCTTGGTTTTGGTCTTAGGGTGATACTAGCTTCATAGAATGATTTAGGGAGGATTATTTCTTTCTCTATCTTGTGGAATAGTATCAATAGGATTGGTACCAAGTCATCTTTGAATGCCCAGTAGAATTCAGCTGTGAATCCATCTGGTCCCCAAATTTTTTTTTTTGGTAATTTTTTTATTACCTTTTCAATCTCACTGCTTGTTATTGGTATGTTCAGGGTATCTAATTCTTCCTGATATAAGTTAGGAGGGTTGTATCTTTCCAGGAATTTATTCATCTCTTGTAGGTTTTCTAGTTTATGTGTGCAAATATGTTCACAGTAGCCTTGAATTATCTTTTGTATTTCTATGGTGTTAGTTTTAATATCTCCTGTTTCATTTCTAATTGATCTTATTTGGATTTTCTCTCTTTTTTCTTGGTTAATCTTGCTAATAGTCCATCATTTTTATTTATCTTTTCAAAGAACCAGCTTTTTGTTTCATTTATCTTTTGTATTTTTTCTTTGTTTCAATTTCATTTAGTTCTGCTCTGATGTTAGTTATTTCCTTTCTTCTGCTGGGTTTGGGTTTGGTTTGTTCTTGTTTCTCTACTTCCTTGGGGCATGACCTTAGATTGTCTATTTGTGCTCTTTCAGACTTTCTGATATAGGCATTTAGGACTATGAACTTTTCTCTTAGCACTGCTTTTGATGTATCCCAGAGTTTTTAATAGGTTGTGTCACTATTATCATTCAGTTTGAAGAATTTTTTAATTTTCATCTTGATTTTATTGTTGACCCAATGATCATTCAGGAGCAGGTTATTTAATGTCCATGTATTTTCATGGTTTTGAAGGTTTCTTTTGGAGTTGATTTCCGGTTTTATTTCACTGTGGTCTGAGAGAGTACTTGATATAACTTCAATTTTCTTAACTTATTCAACTTGTTTTGTGGCTTATCATATGGTCTATCTTGGAGAAAATTTCATGCACCGATGAAAAGAATCTATTTTCTGTGGTTGTTAGGTAGAATGTTCTATAAATATCTGTTAAGTCTATTTGTTCCAGAGTATACTTGAAGTTCATTGTTTCTTTGTTGACTTTCTGTCTTGATGACATGTCTAGTGCTGTAGGTGGAGTATTGAAGCCCCCCACTATTATTGTGTTGCTGTCTATCTCATTTCTTAGGTCTAGTAGTAAGTGTATCATACATTTGAGAGCTCCAGTGTTAGGCATGTATATTTAGGATTGTTAAATCTTCCTTTTGTACAAGACCTTTTATCATTATATAATGTCCCTCTTGTCTTTTTTAACTGCTGTTGTTTTAAAGTTTATTTTGTTTGATATAAGAATAGGTAGTCCTGCTTGCTTTTGGTGTCCATTTGCATGGAATATCTTTTTCCACCACTTTACCTTAAGTTTATGTGAGTTCTTATGTGTTAGGTGAGTCTCTTGAAGGAAGCAGATAGTTGATTTATGAATTATTTTCATTCTGCAATTCTGTATTTTTTAAGCAGAGCATTTAGGCCATTTACATTCAACATTATTATTAAGATGTGAGGTACTATTCCATTAATTGTGCTATTTATTGCCTGTATACCTTGTGGGGTTTTTTTTTGTATTTTTATTTTATAAGTCCTGTGAGATTTATGGCTTGAAAGAGATTCTGTTTTGATATGTTTTCAGGATTTGTTTCAAGATTTAGAGCTGCTTTTAGCAGTTCTTATAATGCTGTCTTGGTAGTGGCATATTCTCTCAGCATTTGTTTGTCTAAAAGAGACTGTATCTTTCCTTCATTTATAAAGATTAGTTTTGCTGGATACAGAATTCTTGGCTGATAATTGTTTGAGGAGACTGCAGATGGAGCTCCAATCCCTTTTAGGTCGTAGGGTTTCTGCTGATAAATCTACTGTTAATCTAATATGTTTTCCTTTATAGATTACCTGGTGCTTTTGCCTCACATCTCTTAAGATTCTTTCCTTCATCTTGACTTTAGATAACCTGATGACAATGTTCCTAGCTGATGATCTTTTTGTGATAAATTTCCCAGGTGTTCTTTGAGCTTCTTGTATTGGGATGTCTAGGTCTCTTGCAAGGCTGGGGAAGCTTTCCTCAGCTATTCCCCCAAATATGTTTTCCAAACACTTGGATTTCTCTTCTTCCTCAGCAACACCAGTTATTCTTGTTTGGTCACTTAACATAATCCCAAACTTCCTGGAGGCTTTGTTCATTTTTTTCTTATTCTTTTTTCTTTGTCTTTGGATTGGGTTACTTCAAAAACCTTGCCTTCAAGCTCTGAAGTTCTTTCTCCTGCTTGTTCAATTCTAATGCTGAGACTTTCTAGAACATTTTGCATTTCTCTAAGTGTGTCCTTTATTTCCTGAAGTTGTGATTGTTTTCTGTTTATGCTATCTATTTCACTGAAGATTTCTCCCCTCATTTCTTCTATCATTTTTTTTTCAATTTCCTTACATTGAACTTCATCTTTCTCTGGTACCTCCTTGATTAGCTTAATAACTAACCTGAATTCTTTTTCAGGTAAATCAGGGATTTCTTCTTGGTTTGGATCCATTGCTGGTGAGCTAGTGTGATTTTTGGGGGTGTTAAATAACCCTATTTTGTCATATTACCAGAATTGTGTTTCTGTTTCCTTCTTATTTGGGTAGGCTATTTCAGAAGGAAGGCTACTGTTCAGTTTCTTTTGTCCCACAAGGTGTTCCCTTGATGTAGTATGCTCCCCCTGTCCTAGGGATGTGGCTTCCAGAGAGCTAAGCTGTAGTGATTGTTATCTCTCTTCTGGATCTAGCCACCCAGCAGGTCTACCCGTTTCCAGTCTGGTCCTGGGGGATATCTGCACAGTGTCTTGTGATGTGAATGATCTGCAGGTATCTTAGCCATGAATATCAGCATTTGCTCTGGTGGAAGTAACAGGCAGGTGAAATGGACTCTGTGAAGGTCTTTAGTTTTGGTTGTTTAGTGCACTATTTTTTGTGCTAGTTGGCCTCTTGCCAGGAGGTAGGCTTTCAAGAGAGCATCAGCTGTAGTAGTGTCCAATCTTAATGTCTTTTAGACAACATGAAATAATGCAAAAATAGTACCAAGATTAGTCCAATACAACAGTATAAAATTTATAGGCACCATGAACAATGTACTTTATACAAAACAAAAAGCCTCCTGAATTCTAGAGTGGCAAGTTCTTTGAGCTGGTGTTATGACTTGAACATGTGCATCCCGCAAACTCATATGCTAAAATCCTAATTCCCCAATATGATGATATTAGGAAGTGGGGCCTTTGGAAGATCATAAGGGTGGAGCCCACATGAGTGGTATTAGCACCCTTATAAAAGAGACCCGTAGAGCTCACTAGTTCTTTCTATCATGTTAGAACACAGCAAGAAGATAGCTGTATATGAACCAGAAAGTAGACCTTCACCAGACATGGAATCTACTGGTGCCTTGATATTGAAATCCTCAGCCTCCAGAACTGGAGAAATAAATGTTTGTTGTTTAAGCTACCCAACCTATGATCTATGTTCTTTTGCTATAGCAATACAAACAGATCAAGATAGCTGGAAATTATTTTCATCTTCTTAGAGAACTATGAATGCATGGCTGGGGTTGGGGAAAGACTAGAAATAGGTCACAATATCCTATATTGTGAGGGGAAATGGCATTATCCTGGAGAAATATAAGTGTCCAACAAATATTTTAGTGTGCCAGAAATCTCCCTTTATGCTTAATTATGATCACCATGCTCTGTCATAAATGAAGTACTCCAGATATCCAGGAGAGATTGCCAGGGACAATGGCTTTTCGCTCGATCAGAACTCCAGCTTCAATTCTGTATTACTAATACTGTACTAAAAATCTTCAGGTTTTTCTAGATTTAAACAAGTCTGAGTCATCCTGTTGACCAATTAAGGCCTAGGCATTGGAATGAATTAAAATTAATCATTATATTAATATGTTAGCTGATAAAGATACTCTGATTTTCTGTAAGGATTATGCCTTATATTTGGTACAGGAAACAGACTGTGAGATGAAGACTTGAATGAAGAAAGTTGATTTACCAGTGCCTTTGATATTAATATCTGTGTTGGGGTGAAGGAAGGAAGTTTGGGCAGAGAAAATGTAAACTGTGATTCAGTCTTAACAAAAGCCTTAGCATATCCACAAGGAACTCTGAATCTGAGAAAGCCTTTCAGTGTTATCCAGCCTCGAAGCACAGGGATCAGGTCTTGATATCATTTTATTGATCAGTCATAGATTGGGTTTCTTCAGGGTACAAATATTACCCTGAGCAGGCAGCTCTCTTTGACTTAAGGCAATTCATGGAGAGGGATTCAGCAGGGAACCATTATCTGTTGACAGTTCTGAAGGAGATCTCTGGATTGTGCACCACAGCATCCACTATGGTTCACCCCTTGTGCTATCTTAGTCCACTTCCACCCTATGATAAATTTCACACATATTTTATGTGACGCTTATTAGTCTATAATTCAAGATAAACTTACAAAAAGAAGGGAAGTGGGATAAATTATCATCCCTGCTTCTGCAAGTGGTCTTAAGACTGAGGCTTTACCATGTAGATTTTCTATCATTATTACCTTTCAGGACCACTACTGATTAGGGTTGTAGTACAGCAGCTGATTAAGCTCAACTTCCATTAGTTGGACAAGATAAATTCCTATATTGTTATAAATGTAGGCAGATATAGAGGGACTGGTACACCAATGGTGGGTGTTACAAGGGTCTGGACCACTGCATATTCCTGATTTTAGATGTATCATTTCTATGTTACAATGTGTTTCTACTAGGCCTGCCTTGCTTATGACATGAAGGGTCTGACAGAACTCAGCTCATGATTTGCAGGGCAAATGGCCACTTAATTTCTTATGGTTAAGTATTTCTTCTATACCAGGGCCAAATAACATGCTAGAAACAGAGTTTTTTTTTTTAATGTTGCATAATTCTCCACTATGCCATAAATAACAAAGAATCATTACCCATTACCCAAACCTCTGTATAAGAATATGCCAGGTTGGTACAGCTTTTACTTTTTCTAGCTTTTCTCTATTGCAGAATACTTTTCTGGTCTGGACCTACTCAAAGATGGCAGGTATGCATGTCACTTTGTTAATAGCTTGTGGCAATATTCTTAAGTGTGGGAGATGCTACTTCTCTTTTTCTTTTCCACCACCCCCTCCTCTCTCTTTCCTTATCTCAATAGGCCCCATATATGAAAACTGGCTCAAGTTCAGAAACTGTCAAGAACCATGGAATTTTATTGGAGATGCTGCCCTCAGTCTACTGACCATCCATGCTTAATTTCTTTTGATTGTGCATATGGAGAAACTTTCATCAGCTCCCCACCTGAGGATGCTGCTATCTATTAACTACCTCCATAGCTCTCTGAGAGTCATGGCCTACAGGTGGCCATTGTGATTTTTCCACTAGTTATGGCAACTGGTTCCATCCTGTTTCTGATGATTAAATACTGCTTTTGGCCTCCACCTTTTCAAGATTCCATTACCTTTTGTGTCATCGAGGAACCCAGTTCTGTAACAGTATTTATTACTCATAAGTCCTCCCAGTAGAGGGCAGGTGACATTGAGTTTCTCCAGGATGATATTTCTCTCACTAGTACATCACATATTGCTTTGGCAAATGCGGCTCTTCTTCAGAATATGGTTAAATGGCGAATTTTCTGGCCTTACATAGTATATTCAGTAGGTTGGCCACTTTTGTAAAATTTTAAACTCTTCTTTGCCACGTCTGGCAGTCTTGGCATTTATACTTTACCTACTATAAACTACCACTTTCTCAAAACTTCTAATAACTCAATCAGTATGTTAACACTGTTTTCTGAGGTTTTCATCAAAGTGTCAAATCCTTTTGGGATAGTTTTCCTTTATCAATAAACTGGCCAGCCATTATCCATTCTCATGTTCTACCTTCTTTGATACAAGAGCCTCTGGATACAGACCAAATCACACTCTCCTAACTCCTTCCAGTATACAGTCATCCCTGGTATCCACAGGGGATTGGTTCCAGGACCTCCCCTGGATACCCAAATCTGTAGATGCTCAAGTCCCTTATGTAAAATGGCATAGCATTGGCATATAATCTATGGACATAATCCTGTATACTTTATATCATTTCTATATTACTTACAATACCTAACACAATGTAAAAGCTGTGTAGTTGTTATACTTTTTAAAAAAATTTCTACATTATTATTTTTTATTGTATTTTTGTCATATTTTCAATCTGCAGTTAGTTGAATCTGTGGGTGGGGAACCTGTGAATACAAAGGACTAATTGTATATTGACTAGGTCTTGCTGAACCCATTAGAAGTTTGTTGAGAGATGTCCTCAGGTCTTTTTGGGATATAGTCGCTTATCTTTCTTAACATGCCTAGCACTTTCCCAGCATGTAAGCTAAAAATGGAGTTGAGTTTAGATGCTGAGGAGTGTTCAAGACACTGGGTGAGGTGGAAATTACTGCATCATTTTCAGACAATGGGGGCATTCTAGTCTTTATTAGGAAGCAATGTGCATCTTCTTCAAGCCCAGAGTATTCAGGGGATTTGGGTTTAGTGATTTTTAATCCATCAACAAAAATATTTCCAACTCAAGGCTCAGGGTCCCAAGCTTTTCCAACCAGGAATCTATCATTGGCATTAACATAGCCTTTGTTGGCTATGAATTCGACCTCCTCTGGAAGGCTCTCTGCTGCTATTATAATTATAATACTATAATTGATTCTTGGACCTGATTCTCAGGTTTTTTCCTGCCCTCTATCTTTAGGAAATAAGAGTCCCTTTTTAACCTGCCAAGGAGGCCCTCTGAATTTTACAGTTGACTTTCATGGGTGATTAATCACCCACAACATTTTATTGGTCTTCTCTGATGTATCAATGTCACTCAGCTAAAACATCTAATTCAATTTCCTTCTAACACTCCCCTTAGCCAGTCAAAAGCCGAGACACTGAAATTTTGAGTGCATTAACTTATACCAGCATACCATCCCAATTTATCAAAGGTTAGAGTTTTAACAATTGCACTGCTATAATTACAGTACTCCATCTCCTCCCAATAATGATGCCGCCCTTACCAGCTGGCTGATAGAGGAACAGGCTTCAATATCTCATATTAAGATATGTTTACTTAGACTTGATGATGCCAATGTCTTAAGTCAGGATTCCCTGAAAAGAAATGAAGATGGATTTTGCATGTGGGAACTGTGTTGGGCAGTATCCTCGAAATCAACATTTTAAACATGTAAAGTCACTAGAATTTGGCAAAGGAAGAAGTTAAGCTTCAATGCAGTTACAAGGATGGCCTCAAATAGTTTCAGGAGAAGCGCTTGAGCCAAAAAGACCCTTCAGAGTCATCTTGCCTTGAGACAAAGGAGCCATGACTTTACACTTTTATACTGACAATGAATAGGTTTAAATGTTGGGAAGGGTCCTGACACGAGCACACGTTTCCAGCTAAAAGAAAGTTCTAAAGAGAGACTTAGCTGCTCACATTTTCAGAAGGTGGTGGAATGAGTTTCTCAGTCCTGCAGGAGGAGTCTGGGTGGCACGTCATATTATCCATTACAGAAAGTGATTGCAAATTACATTGTGTTACTCACTTCTTCTTGATTTCATGTTCATAAGTACTTTAGGCGCTTTTTCCCTCCCGGCTTCTACTATAACTTCTGGGAGTAGTAAGGATATTGATTCAGGTTTCCTTATGTTTATTTTCCTTTTTTTTTTTTTATTATACCTTAAGGTCTAGGTTACATGTGCACAACATGCAGGTTTGTTATATATGTATACATGTGCCATGTTGGTGTGCTGCACCCATTAACTCATCATTTACATTAGGTATATCTCCTAATGCTATCCCTCCCCAGTCCCCTCAACCCATGACAGGCCCCGGTGTGTGATGTTCCCCACCCAGTGTCCATGTGTTCTCATTGTTCAACTCCCATCTATGAGTGAGAACATGCGGTGTTTGGTTTTCTGTCCTTGTGATAATTTGCTGAGAATGATGGTTTCCAGCTTCATCCATGTCCCTGCAAAGGACATGAACTCATCCTTTTTTATGGTTGCATAGTATTCCATGGTGTATATGTGCCATATTTTCTTAATCCAGTCTATCATTGACGGACATTTGGGATGGTTCCAAGTCTTTGCTATTGTGAATAGTGCCGCAGTAAACATACGTGTGCATGTGTCTCTACAGCAGCATGATTTATAATCCTTTCGGTATATACCCAGTAATGGGATGGCTGGGTCAAATGGTATTTCTAGTTTTAGATCCTTGAGGAATCGCCACACTGTCTTCCACAATGGTTGAACTAGTTTACAGTCCCACCAACAGTGTAAAAGTGTTCCTATTTCTCCACATCCTTTCCAGCACCTGTTGTTTCCTGACTTTATAATGATCACCATTCTAACTGGTGTGAGATGGTATCTCATTGTGGTTTTGATTTGCATTTCCCTGATGGCCAGTGATGATGAGCATTTTTTCATGTGTGTGTTGGCTGCATAAATGTCTTCTTTTGAGAAGTGTCTGTTCATATCCTTCACCCATTTTGATGGGGTTGTTTGACTATTGTTGTAAATTTGTTTAAGTTCTTTATAGATTCTGGATATTAGCCCTTTGTCAGATGGGTAGATTGCAAAAATTTTCTCCCATTCTGTAGCTTGCCTGTTCACTCTGACAGTAGTTTCTTTTGCCGTGCAGACTCTCTTTAGTTTCAATTAGATCCCATTTCTCAATTTTGGCTTTGGTTGCCATTGCTTTTGCTGTTTTAGACATGAAGTCCTTGCCCATGCCTATGTCCTGAATGGTATTACCTAGGTTTTCTTCTAGGGTTTTTATGGTTTTAGGTCTGACACTTAAGACTTTAATCCATCTTGAATTAATTTTTGTATAAGGTGTAAGGAAGGGATCCAGTTTCAGCTTTCTACATATGGATAGCCAGTTTTCCCAGTACCATTTATTAAATAGGGAATCCTTTCCCCATTGCTTGTTTTTGTCAAGTTTGTCAAAGATCAGATGGTTGTAGATGTGTGGTATTATTTCTGAGGCCTCTGTTCTGTTCCATTGGTCTATATCTCTGTTTTGGTACCAGTACCATGCTGTTTTGGTTACTGTAGCCTTGTAGTATAGTTTGAAGTCAGGTAGCGTGATGCCTCCAGCTTTGTTCTTTTGGATTAGGATTGACTTGGCAGTGTGGGCTCTTTTTTGGTTCCATATGAACTTTAAAGTAGTTTTTTCCAATTCTGTGGAGAAAGTCATTGGTAGCTTGATGGGGATGGTATTGAATCTACAAATTACCTTGAGCAGTGTGGCCATTTTCATGATATTGATTCTTCCTATCCATGAGCATGGAATGTTCTTCCATTTTTTTGTGTCCTCTTTTATTTCGTTGAGCAGTGGTTTGTAATTCTCATTGAAGAGGTCCTTCACAACCCTTGTAAGTTGTATTCCCAGGTATTTTATTCTCTTTGAAGCAATTGTGAATGGGAGTTCATGCATGATTTGGCTCTCTGTGTGTCTGTTATTGGTGTATAGGAATGCTTGTGATTTTTGCACATTGATTTTGTATTCTGAGACTTTGCTGAAGCTGCTTATCAGCTTAAGGAGATTTTGGGCTGAGACAATGGGGTTTTCTAAATATACAATCATGTCATCTGCAAACAGGGACAGTTTGACTTCCTCTTTTCCTAATTGAATACCCTTTATTTCTTTCTCCTGCCTGATTGCCTTGGCCAGAACTCCTAACACTATGTTCAACAGGAGTGGTTAGAGAGGGCATCTCTGTCTTGTGCCAGTTTTCAAAGGGAATGCTTCTAGTTTTTGCCCATTCAGTATGATATTGGCTGTGGGTTTGTCATAAATAGCTCTTATTATTTTCAGATACGTCCCATCAATACCTAATTTATTGAGAGTTTTTAGCATGAAGGGCTGTTGAAATTTGTCGAAGGCCTTTTCTGCATCTATTGAGATAATCATGTGGTTTTTGTCTTTTGTTCTGTTTATATGATGGATTAGTTTATTGATTTGCATATGTTGAACCAGCCTTACATCCCAGGGATGAAGCCCCCTTCATCATAGTGGATAAGCTTTTTGATATGCTGCTGGATTTGGTTTGCCAATATTTTATTGAGGATATTTGCATCAATATTCATCAGGGATATTGGTCTAAAATTCTCTTTTTTTGTTGTGTCTCTGCCAGGCTTTGGTATCAGGATGATGCTGGCCTCATAAAATGAGTTAGGGAGGATTCCCTCTTTTTCTATTAATTGGAATAGTTACAGAAGAAATGGTACCAGCTCCTCTTTGTACCTGTGGTAGAATTCGGCTGTGAATCCATCTGGTCCTGGACTTTTTTTGGTTGGTAGGCTATTAATTATTGCCTCAATTTTAGAGCCTGTTATTGGTCTATTCAGGGATTCAATTTCTTCCTGGCTTAGTCTTGGGAGGGTGCATGTGTCCAGGAATTTATCCATTTCTTCTAGATTTTCTAGTTTATTTGCATAGATGTGTTTATAGTATTCTCTGATGGTAGTTTGTATATCTATGGGAACAGTGGTGATATCCCCTTTATCATTTTTTATTGTGTCTATTTGATTCCTCTCTCTCTTCATCTTTATTAGTCTTCCTAGCGGTCTATCAATTCTGTTGATCTTTTCAAAAAACCTGCTCCCAGTTTCATTGATTTGTTGAAGGGTTTTTTGTGTTTCTATCTCCTTCAGTTCTGCTCTGATCTTAGTTATTTCTTGCCTTCTGCTAGCTTTTGACTGTGTTTGCTCTTGCTTCTCTAGTTCTTTTAATTGTGATGTTAGGGTGTCAACTTTAGATTTTTCCTGCTTTCTCTTGTGGGCATTTAGTCCTATAAATTTCCCTCTACACACTGCTTTAAATGCGTCCCAGAGATTCTGGTATGTTGTGTCTTTTTTTGTTCTCATTGGTTTCAAAGAACATCTGAATCTCTGACTTCATTTCTTTATGTACCCAGTAGTCATTCAGGAGCAGGTTGTTCAGTTTCCATGTAGTTGAGCAGTTTTGAGTGAGTTTCTTAATCCTGAGTTCTAGTTTGATTGCACTGTGGTCTGAGAGAGTTTCTTATAATTTCTGTTCTTTTACATTTGCTGAAGAGTACTTTCCTTTCAACTATATGGTCAATTTTGGAATAAGTGTGATGTGGTGCTGAGAAGAATGTATATTCTGTTGATTTGGGGTGGAGCGTTCTGTAGATGTCTATTAGGTCAGCTTGGTGCAGAGCTGAGTTCAATTCCTGGATATCCTTGTTAACTTTCTGTCTCGTTGATCTGTCTTATGTTGACAGTTGGGTGTTAAAGTCTCCCATTATTATTGTGTGGGAGTCTAAGTCTCTTTGTAGGTCTCTAAGGACTTGCTTTATGAATCTGGGTGCTCCTGTATTGGATGCATATATATTTAGGATACTTAGCTCTTCTTGTTGAATTGATCCCTTTACCATTATGTAATGGTCTTGTCTCTTTTGATCTTTGTTGGTTTAAAGTCCGTTTTATCAGAGACTAAGATCGCAACCCCTGCTTTTTTTTGTTTTCCATTTGCTTGGTAGATCTTCCTCCATCCCTTTATTTTGAGCCTATGTGTGTCTCTGCACGTGAGATGGGTCTCCTGAATACAGCACACTGATGGGTCTTGACTCTTTATCCAATTTGCCAGTCTGTGTCTTTTAATTGGAGCATTTAGCCCATTTACATTTAAGGTTAATATTGTGATGTATGAATTTGATCCTGTCATTATGATGTTAGCTGGTTATTTTGCTTGTTAGTTGATGCAGTTTCTTCCTAGCCTCGATGGTCTTTACAATTTGGCATGTTTTTGCAGTGGCTGGTACTGGTTGTTCCTTTCCATGTTTAGTGCTTCCTTCAGGAGCTCTACTGAGGCAGGCCTGATGGTGACAAAATCTCTCAGCATGTGCTTGTCTGTAAAGGATTTTATTTCTCCTTCACTTATGAAGCTTAGTTTGGCTGGATATGAAATTCTAGGTTGAAAATTATTTTCTTTAAGAATGTTGAATATTGGCCCCCACTCTCTTCTGGTTTGTAGAGTATCTGCTGAGAGATCAGCTGTTAGTCTGATGGATTTCCCTTTGTGGTAACCTGACCTTTATCTCTGGCTGCCCTTAACATTTTTTCCTTCATTTCAACTTCGGTGAATCTGACAATTATGTGTCTTAGAGTTGCTCTTCTCGAGGAGTATCTTTGTGGCGTTCTCTGTATTTCCTGAATTTGAATGTTGGTCTGCCTTGCTAGATTGGGGAAGTTCTCCTGGATAATATCCTGAAGAGTGTTTTCCAACTTGGTTACATTCTCCCCGTAACTTTCAGGTACACCAATCAGACGTAAATTTGGTCTTTTCACATAGTCTCATATTTCTTGGAGGCTTTGTTCATTTCTTTTTACTCTTTCTTCTCTGAACTTCACTTCTCCCTTCATTTCATTGGTTTGATCTTCAATCACTGATACCCTTTCTTCCAGAATTGGCTACTGAAGGTTGTGCATGCATCACATAGTTCTTGTGCCATAGTTTTCAGCTCCTTCAGGTCATTTAAGGTCTTCTCTATGCTGCTTATTCTAGTTAGCCATTTGTCCAATTTTTTTTCAAGGTTTTTAGCTTCTTTGCCATGGGTTCAAACATCCTCCTTTAGCTCGGAGAAATTTGTTATTACTGATCATCTGAAGACTTCTTCTTTCAACTCATCAGAGTCATTCTCTGTCCAGCTTTGCTCTGTTGCTGGCAAGGAGCTGTGTTCCTTTGGAGGAGAAGAGGCGCTCTGATTTTTAGAATTTTCAGCTTTTCTGCTCTGGTTTCTCCCAATCTTTGTGGTTTTATCTACCTTTGGTCTTTGATGATGGTGACGTACAGATGGGGTTTTGGTGTGGATGTCCTTTCTGTTTGTTAGTTTTCCTTCTAACTGTCAGGTCCCTCAGCTATAGGTCTTTTGGAGTTTGCTGGAGGTTCACTCCAGACCCTGTTTGCCTGGGTATTCCCAGTGGAGGCTGTAGAACTACAAATATTGCAGAACGGCAAATGTTGCTCCCTTATCTTTCCTTTGGAAGCTTAGTCTCAGAGGGACACCTGGCTGTATGAGGTGTCAGTTGGCCCCACTGGGAGGTGCCTCCCAGTTAGGCTACTCGGGGATCAGGGACCCACTTGAGGAGGCGGTCTGTCCTTTCTCAGATCTCAAACTCCATGCTGGGAGAACCACTACTTTCTTCAAAGCTGCCAGACGGGGACGTTTAAGTCTGCAGAAGTTTCTGCTGCCTTTTGTTCAGCTATGCCCTGCCCCCAGAGGTGGAGTCTACAGAGGCAGGCAGGCCTCTTTGAGCAGTGGTGGGCTCCACCCAGTTCGAGCTTCTTGGCTGCTTTGTTTACCTATTCAAGCCTCAGCAATGTTGGGTGCCCCTCCCCCAGCCTCGCTGCAGCCTTGCAGTTCGATCTCAGACTGCTGTGCTAGCAGTGAGGAAGGCTCCGTGGCCATGGGACCCTCTGAGCCAGGCTCAGGATATAATCTCCTGGTGTGCTGTTTGCTAAGACTGTTGGAAAAGTGCTGTATTAGGGTGGGAGTGACCCAATTTTCCAGGTGTCATCTGTCATGGCTTCCTTTGGCTAGGAAAGGGAATTCCCTGACCCCTTGCACTTCCTGGGTGAGGTGTTGCCTCGCCCTGCTTTGCTTATGGTCTGTGGGCTGCACCCACTGTCCTGCACCCACTGTCCGACAAGCCCCATTGAGATGAACCTGGTACCTCAGTTGGAAATGCAGAAATCACCAGTCTTCTGCCTCACTCATGCTGGGAGCTGTAAACTGTAGCTGTTCCTATTTGGCCATCTTGGAACTTCCCCTCCTTATGTTTATTTTCTACTGTTAATGTTGACACATATGATGGCTATTTTAAGTGATACATGTTATAGTTTTGCTATTTAATATATATTTGGGAATTAGAATACTTATTTTTTTCATGAAACCCAGGATTTTATAGCAAAAAGACAGCTCATTCCTGACACATTTTCCAAAAGCTAACTTCAGCAAAAGGAAGATGTCCATTCCTTCCTAATAAAGGCAAGAATGTCCCCAATATCTCTGTAGACTAGTAAAATAGAGCTGTTTAAGAAATTCTAGGAGGCCTAAAGGAAAATAAAAAGAAGTAAAGAAAACAATAAATGCCACCTTCAGTTTTAAGTAAATTTTGTTCATCTTGCTGTTTGAAGCAGCCATTGTTAATTTTGGAAATCTTTTACAATATTTACTTTTGGATCACTTTTAATGCCACTGAGATTTACTATCTAAATGAAACAATCAAAATAAGAAACAGTCATGTAAGTGGCAAACACCTCTGCTCTACTATCTCATTGCAGTGGGATAATAAAGCTTAGGTCCATTGATCCAGGAACGACTGTGTAAGAGCATCACATGGCTCATAGCACAGAATCCCAACTAAGATATGCAGAGAATTATACTCTAACATAATATTTAAAAGCCCTGTAGTAAGTTAATATATAACATTATGGTTTGAAGAAAGAGTATTTTTGTGAGAGATTTCACATTCAAACATATTGAATACTCAATGTGGCATGTATTTGGATGGGCAATGAAAAATTTATACAACTGTTCATGAATAATCACACGGTTGCACTTAATGTTCAGTAACACTTACCTGAATGTTTTCATATTGCTGAGATACATTCATATACAAAGCCTGAAAGCACACATTTGAATGTATGATTGATGAAAATAGATCTACTTAATATTGTTCTAGCCTCATCTACTCTCTCTAATGTTTATATAGTTCTTGGTATTGTTTTCAAATAAAATAACAAAATGCAATATGAGAGCTTGAAAAATATTTTACTAGTTATCCCAAAAGAATTAAGAAATAATACAAATGAATTAGAAGTCATTTTAGTATTTTTCATAGTTTAAAGAAATATAATGAGAGACATTTTCCAAAGAGGTGTTTTAGAAGCTTGTGAAAATGGATGTGGCTTAATTACCTTTCAGTACCTGGAGTGTGCTGGTTATGTGCCATGTTTGACACAAAAGAGCAGGATTCTACTTCTTTGTTCCCCCAGTTTTACTCAGTGTGGTTGCATAGCTGAACCAAAATATTCATCATCACCGAATAAAGCATTTAGCTTTGAGGGTGGTGGGTTAGAATCAAGGAAGCATAGGAATTTTACACGTTCTAAGTATCCTGAGGGAAGAGATAGAAATAAAACAAGGTGGCTGGGAAGAATTCCTTACAAATCACTCAAGAACATGCTAATTCATTTCTTTCAGCTTTATTCAGGTACAATTGACAAGTAGAAGTTGTATGTATTTAAGGAGTATAACTTGATGTTTTGATACATGTGTTATATTATAAAATAATCACCACAATCAAGCTAATTAACATATGTGTCACCTCACACATTTAAATTTATTTTTATTTTTGATGAAAACACTTAAGATCTATCATCTTAGCAAAGTTTAAGTATGTAAGTCATTATTGTTAATGGATGTACAGGAGATCTTCAGAACATATTATTTTGCATAACTAAAACTTTGTAAGCTTTAACATCTCTCCATTTTTTTCTCGCTCAGCTCTGACAACCACCATTCTAACTCTCTGCTTCTGAGTTTGACTATTTTAGATTCCACATATAAGTCAGATCACACAGTATTTGTCCTTTTGTGTCTGGCTTACTTTATTTAGTGTAATGTCCTCCAGTTCAATCATCTTGTCATAAATATCAGGACTATCTTATTTTTTAAAGCTGAATAATATTCCACTGTGTTTACATACCTACCAACCTACCCACCTATCTACATATCTTGGGTTTTCTTGTCCATTCATCTATCAGTGGACATTTAGATTGTTTCTATATCACGGCAATGGTGAATAATGCTGCAATATAAACATGAGAGTGCAAATATTTGTTTGACATAGTTATATCATTATCTTCAGATATACACCAGAAACGGGATTGCTGGATATTATATGATAGCTGTATCTTTAACTTTTTGATGAATTTCTAGACTGTTTTCTATAATGAGTGTATCAATTTACATTCCCACCAGCAGGGTACAAGTGTTACCTTTCCACCAGATTCTTGTCAGTATGTGTTGCCTTTTGTCTTTTTGATAATTGCCATTTTAACTGGGGTGAGGTGATATCTAATTGTGATTTTTACTTGGATTTTTCCAATCATTAGTGATATTGAACACCTTTTCCTACAGCTTTGGGTTCTTTGTATGACTTCTTTTGAAAAATGTCTATTCAGGTTCTTTGTCCTATCTTGACTTCAAAACACTACAAAACTATAGTAGCCAAAACAGCATGGTACTAGCATAAAAACAGATATATAAACCAAAGGAACAAAATAGAGGGCCCAGAAATTTATGCATGTATGGTCAACTGATCTTTGACAGGGTGCCAAGAACATATGATGGGGAAAGGATGGTATCTTCAATAAATTGTACTGGGAAAACTAGTATCTACACATAGAAGAATGATTTTGAACCCTTTCACCATATACAAAAATCAACTGAAAATCTATTCAAGTCTTAGACATAAGGCCTGAAACCATAAAACTACTTGAAGAAACTACAGGAAAAAGCTCCTTGATATTGGTTTGGGCAATAAGTTTTTTTGGATATGATACTAAACACACAACAACAAAAGCAAAAATAGACAAATTTAGAAAAAATAGTAGAACTTCATTAAACTGCAAAGCTTCTGCACAGCAAATAATCAATCGTGTGAAAAGAGAATCCACAGAATGAGAGGAAATATTTGTGAACCATATATCTGATAAGAGGTTAGTATGCAAAATATGTAAGAAATTTATGCAATTCAATAGCAAATAAGCAAGGAAAAAAGGAACCCACTTAAGAAAAGGAACACGCTCATTTTTTGACTCTTACTTTAAGACTGATAAAAGATCTGCAGAAAAAAAGCCACATATAAAAATATATATATATAAAAATACATAAATAAATCTGATTTCTGTATGTTGGTAGGTAAAAAAAGAACTCCCTTTAATAAAGTTTAATTATTTAATTATTACTGTGTATAATATTTCTTTCTCTTTGAGAATATTCACACCAGAGGGTATGGTTGAAAAAATTTATTTCTTGTGTTACTAAAACTGCTAACTAATTATCACATTAATTGTATGGGTTTCACGTATTATTCTTTGAAGTATCTGAAGTCATTAGTGCTCATGAGTCTTAACAGCTCTCTTTATGTAAGGCCTTTGGGGTAACAGTAG
Source organism: Homo sapiens (assembly GCF_000001405.40). Classification (NCBI taxonomy): domain Eukaryota; kingdom Metazoa; phylum Chordata; class Mammalia; order Primates; family Hominidae; genus Homo; species Homo sapiens. The sequence continues at coordinate 100,939,643 of NC_000005.10, forward strand.
ACACTCTAGAAATTTAATAATAGATTACAAAAAATATACTACTGTTTGCCATTATCTCAATTTCCTGAGTGTTCCCCATTCTAATGCATTTTCTTTAATCTCCTCTTTCCCCTCCTCATGAAACTACCTCTACATTATGTTCTATAAAATTGGCATTTCTTTGTTAGTTTATTGGTTGTATCAATTGCAAATTGTCTCTCTTCCTGTTGGCATTTTAATAAGGCCTAAGGAAAGAGCATAAATGCTATTGTGATGGTTAATTTTAAGTGTCAACCTGTAGGGTATTTTTGGATGAGATTAATGTTTAAATTGGTTAATTTTAGGTAAAGCAGATTATTATCCACAATGTTGGTGAGCCTCATCCAAATTGTTGAATACCTGAATGGAACAAAATTTCCAACCTCTGTGAGCATGAAGAAATTTTCTAGCAGACTGCCTTTCAACTTCACCTGCACCATCAGCTTTCCAGAGTCTCCATCCTGTCAGCATTTGGACTGGAACAATGCCATTGGCTGTCCTACGCCTCAAACCTCCTGGCCCGTGCTGCAAGATTCTAACTCACTAGCCTTTGTAATCATGTGAGCCAATTCCTTAAGAGATAAGAATCTCTTTCGAGATATTAAACAAGACATTCAATTGGTTCTTTTACTCTGGAGAACCTAATACAGCTGTCATGAAAAACTTGGATATTCAAATTAGATAAAAGTATATTTCAGAAATGTACCAGGATCACATTGTTAGCTTGTCTCTATGGCTTTATCCTAAGTCCTTAAGTATTCTCTGCTTAGACAGCAGGGTTTGCTTAGTGGAGAGATTGTATCTCTAACTGTATTGCCAGGACAGGTTTTTGACTACATACCACCTATCTTTCTCAAGAAAGTGATAATAAAAGCAATTTTTTTCATATTTGAAATCCTAGAGTACAACAATAGCAAATGGAAAATGAAGAAAGAGGGAATTAAAAATGAGTAAAAGTATTAACATTACTTGTTTTAGGAAAAAGTAACAATAAGTAGATAAACAATGGCTAGATAAGGAAAAATTTTTAAAGTCACTGTTAAAACTTGAATTTTCTTCTAAAATTCTCCTGCTGAACACCTTTCTAGATGGGTAAAAGAGTGAGAATATTAAATAAAATTCTAAACTTTTAAAAATATAACTGGTTTTAATTATCTGACAGGTAACATACAAAATTTATATGTAAGGACATTTTTAACTATAGCAGTTGTTCCCAACATATACTTCAAAAGTAGTGTTCGGCCGTCCTAAAACACTAGAAAACTTCTACAGGCCTTTGACCTCTTGTAGATTATGTGGAAAACAGTAATCTATCTATTCTGTATTTTTTTTCAGAAGTATCCAAATTTTTTCCTCAGGGAAAAAAAATACAGGTAATAAGTTTCTTGATAAAATGTTTCTCTTAAAAACTGCATAGATTACTTCTACTTTCAGGTAAGGTCTTACTTCTCTCCATAAATAATTGAAAACTTAGATAAAACATGTTTTTAGATACTAGACAACAGTAAATACTGTGAGCTAAAGAAATAAAATAGGTAACTACCTACAATCATTCTGACTTTCTGGCCTACAGGATATTTATAAATCTTGGGGCAGGGAGAGCCAACCCACTAGCTCCCAAGAGCTGTAGCTAACATTTTATTTATTATTTTTTGATTTGAGGAGATGGTGTTTGTAGCATAAATCTGAGATTGCTAGAATATTTTGGGACGGATCACCAATGAAGAAAGAGTTACTCAGAGAAACAGCTCCAGAAATCTACATAACGAATCAACGAAGTCTTTAGTTGAATGCCAATCTGCATGTTAAGGTGAAACTCCCTGAGGATAGGCAAAGAAAATTTCTGAGGAAAGAATAATTTCCAGGTACATATAAGTCAAAACAATTTCCACAGGACAAACAGTGTCATGACTCCTTCCAAGTGCTAGCAAACAAAGTGAAGTAACATCATTGAATACATGGGCAGTAGTAGAGACGCAAGATAGGCCCATGCTCTAGTAATTGGGCTAAACTAGTCCCATAAAATAGATTATTCTGTACCAGGGATCAGCAAATTAAGGACCAATCTGAACCACTACTTTCCAGTAACTAAAATTTTATTGCAAAATGGCTTTTCACTTATTTACATATTATCTATAGAGACTTCAGTGTTACAACAATAGAGTGATAGAAATCAAACGGTCTGCAAAGCTTTAGATAAATACTGTGTGGCTCTTGACAGAAAAAAAATCCCTTGCTGATTCCTCCTCTAGACTTGCCCTAATCAAAGGACTTTCATGCAACTCAACAGCCTATCAGAACAAAATTCAACACTGATAAAAGTCTGACAACAAAATTCAGTAATCAAATATTTAACATTTTCAATGTCTGTCATCCAATCCAGAATTACCACACATACAAAGAAGGAGGATAAAATACCTCTATACCCAGGTAAAACAAATCAAAAAATAACATAGATGATGACAAAAGTAGAAAACATTTTTTAAAATAGGTATAATTATCATGTGCAGCATGTGCAAATATTTTTTAAAATGAACATAATGAGGAGAGTCATAGGGATATAAAAAAAGAACCAAAGGGAAATTCTAAAGATAAAATTATGATACCAAAAATTAAAATTATTCTGATTGGTAGATTAGGCCCTGAAATAGAAAGTCAGTGAAATTGAAAACATGGCAACAAAAATTAAAATATAAAATAAATATAAATAAATGCACAAAGGTAAAAAACAAGATATTAATGGCCTCAATATTAATATCAGAGACAATATCAATTGCAACAAAATACATGGGGTGGAATACTAAAAAGAAAGAGAAAGAGAAAAACAATGTGAAGCAATTCTTTTTTTTTTTTTTGAGACAGTCTCACTCCATCGCCTAGGCTGGAGTGCAGTGGCGTAATCTTGGCTCACTGCAACCTCTGCCTCCCGGGTTCAAGCAATTCTCCTGCCTCAGTCTCCCAAGTAGCTGGGATTACAGGCTACTACTACCATGCTCAGCTAATATTTTTTTTTTGTATTTTTAGTAGAGACAGGGTTTCGCCATGTTGGCTAGGGTGGTTTTGAACTCCTAACCTCAGGTGATCCACCCGCCTCGGGATTACAGGCGTGAGCCACCGTGCCCGGCCCATATTTTAAAAATATCTATATTTTATACCAAGTCATCAGACATTTGAGAACATATCCTATTGAAGTAAAACACAGTAAGGATGTATTTAAAGAATGAGTATTGAAGAAATACTCACAGAATTGAAAAATCAGAGAATGTTAAATAATTATAATATATTCATATTAAAAAATAATATTCAGTCTTAAAGCAAATAGTTAAAGCAACTAAACCAGTTGTAATAGGCAGATTTCCAAAAAACGGTTATGTAAGAAAACAAGATACAAACATTGTAATATCATTTCATGTTTTCAATATAAATTATTTAAAAATTTCATATATGTATATGTATGTTTACCAAACTATGTGAGTACTGAGAAAAATATGAAAGAATGCATGCTTGATTGTCATATCCCATGGGTGTGTAATGGGAGTAGTGAAGAAGATAAATGGGGTAGTATAAAAAATATAAAACCATAATACACTAAAATGTAATATGAATGTTATACTTTACATTTGTTTAAAATTACATATGTGATTTGTACAACTAAAGTGGTATAAAAATTAGAAGCAAAGTTAAATGAGAAGGAATTGATTAAATGTACATACATATACCCACAGAACGGTATCAATACATGGGTACACATACACACACATATATATATAATGTTTATGTTCACTAAATAATTATGTGTCACTTAACGATGGATATACATTCTGAGAAATGTGTTGTCAGGCAATTTTGTCCTTGTGCAAATATCATAGAGTGTATTTACACAAACCTAGTTCACACTTTGGCTATCTGGTATAGACTATTGCTTCCAGGCTACAAACCTGTACAACATGCTACTGTTCCAAATATTGTAGGCAATTGTAACTGGATGTTAAGTATTTGTGGATCTTAATGTATCTAAACATAGAAAAGGCACATACAAAAATACAGTATTATAATCTTATGAGACCATGGTCATCCATGTGGTCCATCATTGACTGAAGAATCGTTAGCATGTCATGACTGTACATATACAGCATTCATATATTTAAATACATGCATATATATTATATATATATGGGGCATACACATAAGTAATATATATTTTCATACACCTTGCAATTTTACTGCTTGGATTTATTTTCTTAGAAAACAAAATAAATAAGATAGTATAGATTTAAAAATCTATGGATAAAATAATTCAAAGCAATAGTACTTTTGTAGTGAATAACATAATATAGTATAAATGTACAAATACAGTGATGCATTACAGATATTTTGCGTATTTTACAGCATGCAAGTTATCTCTTTAAAAGAGCTTTAGAAATGAATTCAGTAAGTGAAAGAACAAAATATTTTTATATCAAATTATTTTGCCAAATTTATACGTTACTACCGCTAGTAACGTATGAGATCATTCATCTCACCATTGCAAACATTGTCATTATAATTCAAAAAATTGTATTTACTATTTGGTTGACTTAATTTACATTTTTAAGAATAGTATAAAATGGCTAAAGTGATGGCATTTTAATTATTTGATTCATCTTTTTTGGCTCCACTTAACAATTGAGGTTCTATTAATTATTTTATGGATTTATGTGGGCTTTTCTATCAAGCTACGTTCTGAAATAGTTGCTCATAATTTAGTACTGCTTTCTTTTTCTCTTAATTTTAGTTAAAGCTTCTGACATACAGTAGTTGTAAATTATATATTAAATCTATTGGTTTTTTCCATTATGATTTTTTTCCTTATTGTAATAAAGCTTAAAATGAATATCCTTCCTCTTGAACAAGTTTCCTATCTAGCTTGTATTAAATTAATCTCAGTGGAACTTAAGGATCCATAGCAAATGGAGGATTCCTGAAATCCAACTGAATATCAAGTATTTTCTGAAGACATCATAAGTAATAGTTTGTGTACTTTTAATTGTGTGAAATATTTTAAGCTTAATAAGCCATATATGTATTTAAAACTAATAAATTTATAGATAGCATATGCAACATTGAATTGATCTAACAGATACCAAAAGAAGTACACCTATAATGCAGGCAGTTGAAATTTATTTTGACACAGGAACTTCTTTATTTTTATTTTTTATTTTTTTGAGATTGAGTCTCACCCTGTCGCCCAGGTTGGAGTGCAGTGGCACCATCTCTGCTCACTGCAACCTCTGCCTCTCCGGTTCAGGTGATTCTCGTGGCTCAGCCTCCCAAGTAGCTGGGATTACAGGCGTGCACCACCATGCCCGGCTAATTTTTGTATTTTTAGTAGTTTTGAACTCCTGACCTGAGGTGATCTGCCCACCTCGGCCTCCCAAAGTGTTGGGATTACGGGCATAAGCCACGGCTCCCAGCCAAGGAACTTATTATACTAAGTGTGGAGAACCCTGCTATAGAAGTCTGTCAAATATTTACTGCCCCCACCCTTTTCTTAGTATTTCTGTAATTCAAATAACTTTTCATATTTCATATTTAGTTTTTCATATTTATTATTGTAATCTATTGGGAAGTTATTTTTACATAGAAAGTTGGTTAGGAATACGATTTATCTTGTCAGGTTTTATAGTTTTTCTAAAAGTTTACCTACGTGTTTTCTTTTTTCTTTTTTCTTTTTTTTTACTTTTTTTTCTTATTTTGAGATGGAGTCTCACACTTGTTGCCCAGGCTGCAGTGCAGTGGCGCGATCGTGGCTCACTGTAACCTCCACCTCCCGGTTTCAAGCGATTCTTCTGCCTCAGTCTCCCGAGTAGTTGGGATTATAGGTGCCAGCCACCACACCTGAATTTTTTGTATTTTTAATAGATACTGGGTTTCATCATGTTGACCAGGCTGGTCTGGAACTCCTGACCTCAGGTGTTCTGCCCGCCTCGGCCTCCCAAAGTGCTGAGATTACAGGCGTGTTTTCATAAGTTTCTTTTCTCTATAAATATCATATTGTATTACTAAAGTGGAGTCATTTTTGTTTCATTATTACTTAATAGCTTTAACTGTGGTAATGAATTTCAGTGCTTTCCTTTCATACTTTATGATTTTTGCACCTTCAGCTTGAAATCAGGTACTATTAAACTCCAGTAATTTTTATTTTTATAACACATTGCAATTTTTGTTATTTTCTTTTCCAATAATTCTACATTTTTGTTCATTGTAGCAACATTAGAAATATACTTTTATTATTTATTTATTTAATTAATTATTATTATTATTTTTTGAGACAGAGCCTCTCTCTGTCACCCAGGCTGGAGTGCAATGGCACAGTCTCAGCTCACTGCAACCTCCACCTCCTAGGTTCAAGTGATTCTCCTGCCTTAGCCTCCTGAGTAGCTAGGAATACAGGTGCATGCCACCATACTCGGCTAATTTTTGTATTTTTAGTAGAGACGGGGTTTCACTATGTTGGCCATGCTGGTCTTGAACTCCTGAACTCGTGATCAGCCTGCTTTGGCCTCCCGAAATGCTGGGATTACAGGCGTGAGCCTCCACACTGGCCTCACATGCTTTTAGTTATAGTGTTTTGTTTTTGCTTTTTAGTAATTGAAGTAATTGTTGTTTTCAAATTCCTTCTTCTGGTTTATCAATTTCCTTATATTTTTCTTAATGTTTTTACTGAGAAATGCTAACAAATTTTATCATGCAATCATGTATATTTTTATTATATTCAGTAATATACTAATGCTTTATTATGTTAATTAGCTATAAAAATATATTTAAAAGTCCTGCTTTGTCATGTTGGCTACAGAATAACACTAATCACTAATATGTCATTTCAAATATATAAATATCAAAGTATATATGTGTGTGTTTTATACACCATATATTACATTATATTAAATACATATATGCCTTATTTATATATATATATAATGTATGCTGAATTTTCTTTCTCTTTCTTCCCTTCTTCTTTCTTTCTCTCTCACTTTATTTCTTGCTTGCTTTTCTGTTTTTGTTTAATCTGTTTTTTGGTGACCCAGACAGCATCCATTTTCTCTTCCTAAGAACATTCTATTTTTTGGGGGGAGGGATCTATCACTTCCCCTTATTGTTGATAAATTGATAGAATGATAAATCAAGTTACCTTGACCACTCTTATATAGCCAATGACTCACTCTAGGTCAATAATACTATCCCAGGACTTTGCATCTTGACTGAACATTTGTTCACTCTTCTTGAGTAAAAAAACTCCAAAACTCGGTGAAAACAAGCCAAAAATATATTAATTATTGCTCACATATCTATGAGTTGGTTTGGTTTCTGACCTTCCAGGCAGGACTGTCACGAATTATTCTTGTCATTATACATCTGAGATGACAAAAAGACTAGCTGAGATGATAAGTTCTGTGTTTCACTGATCATCGTTGGATGAGTGAGCTTAACAAGAGACGTTACTCTCATAGCAACACCAAAGATGATAAAGAGCATTTGGCTAACTGACACTTTTCTCCATGTACTATTTGCCAAAACAAGTCACATAACTAAGCCAAAAGAGATGGAGGAATTCATTTCCCTCATGGAGATGAGAAGACTTGCAAAGTTAAATAACAAGAGTAGATACAGAAGAAGGAGAAGTATTAGAGTCAGTAATGAAATCTACCAGGCATTGAGAGCCACAAAGGCAAAATGTATGTGTAAAATATTCACTTTATTAGCACCTAAGAAAGAGAGAGTTGAGCAAGCTATATCTGTTTCCTAAGAGCCCAGTAATTGCTGGTATACATGTTGTTTCTTATGCTAGTTCCTAGTCTCTGTGTAAATTTGAACTAAACAATATATAAAAGATTCCCCTCTTCTTAATTTTGTGGAAATTGGTATTGCTTACTTCCAAATAAAGAATCCTAAGTGGTTAAGAATAAAACAAAATTTGAAGAAGGTAGAATATATAAAGAGGCTGACAAATTCTTTGTGATCTTGGCTTAAAGAACAATACATCTCACTGTGGCCTTTGCTACTTTATTACTTTTCTTCCTAAGAGCCTTAGGAATTTCTAAATCCAGTTTTCCAGCTTAATCTTTACAGTGGACAGAAAACTTCTCTTTATACTAACTCCCATTTGAGAATCCTGTACTTTTCCTCAAATATAGAGAACTTCACTTCTCTCCTTGCCATGGCCAGCTTATTTTTCACTTATTGGCTTCCACAAAGTTGGCCGTGACCTGTGCTCTCCACAACAAAAATCACATAAACTGATGGCAATGCAGAATTCAAGTAAACATATTTAGCTAGTGATGATGCTTGATCCAGTAGTAGCTGCACTGTTAGTTCTCTCAACTTCTATTACTTTTGCTTGCTATTTCTCTTAGTTTCCTTTGTTTTCCCTTCATAGTACATTCTATTGTATTACACAATATAAATATGTCATTTTATTATTATCATCATATTACACAATACAAAGATTCTACAGCAATGCTGTCCAATTGAAATATACTGTGAATGATAAGTATAAGACATATATGTAGTTTTAAATTTTAATACCCATAGTGAAATAAAAAGATAAAATGAAATTTAGTAGTATATTTAATTCCAAATATTCAAAATATAACCATCTAAAAATACAATCAATATTAAATTGTTAATATGAGTTTTTTCTTTTTTTTGGTATAAAGTGTTCAATATCCAATGTGCATTTTATACTTACTGCAAGCATGTCTCCATTTGGACTCACTATATTTGAAGCGGTCAATAGCCACACATGGCTAGAGACTACAATATTCAACAATGTAAGTCCATAAAGTTTCTTAGGGCTGAGTTATGTATGTCTAATTTATTTGCAAATTTCATAAGGGCAGAGGTCTTTTCTATACTGTTTACCACAATACACATAGAACCAATCAGAAGGTTTAGTCTAAAATAATAGGCATTTAAGAATTTTGTATCAAAAACTCATTTAGTATAATGTTATCTATTTTTTCTAGAGTGAAATACATAGTTCCATCTTTTAAATTTCTACCTTATAAGCACTATTATCTACCATAAAATTATCTGTTCATTTGTCTTGAAATTCTTTATTAAACACTTAGATACAAGTTTTTCTTTATTTAAATTCTCTCAATAATTTTCCATTTTTCCCAATGCTACGTGAGTCAATCGTCAAGGAAAAATATCCTGTTCATTAAGAGTTTAAATGTTTTAGTATAAAATGATGACCTGTTTTATGATCAAACAATAGTTATTTACCAAAGGTTACACATTCCCAGCTGTGTATTATTATGAAACTTTAGGTTATGTCAATCATCAATAGAGTTTCTTCATTTGATACCCTTAACATAATTTTTTCCAGATATAGATACATTATGTTCATATGTTATCTTTAGATTTCTGGATTTTTGTGATATCTGTTCTCATTTATATGGTCATGAACGATTTTAATAGAAGGTGAAATAGAATAAGATACTCTTAGTAATCTGCCTCATAAGTGAGAAATTCACTATATTTTTTTGACATTTATTAGAATCATTATTTTTAAATTCCATGGCTATAGTGCTATACTTATCCTACTGAGAACTGCTCTCAATTTAATTAATAAGGACTTGTCTGTTGAATACATCATTCCTTTTAGTATTCCTCCCATCTTCTCAGGGTATACTGGAAGGAAAATTTGTGTGCTTTTGCTGAATATTATTATAGTTATACCTTTGGATAGTTTAATACACTGACATGATTAGTTGTACTGAGTTTATATTTTAATATAACACTCAAATTTTTTACTGGATTATGCGAGTCAGGTACTCTTACCTGAACATTTTAGCCACTTATATATAAACCTCTACCATAGTTTTACAATGCTAGGCTGTCTTTAAAAAGTCCATGGCATTTATCAGGAATAAGACATTTTAAAAATCAATTTCTAGCAGTTTGAGCTATGAGAATGCAAATTATAACATTGTACTACAGTTCTGGGATGTACTAAAAAATTAAGAAGAGGCATAACAATAATTACGCCAGGTGGTGTGTTTTATTTGTAATGACAAAGCTTATTTCTACACAAAATGCCTCTAGTATAAAAGAATGTCAAGAATTACTATCTAACGCATTGCTGATTTCTTTAATTACTCTCATTAATGTGCCTTTAATAGCTACCCAGAATTAAATATTTAAAATATATTGTGCATTTTTTATTAAAGGAGATATTTAAATAAAGCAAAATAAATTTCATATCTATAATCTTCAGTTATAGGAATGAAGATAGAAGCAGTGTATATTTATCTTAGGGAAGTTGTTAGTAATTACTAAATTTCTTTAACAAAGCAAAATTGGATTCACCAAAATATAAACAATATAAATAATCATATGTTTAAGTGGTTCAACATTTTAAAGTGTTAATTACCTTCTAAGATATATTCTGCCTCAAAGCCTCCATACATGCTGAGAAACATACTGAGGAATTATAAACATCTTGTGTAAAACATGTTGTCATATATTCTCCAACAACTGTGTTTCAGTAAAATCTGCCCAAGGCTTAACAAAAAAGTGTTTAAAGTATTATCTGTCTACATCAAGAGCAGCATTTTGTCAGTTAAATAAATTATGATAACTTTGTGAAATACAGTAATTAAGGTGCTTCTATGTAATAGAATAATGTGTAACTGGTAGAATATTACTTTACAAGAATGTTTAAGGTTATTAAAATGTTCAGATATGTTAAACAAAGTGCACTTGTTGAATAATATACAGCTTATGATGAAAATTTTGTGAGTGAATGATGAAAATTTTGTTGGGTATATATGTAAATATTTAATGTGTGTAGAAAATGAGAGAGAGACAAAGATGGTAAGAGCAGGTAAGTACTTTAAAAGAATTATAACCCAAAGAATTATAATAATCATCATCTGGGTAGTAGAATTAGGTGTTCTTAATTTTCTTCTTACACTTTCAAAAGCATTTTACAGTGTCATTATGAATATATATGACTATTTTAATAAAAATAATTGCACAAAGTATGTATTAATGATTATAAATAGAATATATTATTTAGTATATACTATACTTATAATTACTTCCTTCAACAGAACTACTTTGTTTTACTATGATCAGACACTAATATTAACCAAATTATATCTTCTAGATTCATCTGCTCCATTTATACCCTCTTTTAAATTTACCTCCAAGAAAGCAATTCTGTTCTTTCTTGCACCTCTAATTTCTTTCCACTGTATCCTTTCTTTTTAATTCCATAAATGAGTATGAAGTTTGTCATGGATGTTCTGTGTGGCCCTAGGACAAAATCTATCAGAAACTGTATTGCATGAAGATGGCTGGCAGCTGAGTCCTTTAGAAATGCCTTTTGCTGAAGGGAGTTGGGCCATCAAAGATGTAATGATACATCCCTGGGAGAGGTCAGGGTCCAATGACGGTTTAATGTGAGGTTTGAGATGCCCAGCCCCCTTGCATGATTCAGAACTTCTCTGTAGGGCCGTCTCCATTTCATAAGCCCTGTGTGATTGGCTGAAGTTTCTGTTCCTACTGTAACCAATTCCTCCCTTCTCCTTTTCCAATTCAGCTTCTTGTGTTTCCTCATAGATACTGCGACTGAAAACGACCCAATGCCTTTCCTGCATAAAAATGTCTGTCTCTTAGTCTACTTTGCAGGCAAAATGACAAAGGGATTATTCAAAGGTACATCCAGCTAGTGTTGCAAGGAAATGTTTATTGGGATTACACACAAAAATGTGAAGGTTCTGTATAAGAAGGGGAGCCCATTTTCAGTTCAAACCTTAAATAAACTAAATGAATTTTTTTTTTTTTTTTTTTTTTTGCTCTCACGCTTAACACGGCAAAATAATTAAAGAAGATAGGAAATATCAGTACAGAAAACCGTAGTCTAAGCAGACAGACATAGGCTTTTTTTGTGGAAAACAAGTGAAACTGTCAGTCAGCAGTTACAGAAAATATTGCAGAACATCTCAGAGGGAAGCAATGTCCCTCTGGACATCAATTGTGGTAGATTTACTTAAAGTAAATTGTATAATTTTTCATGACTTCAAAGGCTAAGTATTTAGTGGTAATGGCTCTTAAAACTGTCATCAGAAGGAAGAGGATCAGCAGAGTTGGGACAATCTAGTCAAATTCAATTAAATATTGAATACTAAATTCTTCCTATATTTTCTAGCTTTGTTCTAGATGTTACTTGGGAGGCTGAGGCAGGAGAATCGCTTGAATCTGGGAGGCTGAGGTTGCAGTGAGCCAAGATCCTGCCACTGAACTCCAGCCTGGGTCACAGAGTGAGACTCCATCTCAAAAAAAAAAAACCAGAAAGCAAAACAACAACAACAACAACAACAACAACAACAACAAAAAACTTAAGCTTTAGAAAATGTTGTAATAGAGATTTTATGGAGGGTAATATGGTTAACATTTCTCTACTTCCTTAGTGATGGAGAATCAAGAGTTTCTTACCTACCTATTCTCTATCTACCTCTCAGTTTTGAATCCTTCACTTGTTTACTCTGCATCATATCTAGCACTCTGCCAGTCTGTTTTATATCCCTACCCCTCTTGAACCTTGATAGCTAAACTTAAGCATCATGTAGTCTACAACTAATCCAGACTTATTCTCTCTGTGAAATAGGTTCTAGCATCTATCACCATTTCAGTAAAGGGCAAATGAAAGAATTGTAAACACACCCTCACATTCTAAGTCTTCCATCCACTGAGCAACAGGAATTTCTTAATTTATACTCCATATGGTGGCCAAGGACTGATTTATTATTATGTGAGTAATTCACACCAGGTATTCATGACCAGGTAAATCTACACTCCTCATAATTCTGTGGTTTCCCTGTTGTTTGAAATAGTCTGTAAAGTTGTTTATTCTTCCCTGTGTCCTTCGTTTTGTGCTTTTTTTTATTCAATTACTTATTACTTATCTATCCTATTTTTCTTTCCCCTCCCACCCCAAACTCTGACAACTACTGACCTGTTCATCATTCCTGCAGTTTCTCCTTTTCTAGAATGTCAAATAAATACAATCTTAAAATATGTAACCTTTGAGACTGGCTTCTGTTACAGCACAATGCATTTGCAATTCATCTATGTTGTTGTGTGTGTCAGTAGTTGATTACATTTTATTGTTCAGTAATACTCCCTTGTTTGTATAGGCTAAGTTTGTCTATTCCATCACCTATGCATTTGAATTAATGCCAGTTTGAGTTATCCTGGCATAAACATTCTTATATAGATTTTGGGGTGAAAGTAACTTTTCATTTCTCTAAAATAAACATGTAGAAATGGGATTGTTGAGTCAGATGGTAATTACATGTTTAACTTTTTAAGAAACAGACTGCCTTAGATTCTTTAGTGTTGCTGTAATAGCATATCATAGACTGGGTAATTTTAAAGAGGGTAAATTTATTTCTTATAGTACTGGAGACTGGAAAGTCCAAGATCAAATGGCACACATCTGGATAAGGCCTTCTTACTGCACCATTTCATGGATGGGAGCAGAAAGGCAAGAAAACATAGAAGTGGGGTCACTTTTTTGTCTGGTAGCTTTACTTTTAAATTTTTGAAGAACCTCCATCTGTTTGTATTAGTTCATTTTGTGTTGCTGTAAAGGAATACCTGAGGCTAGGAAATGTATAAAGAAAAGAATTTTATTTGGCTCATAGTTCTGCATGTGCTGTACAATCATGGCACCAGTATCTGCTTGGCTTCTGGTGAGGCCTCAGGAAGCTTTTACTCATAGCAGAAGGGAAGGGATCCAGCATGTCACATGGTGAAGAAGGGAGCAAGCAAGAGAGAGAAAGTGCCAAGCTCTTTTAAACAACCAGCTCTCGCACGAGCTAACAGAGTAAGGACTTACTTATTCCTGTGAAGACAACACCAAGTCATTCGTGAAGGATCCATGTCTATGACCCAAACATCTCGCATTAGGCCTACCTGCAACATTGGAGGTCACATTTCAACAGAATATCAGTGTTTTCACAATGCCTATATTACTGCTGAGTTTTAGGAGTTCTTTCTGTATATCTTTCTGGATACAAGTTTTTCATTGATGTTATGCTTGATAAAGCAAACAAGGTCTGAGGGCAAAGACTAGAGTAAATACCTAATGCCTTGATGCACAGACATTGATGAATGTTCACAAGCATCAAGAATATGAAAGGCATTATGACTTCATGAAACAAACTAAATAAGGTGCCAGTGACTAACTTTAAATAGAGGGATATGTGTGACCTCTCAGACAGATAATTCAAAATTACTGCTTTGAGGAACTCAACCGACTTTAGGAAAATACAGAGAAGGAATTCAAAATTTTATCAGAGAAACTTGACAAAGAGGTTGAAAAAAATCAAATGGAAGTCCTGGAGCTGAAGATGCATTTGAGGTTCTCAACAGCAAAATTGATCAAGCAGAAGAAAAAACATCAGTGAGCTCAAAGACAGCTATTTAGAAATATCAAAAAGTCAGAGAAAAAAAAAAGAATGAAATTCTATGGCCAGGTGCAGTGGCTCATGCCTGTAATCCCAGCACTTTGGGAGACTGAGAGCGGAGGATCACTTGAGCTCAGGAGTTCAAGAACAACTGGGGCAACGTGGCAAAAACCCATCTCTACAAAAAATACAAAAGGTAGCCAGACATGGAGATGCACACCTGTAGTCACAGCTACTCAGGAGGCTTAGGCAGGAGAATCACTTGGGCTTGGAAGATCAAGGCCACAGTGAGTTATGATCGAGCCACTGCACTCCAGCATGGGTAACTAAGCAAATATCCTGTCTCACAACAACAACAACAACAAAGGAATGGAATCCTGTCATTCACAATGTGGATGGAACTGGAGGACATTAAGTGAAATAAACTATGAACAGAAAGTTAAACACCACATGTGATATGGTTTGGCTCTGTGTCACCACCCAAATTTCATCTCGAACTGTAATCCCCACATGTTGAGGGAGGGACCTGGTGGGAAGTGATTGGATCATAGGGGTGGTTTCACTCATGCTGTTCTTGTGATAGTGAGTTCTCATGAGTTCTGATGATTTAAAAGTGTTTGGCAGTTCCTCTCCTCTCTCTTGCCTGCTGCCATGTAAGATGTGCCTTGCTTCCCTTTTGCCTCCTGCCATGATTGTAAGTTTCCTGAGGTCTCCCCAGCCATGTGGAACTGGCAGTCAATTAAACCTCTTTTCTTTATAAATTAAAAAAAAAAAAGTCAGGGAAGAAAACAGGAAAAGAACAAAAAATGAAAAACATAAAATCTAGAAAACAGCCTCAAAAGTACAAATCTAAGAGTCATTGACCTTCAAAAGGGAGTTGAGAAGGAATAAAGGGTAGAAAGATTATTGAAAGAAATAATAACAGAAAACTTTCCAAGCCTAGAATAAATACATAGATATCCAAGTGAAGGAGTGTCGGAGATCACCAAAGATTTAACTCAAATAAGACTACTTCAAGGCAAGTAACACGTTATAATTACAACAGCTTATTTTAAACTGATGACCCCTTAACTTTGATCACAGTATAAGAATGGAAATAAAGAAACTCTAAAGCAAGAAACTCTAAAATACAGAAACTCTCCATATTAACTTCATTTTCTGCATCTCTCCCCCAGGCATAAATATTTTGACTTCTAGATGTCTCAATTTACATCTTTTATATTGTTTACCTCAATATATTTTTATTTTTATTATTGTTAATAATTTTGTCTTTTACTTTTTATGTTAAATATATGACAGGTTTACAAACCACAATTTCATCATTGGAGTATTCTGAATTTGTCTGACATTTACTTTTATCATTGAGTTTTATGCCTTTAAATTTTGTTGTTAAATATTACTGTCCTTTCCATTTAAATTGCAGTACTTTATTTAGTACTTCTTCTAAGGTGGATCTGGTGGTCACACATTCCCTCAACTTTTGTTTGCCTGGCAAAATCTTTATTTCTGCTCCATGTTTGAGGATAGTTTTGCTGGATACATCATTCTGTGTTGGCAGGTTTTTGTTTCTGTTTTTGTTTTTGTATTTCAGCACTTTAAATATGTCACCCACTCCTTCCTGACTGCGTGATTTCTGCTGAGAAGTCTGCTTCAACACATTGAGGAGCTTCTTTATCTGCTATTTTCTTATTTTTTCTTGCTGCTTTTAGGGTCCTCTGTTCATCCTTCACCTTTTAGAGTTTGAATATTACTTGTGAGGCATTGAACTCAAGTGCAGTCCTGTTACAGCAGAAGGAAAAACGACCAAATTCAGCTGTGTCCACAGAGAGAGCATTTAAACCAGCCCTAGCCAGAAAAGAATTGCTCATTCCAGTGGTTGGAACTTGAGTTCCCATTAGTCTTGCCACTGCAGGCTACAGCATTCTGTGTCTCCAAGTAAACTTGAAAAGCAGTCTAAGCCAGGGGTGTCCAATTTTTTGGATTCCCTGAGCCACATTGGAAGAAGAAGAATTGCCTTGTGCCACACATAAAAACACTAAAACTAACGATAGCTGATGGACTGAAAAAAAAAAGTCACAACAAAATCTTACTTGTAAACTTTTAAGAAAGTTTACAAATTTGTGTTGGGCCACATTCAATTGGGTTGGACAAGCTTGGTCTAGGTCATAAGGACTACAACTATTAGGTGAGTCCTAGTGTTAAACTCAGCCCAGAGACAATGGACTTGGGGGGCACATGACATACTGAGGTCCAACTAGGGCAGCCAAGGAAGTGCTGCCATCACTCATTCCTCAAGGCCAGACCCCTTCCTTCTGCTTGAGGAAAGAAGAAGGAAAAGTGGGAAGAACTATGTCTTGCATCTAGGCTATCAGTTTAACCACAGCTCAACCACAGAAGGATAGGACACTGGTCAGAGTTATGAGGCCCCCGTTCCAGGTCCTAGCTCCTAGATGACATTACTAGACTCACCCTGAGCCAGAAGAGAATCCACTACCTTGAAGGAAAAGTCCTAGTCTTGGCAGCATTCAGCATCTGCTAACAGAAGAGCCCTTGGGCCTCAAATAACAAGCAGCAATACTCATGTACTACATCAAGGACCTTGATGAACCTCTTATAATTACTGGCTTCAGGTGAGACTCAGCAAATTGCCAGCAGTGGTGAATATGTGGTGAAACCCCTTCTGCTTGAGAAAAGCAGAGAGAAAAGTAGAGGAGACTTTGTCTTGCACCTTAGATACCAGCATGAGTACAGGGCGGTAGAGCACCAAGTGGGCTCCTGGGGTCAATGATCCAATAAATTCACTTTTGAACAGCATTTCTGAACATTCCCGGGGCCAGAACCCACTGCCCCTGAGGGATAAGTCCCAGGTCAAAAAACATTCACAACAAGCTAACTAAGAGACCTTAGGCCTTAAGGGAACATTGGTGGTAGTCTGGCAATAATCCTCGTGGACTGGGATAGAAGTGGCTAGGAGGTGAGGCTCCTCTGCTTTTGGAAAGGGGAGGGAAGAGTGGGAAGGACTTCATCTTGGGTTTGAGTGCCAGCCTAGCTGCAATACAATAGAATACCAGGTAAAATTCTAAGGTTTTTGACTGAAGTCCCTAACTCCTGAATGGCATTTCTGGACTCATCCAGGGCCTGGGGGATCTCACTGACTTGAAGGGAAGGACAAAGATCTGGCTGGCTTTGCCACCTGCTGATTGTAGAGCCCCAGGGCCTTGAGGGAACACAGGCAGTAGCCAGGGAGTGGATGAAACAGGCCTTGGGCAAGACCCAGAACTGTGCTGGCTTCAGATGTGAGCCAAGGCAGACACAGTAGTAGTGGCCATGGGAGTGTTTAGGCCATTCCAACCCCAGCTTTAGAAGATTCAGAAAGAGAGAGAGAGCGAGAGAAAGAAAGAGAAACTCTGTATGTTTGGAAGAAAGAAGAAAGTAAGGGAAGAGAACAAGAGTCTCTGCCTGGTAATCCAGAGAATTCTCCCGGATTTTATCCAAGACCTGCTAGGCAGTACCTCTATGAGTCTGCAAGAACTACAGCATTACTGTACTTGGGGTGCCCTGTACAGCAGATACAGCTTAGATCACAACACTGAAGGCCTTTCAAATATCTGAAAGGCCTTCCCAAAAAGGATGACTACAAATAAACCCAGACAGTGAAGACTACAATAAATACCTAACTCTTCAATGGCCAGACACCAACGAACATCTACTAGCATCAAAATCATCCAGAAAATCATGACTTCACCAAATGAACTAAATAAGAAACCAAGAATCAATCCTGGAGAAACAGAGATATGTGACTTTTCAGAAAGAGAACTCAAAATAGCTGTTGAGGAAACTCAAATAAATTCTAGATAAAGGCTGTCACGGTGGCTCATGCCTGTAATCCCAGCACTTTGGGAGGCCAAGGCAGGCAGATCACCTGCGGTCAGGAAATTGAGACCACCCTGGCCAACATGGTTAAACCCCATCTCTACTAAAAATACAAAAATTAGTCGGGCATGGTGGCAGGCACCTATAATCCCAGCTACTTGGGAGGCTGGGGTGGGAGAATCGCTTGAACTTGGGAGACGGAGGTTGCAATGAGCCGAGATCATGCTCCTGCACTCCAGCCTGGGTGACAGAATGAGTCTCCATCTCAAAAGAAAAAAAAAAGAAATTCTAGATAAACATAGAGAAGGAATCCAGAATTCTATCACATAAACTTAACAGATAAATCGAAATAATTAAATAGAATCAAACAGACATTCTGGAACTGAAAAATATAACTGGCATACTGAAGAATGCATCCAAGTCCTTTAACAGGAGAACTGATCAAGCAGAAAAAAGAATTAGTGAACTTAAAAACAGGATATTTGAAAATAAAAATTGGAAGAGACAAAATAAAAAAATAAAAAGCAATAAAGCACATCTACAAAATCTAGAAAATACCCACAAAGGGGCAAATGTAAGAGTTACTGGCCTTAAAGATGAGGTAGAGAAAGAGATAGAAATAGAATGTTTATTCAAAGGGATAATAAGAGAACTTGCCAACGTAGAGATGACTCAATCAAAAGTAATAACTACAACAATTTTAAAGACATAGTTAATACAATAAGATATAAATAGAAACAACAAAAAGTTAAAAAGCAGAAGGATGAAATTAAGGCATAGAGTTTCATTATTATCCTTTTTGCTTGTTTGTTTGTTTACAGAAATACTGTTACGTTGTTATCAGTTTAAAATAATGGTTATAAGATAGCATTTGCAAGCCCTATAGTAACCTAAAGCAAAAAAAAAAAAAAAAAAAAGAATAAATTGCACAAAAAACAAAAAGCAAGGAACTAAATCACATCACAAGAGAAAATCACCTTCAGTAGAGGAAAACAGGAAGGAAAGAAAGCAGGAAGAGAAAACCACAAAACAACTAGAAAACAAATAACAAATTGGCAGGAATAAATCCTTAATTATCAGCAATAACATTGAATGTAAATGGAGTAAACTCCTTAATAAAAATACATTGACTGGCTGAATGGATAAAAAAAAAACAAAACCCATGGATTTATTGCCTACAAGAAATACACTTCACCTATAAAGACATATATGGACTGAAAATAAAGGGATGGAAAAAGATATTTCATGCCTATAGAAACTGAAAAAGAGTAGGAGTCACTATACTTATATCAGACAAAATAGATACCAAGACAAAAATTGTAAGAAGTGATAAAGAAGGACATTATATAACAATAAAGGAGGCAATTCAGTAAGGGAATATAACAATTTTAAGTATATATGCACCCAATTCTGGAGCACCCAGATGTATATAAAAAAATATATTAGAGCTAAAGAAAGAGATAGGTCCCAATACAATAATAGCTGGTGACTTCAACACCTCACCTTCAGCATTGGACAGATCGTATGGACAGAAAATCAACAAACAAATATCAGACTTAATCTGTACTGTAGACCAAATGAATCTAATATATATTTAGAGAACATTTCATCCTTGAGCTGCAGAATACACATTCTTTTTCTCAGCACATAGATTATTCTCAAGGATAAACCATATGTTAGGCCACAAAACAAGCCTTGAAACATTCAAAAAATTGAAATACTATCAAGTATCTTGTCTGGCCAAAATGAAATAAAACTAGAAATTAATAACAAGAGTAATTTTGAAAATGGTACTAATACATGGAAATTAAACAATATACTCCTGAATGATCAATGGGTAAATAAAGAAATAAAGGAGGAAATCAAAAAAATTCTTGAAACAAATGATAATGGAAGCACAACATACCAAAATTGATGAGATACAAAAAAAGGAGTACTAAGAGGGAAGTTACAGCTATAGGTGCCTATATAATAATGAGGAAAAACAGCAAATGAATTATCTACATATGC
The DNA here is from genome assembly GCF_000001405.40 of Homo sapiens. Taxonomy (NCBI): domain Eukaryota; kingdom Metazoa; phylum Chordata; class Mammalia; order Primates; family Hominidae; genus Homo; species Homo sapiens. The sequence goes on from NC_000005.10 coordinate 100,960,006, forward strand.
GTCTTAAAGAACTAGAAAAGCTAGAGAAAACCAAACTCAAAATAAGTAGAAGAAAAAAAATAAGAAATCTCAGAGCAAAAATAAATGAAATTTAAATTTAAAGATACAAAAGATCAATAACCTCAAAGTTTGTTGTTTGAAAATTTAAACAAAATTGAGAAAACATTAGCCAGACTAAGAAAAAAATGAATCCAAATAAATAAAATCAGAAATGTAAAAGAAGACAACTGACACTGCAGAAATTTAAAGGTTTATTAATGACTACTATGAGCAACTATATGCCAACAAGTGGGAAAATCTAGTGGAAATGGACAAATTTCTAGATACATACAACCTACCAAGATTGAACCATGAATAAATCCAAAACTTGATCAGACCAATAAGTAATGAGATCAAAATTGTAATAAGTGTCACCTAATAAAAGTTTAAGATTTGATGGTTTTACCACTGAATTCTACCAAACATCTAAAGAAGAAATAATACCAGTACTATTCAAACTATTCTGAAAAATAGAGGAGGGAATACTTCCAAACAGTTGCAGCACTGTTTAAAATAGCTAAGAGTTGGAAGCAACCTAAGTGTCCATCAACAGATAATGTATAAAAAAATGTGGTACATATATACAATGGAGTACTCTTCAGCCATAAAAAAAAAAAGAATACAGATCCAGTAATTTGCAGCAATGTGGATGGAACTGGAGATTATTATGTTAAGTGAAATAAGCCAGGAGCAGAAAGATAATCATCACATATTTCATTTACCTGTGGGATCTAAAAATCTAAACATTTGAACTCATGGACATAGAGACTAGAAGGATGGTTATCAGAGGTTAGGAAGGGTAGTGAGGAGCTTCGGGGGAAGATGGTGATGGTTAATGGTTATTAAAAAAATTAAAAAAAACAGAGAGAATAAGACCTACTATTTGATAACACAATAGGGTGAATATAGACAATAATAACTTAATTGTACATTTTAAGATAACTTAAAGAGTATAACTGGATTGTTGGTAATTCAAACGATAAATGCTTGAGGGGATGGATACCCCATTTTCCATGATTTGCTTATTTCACATTGCATGCCTGTAGCAAAACATCGCATGCACCTTATAACGATATATGATGGACCTACAAAAAAATTTTTAAGAAAAAAACAAAAAAGGAGAGATGACCTAAATAAAATCAGAAACAAAAAAGAAGACAATATAACTGATGACAAAGAAAAAGAAAGGATAAAAAATGCTACTAAGAAGAACCATAAGCCAGCAAATTGGAAAATCTAGAAGAAATGGATAAATTCCTGCACACACACAACTTGACAAGATTGAATCATGAAGAAATAGAAAACCTAAACAGATCAATAACAAGTAACAAGACTGAAGCAGTAATAAAAATCTCCCATAAAAGAAAAGCCCAAAACCTGACAGCTTCACTGCTAAGTCTACCAAACAATTGAAGAACTAATATCCATTCTACTCTAACTATTCCAAAAAGTTTAATGGGGGGAATACTTCCAAACTCATTTTATAAGGTCAGCATTACTTCCAGGCCAAAATCACTAATGAATATAAAAGCAAAAATCCTCAACAAAATACTAGTAAACCAAATTCAACAATACATTAAGAAGATCATTCACCATGATCAAGTAGGATGCATCTCAGGTAATCAAGAATGATTCAAAATATACAAATCAATATATGTGATACATGAAAGTAACAGAATAACAAAACCCACTTGAACATTTCAATAGATGCAGAAAAATATTTGATAAAATTAAACATCTCTTCATGATAAAAACTTTCAACAAATTGGTTACAGAAAGAAGGTACCACAACATGCTAAGTGTGACATACGACAAACCCTTAAGCTAAGATTGTACTGAATGAAGGAAAGCTGAAAGCTTTTCTCTAAGATCAGCAATAAGACAAAGATGCCCAGTTTCATGCTTCTATTCAACATAGTATTGGAAGTCCTAGCCACAGCAATCTGGCAAGAGAAAGAAATAAAAGCTATCAAACTGGAAAGGAAGATGTTAAATTGTCCCTGTTTGCAGGCAACATAATCTTATATAGAGAAAAATCTGAAGTATTGATTTTATACATTGAAACATCCTTGAACCTCAGGGATGAATCCAACTGGATCATGTTGAATGGTCTTTTTAGTGTGCTTTTGAATTCTGTTTGCTAGTATTTTGTTGAGAATTTTTACATTTATGTTCATCAGGCATATTGGTCTGTAGTTTTCTTTTCTCATAGTGCCTCTGCATGGTTTTGGTGTAAGGATAATGTTGGTCTTTCAAAATAAGTTTGGACATATTTTCTCCTATAATTATTTGGAAGAATTCGAGAAACATTGGTATTACTTCCTTTTCAAATATTTAGTAGAAGTCATAGTAAACTTACCAGTTCTTGGGCTTTTCTTTGATGAGTATCTTTTTATTTCTGATTCAATCTCCTTACCTTTTATTGGTCTGTTTAGATATCTCTTTCTTCATAACTCAATCTTGGTAGGCTGTATGAGTCTAGGAATTTATTCATTTTTTTAGGTTATCAAATTTGATGGCATACAATTCTTCATAGTAGTCTCATACAATTCTTTTTATTGATGTGGTATCAATTGTAATGGCTTCTTCTTAATCTCTGAATTTATTTATTTGAGTCCATAAAAAACTTTTAGAACTGATGAATGAATTCAGTAAAGGTACAGGACGCAAAACCAACATACAAAAACCAGTAGCATTTTTATACTAACATTAAACTATCGGCAACAAAATCAAGAAAATAATTGCATTTACAAAAACTTTACAATAACTACGAAAAATAAGTACTTTAGAATAATTTTAACCAAGGAGATAAAAAAATCTGTATACTGAAAACTGTAACATATTTACTAAAGGAATTGGAGAATACACAAAAAAAGTGAAAAGATACCCTCTGTTTAAGGATTGGAAGACAATATTGTTAAAATATCCATATTACCCAAAGTGACATACAGTTTCAATGCAATCAAAATTCTAATATTATTTTTCACAGAAACAGAAAAAAAATCTAAAATTTGTATGGAGCTACAAAAGCCTTGAATAGCCAAAACAATCTTATGCAAAAAGAACAAAGCTGGAGGAGACATACTACCTGACTTTAAAATATATTACAAAGCTATAGTAACCCAATCATCATGGTTGCATAAAAATAGATATGCAGACCAATAGAATACAATAAAAGTCCCATAAATAAATCCGTATATTTATAGCCACCTGATTTTTTGATAAAGGTGCCGGGAACACACATTAGGGAAAGGACAGAATCTTCAATAAATGATGTTGGTAAAACTGGATATCCATATGCAGAAGAATGAAATTAGGCCCACATCTCTTACAATGTATTAAATCAACTCAAAATCGATTAAAGACTTAAGCCTAAGATAACAAAACTTTGAAACTACTAGAAGAAATCATAGGGGGAATGTTCCATGACATTGGCTTGAGCAACAACTTTTTGGATAGGACAAAATCACAGACAACAAAAGCAAAAATAGACAAATTGGATTACATCAAATTAAAAAGCTTCTCTATAGCAAAGGAGGAAATCAACAAAATGAAGAGAGAATCTATAGAATAGGAGAAAACATTTGCAAACTATTCATCTGATAAACGGTGAATATCTAGATTATATAAGAAACTTAAACAACTCAATAGCAAGAAAACAAATAACCTGATTTTAAAATGGGCAAAATACCTAAATAGATTTTTTTAAAACACTGTAAAAAATATCTATCAGGTATATGAAAATGTGGTCAAATCACTATCAAGGAAATGTGAATCAAATCCACAGAGAGATATCACCTCACTTCTATTAGAATGGCTTTTATCAAAAAGACCAGAGTAAGCAAAGATGTGGGGAAAAGGAGCCTGACACACTGTTAATGGAAATGTAATGCTGTTATGTACAGCCATTATGGAAAATAGTATGTAGTTTTCTCAAAACATTAAAAATAGAACTCCCATGTTATCCAGAAATTTCACTACTGGGTATATATCCAAAGGAAATAAAATCAGTATGTGGAAGAAATGTCTATAATTCCATGGTCATTGCAGCATTATTCTCAATAGTCAAGATAGGGAACCAACCATGTGACCCTCTAAGGATGAATGGATAAAGAAAATATGGTGTATGTACAATATTTACCCTTAAAAAGAAGAAAGTCTTATAATTTCTGACAACATGAATGACCCAAGAGGACATTATGTTAAGTGGAAGAAGACCCCCCTACCCCCCAAAAAAGCTGTATAATCTCACTCATATATAAATCTGAAAAAGTTGATCTTAGAAGTAGAGAGCAGAATTGTGTTCAATTCTACATGGATGGGGTTGAATTGGAAAAGGGGATTTGGTGAGATGTTGGTCATAAAATACATAATAACAGTTAGACAGGAGGAATATGGTCAAGTAATTTATTGCACAGCATGACGTCTATTGTGAATGACAATATATTGTATTTTTCAAACATGCTGAGTGGATACTGTGTTCTCACCACAAGGCAATGGAATACATATACATTTCATTTATATTATATTATATTATATTATATTATATTATATTATATTATATTATAGTGAAGTCAATGTATTTGTTAATTAGCCAGATAACCATTCCACAATGTTTATATACTTTCAACCCCATATTGCACATGATAAATACATAGAGTTTTATATGTTTTTTAAAAATTTCTTTATTTTTTAAAATAAATTTGAAAAAAAAAGAAACACACAGAAACTCTTTGACTAGAAATAGTGACTCTCCTATGTCTAAATCTACAAACCAATTGCATCTGTAGTCAATCTTCCTTCTGAGCTCCAGAATTCCCTGTCCTGCTTTCCCTGGAGGAAGCTAGAATTATTAATTAGTCATCATTTTCTTGTATGCCAATTTCTATCTACTGGTTCTTTACTGAAGTCCTTTAAAAATCCTCTTTTCTCTCTGCTTCACAGACAGGAAAGTTCTGCTTGATCATTCTTCCCTGTTTTGCCAGATCTATAACTTATTTTTTTTTCCAGAAATAAGCTCCCATAAGGCATTATCAAGACTCTTTGTCTCATTTTTTTCACTACTTACACATATCTCAACCCACTGACATCTGGCTTTCATCGTCCTCATTCCTTTCAACTGCTCTCATAAAGGGTACTGATATCTCACCTATTGTTAATCCAATGTATTTTTACTTCCTATTTTACATATGTCTCAGAAGGATGTGACACACTTGAGACTATTACACCTTTAAAAATTCTTTCCACTGATTTGATGACATAATTTTGGTTCTTTCTTTCTTTCTCCTTGAGATATATTCACTTTTATTTTCCCTTGCTGTATCTTTCTCACTGCCATTCTTTAAATGCTCTCCCATGATGATGACTAAACTCCCTTCTCTTCTCACACAAGCTCTCTCTGTTATATAACCATACTTATATGAATTCCATTGCCTTGTACATGCCAATGACTCCCTAATCCAAGTTAATCTGTATTCCCTTCCTGAGTGCCAAACACAACTCTCTTCTAGACATTTCTTCTGAAATATTTTTTAAATACCTCATGCACATGTTAAACACTAAACTAATCATGCTGGCTCAGTTTTCCCCTTTAAACACATCTTTTTCAGTGTTCAGTTTAGTAAAAGTATCCCCATATCTACTCACTTATCAGACTGGACAAATCTTTCTTCATTTTCCCCTACATGCAATCAATATTGAATTCCTGCCTAATGTACTTCTCAGCTCTTGATCCTACCCTTTCTTTCCATCTCCACTGACACACTTTTAATTCCAAGCTGAAATTTAACAAATTTCTCTCATCTACAATCTCCAGAAAGATATGTATATCACTCTAATCATTTGGTACTCTTAATAGCTTTTGAGTAATCTAAAAAAATGCAAATCTGTTCATGTTGCGAGCTATATTAGACCTTTTTAGCTTCCTGTTACCTTTATGTCAAAGTCTATATGTTGAAGTCTAAGTTCCTTCACATAACTTACAATTCTCTTCATAATTCTAGGTTTCTCTACCTACTCAGTCTTGCCTTGTCATAATCGCTATCATTTTATAAGGCATAGATACTCTGGACTGCTCTTGTCTCCAAGAATGTGTTGTGTCACTTTTCCCCATGTGTCTTTGAGGATGCTTTTGCCAGGTCTGAAATCTTCCTCCCCTTTTACCTGGCTGATGCCCACTCACTTTCAGGTCCCAACACATATGCCTTGAGACATTTTCTTGACCTAAGAATAAGTTAGTTTCCAGTGACAAGTGTGTCTAAGCATCTAAAATCAATAATTCCCTTTAATTTAATTACACTATTAACAGTTAGGGTTTAGAAAAAAAAAGGCTCACACAACATAGTTTTTTAAATATAGATTTTAGAAGAGTTGAAAAGCCAAACTAGATGAGAGGGCTACCCAAATTTAAGCAACAATTGGAATCTATAGGAACAAAGGGAAAAGGTGGTGCCATAAGTGCCCCAAATCCAGGGTGGCCAGATGTGAGTTGAAACCATGGAAAAGACTGTCCAGTGAGATGTGGGACCATGGGCTGAGTGGCCACCTGGAGGAACCGGGAAATGCTGAAGAGATGTAGCCACTGTTAGAAATAGTGGCAGGAAGTACAGTAAAAGAAAGGAATACCTTAGATTTGCTTGTCTCTCTGGCTCTACCTCTGACCTCCCACTAGTGTGTTTTTGTGGCAGAACCCAAACTGAAGCCTAGTAACATGGGAAGGAGATGCTGTCCAGAAACATCAGCCCCACTAGAATACAGAGAGTCAGGGGAAGATAGGTAGGGGACACATGACCAGCACTCACAGTATGTTTTGAACAATTGTTTATTTTAAGAGGAAAAAGACTGTGCTTTTCCTGTTTACTATTTTCAGAATATGGCCTTTGCCTAGTTCATAGTAGGTTTTCATAAGTATTTATTTGATGGATTAATGATGTCAGTGTCCCCAAATATGTATTCCTATTATATCTTATACATATATAAATAAAAACAAATATATACACACACATATACACACACACTTTGTTTCCAGAATTTCAAATATTCTTAGTTAAGCTTTTGTCTTGATTACATTGTGATTACACAAATTCCTTAAGACACAGTTCTTTAGTTTCCTGTGCTGTACCTGAAACATACTTGCCTAATAAATTAAAAAATCAGGTATCTGAAATAGATAAAACTAGATAAGCACTATTCTTCATATATGCCATCCTAATTCAGGTTCTTTCTGCTTGAGCATCTTACAACTCTACTGTTTACTTCCCCTCATAATGTATCCTTCCCTATCTTACTCCTTCTTTTTTCCATTTCTTTGGATGAATTTTGCTTCCTTAGTAAACTCCATTCTTGACAATTTCCTTCATAAGTGTCAATTTGGCTTGTGGCTCAGGAGACAGATAGTTATACTGCATTTTCTAACATACATTAAAAGCTCTGAATTATATTCTGATATCAAATAACCGTAGAATTATACAATGACAGCTCTGGATTGTACTTTGATAAATCATCTAGTTTAATTCCGTTCTCTGTAAAAGGTTAATAATGGCAGTGTAGATAGCGGCTACCTCACACATTTTTTTTTTCACCTTTCCTTTTACTTAAGCTTGCATGGATGGTATATCCACCATCATGCAAATTACTCTATTCCAATATTTAAAAGAAGATTTACAGAGAAGTTCTTCCTTATCTCCTTCTCCTCTTCCTCCTTTTACTCCTGCTTCTTCTCTTTGTGGGCATTTTTTTCTTGGTATCTTTCCTTGCTCAAACATTCTGAAACATGAGGAAGAACTTGTTGGTACATATAATGGCATTAACTTTATGTTAGAAGATGGTTATTACTATACTGAGATGGTCTTCACTGGTGGAGCAGGTACAAAGTTTATAGTCTGCAAACATAGAACTTTATCTTTTGTACACAGACTTAGGTCCTGAGTCCCATTTCTGCTGTTATTAGAAAATTGATGCCAAACAATTTTCTCTGTCTCTCTTATCCCAGTAGTTAGATAATTAGTCAATTCAGTATTTTATCTCATCCTTCACTATTTTTTCTCTTTCTCTCCTTGGTTTAGAAGATGAGTGAAGTGGGCAGGGACTTATATGGCAACAATTGAATTACTCTCATTTTGTTTTCTAGTCACCATGTCAGTGCAGTTACCTTTACCCAACAGAGAATTATTTCCGCATGTACTTTTCTATTCTCAACCACATCTCCTGGGGATGTAGAATACTTGGGGATATTCTTTCATGCTACTTCAGATTCAAAGAAAAATGGTGGTGGTGGTCGTGGTGGTGGTATTGAGAGTGAATTTTGTTGTTGCTGTATTTGTTTTAGCTTTGTTTCCTCAACTTTCACACAGTATACAAGACACAGATTTTCTTTTCCAGGAAATTCTTAAAAATCCTCTGGGATTTCCTCCTGACACATACTTCCCCAATAATTTTAATAGATAGAGGAGATGCAAGGTTTATTTTGTATACACATCTGCTTTGGTCCTCAATATTTTATCACATATCAAACTATTTTCTCTTTCGGGATTGGAAAAATGACCTTACATCATTATAATTCTATGTCAGTCTATGGTTTCTACTAAGGAATTTTATTGCTGAGCCATTCAGATTTGGGGGGGATGTGGCACTGGCTAAGGTTGTGTTCTCATGGGCTCCACATGGGTCCAGTCTCTGGTTCAGAGAGATCCAAGCCACACTTAATGTCGTCTATGTGACTATGAGTTCTTCCCCAAGCCTTGCGATGGAGTCCAGTTTCTTTCCTCAAAGTAAGTACTTTCTCTCCAAATTTACCTAAAGTCACCAAACTTACAGTCTGAAGTGGTTATTTTAGAATTAGTGTTTCTTCTCTAATAAGAAGTTCCATTAGCTATTCAGACTTTTCAGATAGAACATTGCTAAGATACAATATAACTCATCTCTCTGTATCAAAACTATACAGACTTTGGTGACATTTTGCAGAATGATTCTTTTGAAACCTAAATGTTTCCTTTATATGCCGCCTTTATATGTCATAATGAATTACACTAGAACAAATTCAGGAATGAAAAAATGTTGTAGTCTGTATATCTATATAACTAAAGTAGCTCTGAACTCCTTGTTTTCCTTAGAAAGAAGACACTTTATTGAGTTATTTCCAAGCAAGCATTGCCATTTGAAAATTAAACTAAATTTCAAAATTTCAGAAACTTCTTTTTAAAAATTTTGCTCTCCTTGTTTTACTATTTAAAAACTATCTTGTATTGTTACATCCCTTTATTTTTCAGTATTGAATACATTTGTATATTAAGTCCATAAGTAATATGGACTTCATATATGCTATACTATACTTCCTTTATCTCTGTCTCTGTCTTTCTGCCTTGAGTAGGTATGAATGCATGTATCTGTGCCAGACTTATAAAGATGCAACCACTTTGATTAAATCTACAGTAGTGTTGGTATCAAAAGAATGCAGTCCTGTAATTCAAAGTCATTTCAAAAAACATACTTTCTTGAATTACGTTTCTCAAACATCTTAAATTAGAAATACTGTTCATATTATATCTATTGTTCTCACTCCAAAGCTGTTCTTGTTCCTCATCCTTCACTCTCTTTTCCTTTCCAAAAGGAAGAAATTCCTCAGCAACCCCAACCCCAGCCTTCATGGGCTCAAATTGAGGCAGTTTAGCTCTTTAATTTGTGATCTTAGTATAACATTATATTGTTGTGCATATTTCAACCTATAATATATTGATACTCAGAGTAGCGTATTTTAATGAAAAAGTTCAACCAGTGTAATACATTTTCTCTTCTAACAAATTGCGAATAAGGCTATTGTAGGAATAGTCTCCCAAGTAAAACTTTCCTTTTGAAATAATAGAGCATATTTTTATAAGCAGATTACTGAATAATGACAGTCAAAAAGCATCTAGTTCAGATTTTTTTTAAATTGGAAAATTATTCTGGATTGTTTATACTATTTTTCATATATGAGAAGCAGACATGATTATTGGTGGTATATCATCTCAGTAATGCCTTACAGTGAAGTTTTAAATTTTAGTCAAAATTTTATATAGCCTTTTTATCTTGCAGAGAACTAAGAGAGAGAGAGTATATGTTTAAATTTTGGCATAGAAAATAAAAAATAATTTTTCTTAGATAATTTAAGTTACTCTCTTCAATTAGATTGACATCATCAGCTTGTCTATGATGCAACAAGACACTGTGAAGATTCTCTCTGGTTTTTACCTATAAATTTCTTGTGAACATTGCCTAAAAGAAGTGTGTGTGTGTGTATGCATGTGTGTGTGTGTGTGTGTTTGTGTGTGGTGTGTGTGTGTGTTCCCCTTGCACTGGTATTGATAACAACCGTTTTTGTTTTTTTTTTAATTTTCTAGTTCACTATGAAACTGCTCTTTTTAATCCTTCAATATGGCTTCAAATATATTTTCAAGACTGGGAACTTTGCCAGTTTATTTTAATTTTTATCTCTGATAGAGCATCACAGACTGTATTGAAAGAATACTTTTATATATTATTAACTATCCTTATAATTTAGTTTAATATTAATTTGTATTCAAAAATATTGCTGGATACCTCTTGCAGCTCTAGGTGCTCCTGAGAAATAGTTTTAGTTACCTTTTAGATTTTTACTTTTTTAAAAAAAATGTATCCCTATATAAAAACAGCTTTGCTGCATCCCACAGATTTTGACTCCTCTTACCCTCCTCCTCTATCAACTTTACAGCTCTAAATGGATTGCCTGTTTGTGTGATTCAGATATCTTATCCCGCAGCTGTCTGAGACACTCACATTCTTAGGCCAAGTCTGTCACCCTTATCCACTTACAGTCAAAATTGGGTAAGGAGGTAGAAGAATGTATTGTGAAAGGTATTCTTTCCTTCCTTCCTGTGTAGTAGCAGTCCTGCTTCCTGACCATGAAGAACAATCTCCTGCCAAGATGGTGGCTCCTTTTCTTGCCTGCTGATCTGTTCACACAGGACCCTGAAGTATTCAACACAGCTTAAGCTTTACGAGAATCTTGCTGTGTCCTTTGTATAAAATGTTTTCCCTCTGGGAAATGACACGTCTAAGCATAGTGGCCAGAGATTCAGCAGTAGGAAGCACAATGAGCCGCTGGTAGTGACGGTAGTCAGGGCATGGTAGGATTTTTGTCCCCAGGATTTTCACCTTCTTATGTTATGCCTGTGAATATGTTACCTTCAAGGCAAAATGAATTAAAGTTTCAGACAGAAATGAGTTTCCTAATATAATAATCATGAAATAAGAAGATTATCCTGGGTGATTCTGGTGGGTTTAATGTAATCATAAAGCCTTTACAAGCAAAAGAAGGAGGTGGAATATTTGATCCAGTACACTCCCAGTTGTGGCCACAGGGATGCTTGTGTCACTCCACACCCAGTTCATGGGGGCTAAGAAAACAGAGAGAGAGAGAGAGACTCAATTTGTACAGGAGAACTTAAGGGAAGAAAACAAAGTATCTGCTTGGTAATCCAGAAAATTCTTCTGGATCTTACCCAAGATGATCAAAGTGATACCAGTGCAAATCTGCAAGAACAAAGCTGTAGTAGGCTTTGGGTACCCCCTAATTCAGATACAGCTTACGTAAAAACACACAAGTTTTTTCAAATACCTAAAAATTGTTCCCAAGAAAGATGGGTACAAACAATCCCAAACTGAGAAGAATACAATAAATAACTACTCTTCAATGCCCAGACAGAGACAAACATCTATAAGCATCAAGGCCATACAGGAAAACATGACCACACCAAATGAACTAAATAAGGCACTAGGGACCAGTCCTTGAGAAACAGAGATACGTGATCTTTCAGACAGATAATTCAAAATAACTGTGTTGAGGAAACCCAAAGAATTTCTAGATAAACACACAGAAGGATTTCAGAATTCTATCAGATACATTTAACAAAGAGATAGAAATAATTAAATAGAAGCAAGCAGACATTCTGAAGCTGAATAATGCAACTGGCATGAAGAATGCATCAGAGTCCTTTAATAGCAGAACTGGTCAAACAGAAAAAAGAATTAATGAGCTTGAAGACAGGCTATTTAAAAATACACAACTGGATGAGACAAAATTAAAAAGAATAAAAAATAATTAAGCACATTTACAGAATCTAGAAAATAGCCTCAAAGGGACAAATGTTAAGAGTTATTGGCCTTAAAGAGGAGGTAGAGAAAGAGATAGTAATAGAAAGTTTATTCAAAGAGATAATAACAGAGAATTTCCCAAACCTAGAGAAAGACATCAATATCCAAATACAAGAAGGTTATAGAACACCAAGCAGATTTAAAACAAAGAAGACTACTTCAAGGCATTTAATATTCAAACTCCCAAAGATCAGGGTTAAAAAAAAAGGATTCTAAAACCATCAAGAGAAAAGAAACAAAAAACATACAATGGAGCTCCAAAAGGGCTAGCAGTAGACTTTTCATTGGAAATATTACAGGCCAGGAGAGAGTGGCATGACATATTTTAAGTAATGAAGAAAAAACCTTTTCCCCTAGAATAGTATATCTGGCAAAAATATCCTTCAAACAGGAAGAAAAAATAAAAACTCCTATGAAAACAAAAGCTGGGGTTTTTCATCAACACTAGATGTTTCCTACAAGAAATACTAAACGGTGTAGTTCAATCAGAAAGAAAAACATGTTAATGAGCAATAAGAAATCAGCTGAAGGTACAAAACTCACTGGTAATTGTAAGTACACAGAAAAAGCAGAATATTATAACATTGTAACTGTGATGTGTAAACTACTCTTATCTTAACTAGAAAGACTCAGTAATGAACCAATAAAAAATAATAGCAACAAAAACCTTTCAAGACATAGACAGTATAATAAAATATTAACAGAAACAATAAAAACTTAAAAAGCAGGGGTATGAAGTTAAGGTATATAGTTTTTATTAGTTTTTTTTTTTTTTTGCTTTTGGTTTGTTTACTTAACAGTGTTAAGTTGTTATAAGTTTAAAATCATATAATTTGCCAGTCTCATGATAAACTCATGTCAAGAAACACAATGAATATACAAAAAATAAAAAAGCAAGAAATTAAAACATATTATCAGAGAATATCACCTTTACTAAAAGGAAGACTAAAAGGAAACAAAAAAATAAGAAAGAAAATATCATAAAACAACCATAAAACAAATAACAAAATGGTTATTATTGATTATAACATTAAATGCAAATGGACTAAACTCTCTAATGAAGAGAGTTTCAGCCTGGCTGAATGGAAGAAAAAACAAGACCCACAAATCTCTTGCCAACGAGAAAACACTTCACCTATAAAAAACACAAAGTAAAAATAAAGGGATGGGAAAGGATATTCTATGCAATTGAAAACTAAGAAAGACCAGGAGTAGCTATACTTATATCAGAAAAAAGAGACTTCAAGGCAAAAATGATAAGAACAGACAAAGAAGTCCATTTTATAATGATAAAATTGTAAATTCATGAAGGGAATATAACAATAGTAAATTCAGTGAGAGGATATATATTTACAAACACACATATATGTATATAACAATTCTCTTTCTCTTTATATATATGTGTGCATGTATATATGTGTGTGTATATATATGCACATATATAAATATCTATATATACACACATATATATAATTGTTATATCTTCTTTCTCAATTTACAACTTTATCATATATATGATGGTTAATATTGAGTGTCAACTTGATTGGATTGAAGCATGCAAAGTATTGTTGCTTGGTGTGTCTGTGGGGGTGTTGACAAAGGAGATTAACATTTGAGTCAGTGGACTGGAAAAGGAAGACCCATCCTTAATTAGGGTGGGCACAATCTAATCATTTGCCAGCATGGTCAGAATAAAAGTAGGCAAAAGAACGCAGACAGATTAGACAATCTTAGCCTCCAAGCCTACATCTTTCTCCCATGCTGGATGCTTCCTGCCCTTGAACATCAGACTCCAAGTTCTTCAGCTTTGAGACTCATATTGGCTTCCTTGCCCCTCAGCTTGCAGATAGCCTACTGTGGGACTTCACCTTGTGATTGTGTGAGTTAATACTCCTTAATAATCTCCCCTTTATATATACATCTATCCTATTAATTCTATCCCTGTAAAAAACCCTGGCTAATACAACACCCAACACAGGAGCACCCAGATATGTAAAGCAAATAATTCTAGAGATAAATAGAAAGATAGGCCTCAATACAATAAGAGCTGGAAACTTCACCATCACATTTTCAGCACCGGACAGATCTTCCAGACATAAAATCAACAAAGACACATCAGGCTTAATATGCACTACTGACCAAATTGACCCATAAATATTTACAGAATATTTCCTCCAAAAGCTACAGAATACACATTCTTTTCCTCAGCACACGGATCTTTCTCGAAGATAGACCATATGTTGGGTCACAGAACAATTCTTAAAGTGCTCAAAATAATTGAAATAATATTAAGCATCTTCTCTGACTTCAGTGGAATAAAACTACTCATAAATCAAACAGGTAATTTGGAAACTTTATAAACAAATGGAAATTAAACAATATGTACCTGAATGATGAGTGCATCAATGAAGAAATTAAGAAAATTGAAAAATATTTTGAAGCAAATGATAATGAAAACACAACATACCAAAACCTATGGGATACAGCAAAAACAGTACTAAGAGGGAACTTTATAGCTATATATACTTACATCATAAAAGAAGAAAAACTTCAAATAAACTACCTAAAATGCATCTTGAAGAATTAGAAAAGCGGGATCAAACCAAACCCAAAGTTAGTAGAAGAAAATACATAATAAAGATCAGAGCACAAATAAATAAATTTAAAATGAAGAAAACAATACAAAAGATCAACAAAACAAAAAGTTTGTTTTTTGAAAAGATAAACAAAATTGAAAACTTTTAGCCAGGCTAACTAAGAAAAAAAAGGAGAATATCCAAATAAATATAATCAGAAATGAAAAAGAAGACATTACCATTATGATTGTTGCTGCAGGAATTCAAAGGATCATTAGAGGCTACTATAAGCAAATGTATGCCAATAAATTGGAAAATAGAGAAGAAATTAATAAATTCCTAGATACATACAACCTGCCAATATTGAATCAGGAAGACATCCAAAACCTGCACAGACCAATAACAAGTAACAAGATTGAAGCAATCATAAAATTCTCCCAAAAAGAAAAGCCTCAGACTTGATGGTTTCCTCACTGAGTTCTACCAAACATTTAAGAAAATACTAACACAAATCCTACTCAAACCATCCTAAAAAGCAGAGGAAGAGTGAATATCTCTAGATTCATTGTATGAAGCCAGTATTACCCTGATACCAAAACCAGACAAAGAGACCTCAAATAAAGATGACTATAAGCAATATCACTGATGAATATAAATATGCTCATCAAAACACTAGTGTATCAAATTAAACAATAAGTTAAAGAAATCATTCATCATGGTGAAGTGGGATTTATCCCTGGGATGCAAGGGAGGTTCAACATATGTAAATCAATCAATGTGATTCATCATATCAACAGAATAAGAGACAAAAACCATATGATAATTTCAATTGATGCTGAGAAAGCATTTGATAAAATTCAACATCGCTTCCTCATAAAAACCTCAAAAACCGGGGTATATTAAGAACGTACCTGGACATAATAAAAGCCATATACAACAGACCCATAGCTACTATCACACTGAGTAGGGAAAAACAGAACACCTTTCCTCTAAGACTGGGAACACAACAAGGATGTGTACTTTCACCACTGTTTTTCAACATATTACTAGCTAGAGAAATCAGACAAATGAAAGAAATAAAGGTCATCCAAACTGGAAAGAAAGAATGCAAATTATCCTTCTTTGCAGATTAGTATACAGCAAAAGTACAAAATTTAAAAAATATACAGTCATACCAGATATTGTATAGGAACTGGGGTTGGCAAATATGTAGAAAATGTTATTTAATGTATTTTTAAAATGCCACAAAAAGCCCTTTAGATGTCATTGTGTATGTGTCTTTTTTTGTGTGTATGTATGTGTGTTGTGTGTGCATGTGTGTATGAAAAAGAGAGAGATTAATTTTCCTTTATAATTAAAGAGCTTTATTGGAACTTTAGTAAAACTGTTAAAATGGGCTCTAATATTTTAAGTAAGAATAATTTGATTTTAAAATAAACTATATTTATCAGTTACTCTCTTTTATCCTAAAGTTAAAACTCACACCTGCATATAAGAGTTACATAGTTAAAGACAAAATAATTACTGAAGAAAATAGAAGATAAAGAGGTAGCATTGCTGATAACTTGGTATTTGATAATACCTTTACTTGCTATATAGGAGTTCTCTGGACATATTTTTCTTTTCACTACGTCATATCATTCTCAAGTATTACAAGCTTATAATGGGCAAGACTAATAGGAGCTTCTGCAAAACATGCCTTCTTTAAACTTAGGTCTAAAAATGTGATTTTGTCAGTTAGACTTTCAGAACAGGCAGATTGTCTCATGTTTTACAGAAGACTGAACAGAGAATAGACAATTATGGTAACAGACTGCCCTTATTTTTACTTTTTATTTTGCAGTAATTGTAGACAAACAAGAAGTTGCAAAAAATATCACAAAAAGGTATTACACATCTTCACCCAGCTTCCCCCAGTGTCACACCTGCATAATTGTAGAACATAATCAACATTAGGCGATTAACACTGTCACACTACTACTAATTAAGCATATATGGTTAAACTCAGCTTGCCTGCTACAACTTTGCGCAACCTCTGAGTGACCTGGAGTCACAGTGCTAACAATTGATCAAACCTGAAAGAAATGTACTATCAAGACATTAATATATTCCTATATCAAAGACAACTTGCACTATCTTCTCAGCGTATTTTCTGGTGAAAAATAAATGAATCAGTATTTTGCACCTAGTTTATGTTTTCATAATTCTTGCTATTTAGCCTTGTCATACCTGGTTTTACTTACATGATCAGAAGAGTAATTAAAAAAAATTCTTGGTATGAAACTGTAGCTTCCCTGAAACTAAAGTGTTTCATATGTATCTGCTATTTCAAAATCCGAAGAAGCTGCCTTGTGTGACCAAGAAAGGAACATGAGAGCTGCAATCTGTATTTTAAAGAAATTTTCTAATATATCTAGATAGTCGAAATTGTTACATGAAATTGTTCATGGCAGTGGCTCAGTCTAACCCCATCACTTTGGGAGGCGAAGGCGGGTGGATCATCTGAGGTCAGGAGTTCAAGACCAGCCTGGCCAGTATGGTGAAACCCGGTCTATACTAAAAATACAAAAAATTAGCTAGGCATGGTGTCGAGCATCTGTAATCCCAGCTACTTGGGAGGCTGAGGCGGAAGAATTGCTTGAACCCCGAGGCGGAGGTTGCAGTGAGCCAAGATCGTGCCATTGCACTCCAGCCTGGGCTACAAGAGTGAAACTCCGACCCAAAAAAAAAAAAAAAAGTTCGTAATATTTTCTTATAATTTCAATGTTTGCAGAATGTATAGTAATGTCTCCTCATTCATGTATTATTATTATTTTTTCTTTTTTTGTTTTTTTATTTTTATTTTTATTATACTTTAAGTTTTAGGGTATATGTGCACAACGTGCAGGTTAGTTACATATGTATACATGTGCCATGTTGGTGTGCTGCACCCATTAACTTGTCATTTAGCATTAGGTATATGTCCTAATGCTATCCCTTCCCCCTCCCCCTCCCCCACAACAGGCACTGGTGTGTGATGTTCCCCTTCCTGTGTCCATGTGTTCTCATTGTTCAATTCCCACCTATGAGTGAGAACATGCGGTGTTTGGTTTTTTGTCCTTGTGATAGTTTGCTCAGAATGATGGTTTCCAGCTTCATCCATGTCCCTACAAAGGACATGAACTCATCATTTTTTATGGCTGCACAGTATTCCATGGTGTATATGTGCCACATTTTCTTAATCCAGTTTATCCTTGTTGGACATTTGGGTTGGTTCCAAGTCTTTGCTATTGTGTTTAGTGCCGCAATAAACGCACATGTACACGTGTGATTATAGCAGCATGATTTATAATCTTCTGGGTATATACCCAGTAATGGGATGGCTGGGTCAAATGGTATTTCTAGTTCTAGATCCCTGAGGAATCGCCACACTGACTTCCACAATGGTTGAACTAGTTTACAGTCCCACCAACAGTGTAAAGTGTTCCTATTTCTCCACATCCTCTCCAGCACCTGTTGTTTCCTGACTTTTTAATGATCGCCATTCTAACTGATGTGAGATGGTATCTCACTGTGGTTTTGATTTGCATTTCTCTGATGGCCAGTGATGATGAGCATTTTTTCATGTGTGTGTTGGCTGCATAAATGTCTTCTTTTGAAAAGTGTCTGTTCATATTCTTCACCCATTTTGATGGAGTTGTTTTTTTTTCTTGTAAATTTGTTTGAGTTCATTGTAGATTCTGAATATTAGCCCTTTGTCAGATGAGTAGATTGCAAAAATATTCTCCCATTCTGTGGGTTGCCTGTTCACTCTGATGGTAGTTTCTTTTGCTGTGCAGAAGCTCTTTAGTTTAATTATTTATAAATTTATCTTTCTTTGATCAATCTTGCAAGAAGTTTATCAACTTCATAACTATTGTTAACTAATCAGAATTGATCTTATGGAATGTTGTTTTTGTCCATATTTTTACATTTTTTTCTACTCAGCTCTTTATTATTTTCTTTCTTTAACTTATTTTCATTTGAATTTTGCTTTTCTTTTTTTATTAAATTCTTAGAGTGGGTGATTAAATCAACAGTTTAAAAATTTTTATTTTAATCCAATATAAGCACTTAGAGCTATTAATTTCCTTTCTAGCTTTATAAGCATCCCATAAACTTGTGTATGTTGTAGTTACATGTTCATTAATGTCCAAGAAACTACTTTTCTTTGTGATTTGTTTTTTGGGTCATGGGTTATTTAGAATTGTGCATCTACTTTTCAAATATTTTGGAGTTCTCTAGGGATAGCTCTGTTATTTATTTCAAATGTAATTATTTTGTGGTCAGACAGCTGGATTTTTTTTTTCTTTTTTTTTGAGGTGGAGTCTTGCTCTGTCGCCCAGGCTGGAGTGCAGTGGTGCGATCTCAGCTCACTGCAAGCTCTGCCTACTGGGTTCACGCCATTTTCCTGCCTCAGCCTCCAGAGTAGCTGGGACTATAGGCGCCCACAACCACGCCTGGCTAATTTTTTGTATTTTTAGTAGAGACGGGGTTTCACCGTGTGAGCCAGGATGGTCTCGATTTCCTGACCTCGTGATCCACCCGCCTCGGCCTCCCAAAGTGCTGGGATCACAGGCGTGAGCCACCACGCCGGGCCCTGGAATTTTTAAAAACATATTGAGATTTCCTTTATGGCCAACAATACGCATGATATTGGTAAATAATTTGTGAATATTTGGAAAGAATTGCCAGCTATTTTAAGGTTATTTTATAAATGTCAATTTGGTCATGTTGGTTGTTGGTAGTGTTCAAATCTTCTATATTTCTACTGACTAACTGTCTTCTGGCTCTATCAGTTATTCAAAATTCCTACTGTATTTGTGAATTTATCTTTCTTTGTGGTTGTCAGCACTATGCATTAGGTAATTTGAAATTTCTGTTATTTGATGAATATGAGTTTAAGGTTATTACATCGCTTTTGCCATTATGAAATGACTATTTATAACTGGTAATATTCTTTGTTCTGAAAAATACTTAGATATTGAAATAGCCATTTCAACTGTTTTTTGATTATTTAAAAAATTTTTACAATTTTTAAAATAATGTGTGTTAAGAGTTTATTTTATTTTAAGGCAGGATGTAGTGTAGTCTTTTTAAATTTTGAATTCAGTTGTATTATGTTGAATATTTAGAACATTGACTTTTAATGTGATTATTGATATTATTGAATTTTTTTCTTTTTCTTCTTTCTTCCTTTTATTTTTTTTTTCTTTTTGGACTCAGGGTCTTGCTCTGTCACCCAGGGAAAGCAATGGCACAATCAGGCTCACTACAGCCTTGACTTTCTGGGATCAAATGACCCTCCCACCTCAGCCTCCCAAATATTCTGCCTTTTGAGTAGCTAGGACCAGAGGTGTGCATCACCATGCCCAGCTAATGTTTAAAATTGTTGGAGAAGAGGTCTCACCCTATTGCCCAGGCCATTCTTGAACTTCAGGTCTCAAGTGGTCCTCTGCCTCCCAAATGCTGGGATCACAGGCATGAGCCACCACGCCCAGCAATTAGATTTCAATTAAATCATTTTTTCTATTAGTCCTTTTTTGTCCCTTCTTCCATTCTTCCTTTTTTTTTCTTTTTAGCCAACATTCTAGCTAAACTATTATTTTTATTGTATTATTTTACCTCTCGGCTTATTAACTATAATTTTGGTTTCATGTTTTAATAGCTGCTTAGAGTTAATAGCATATGTTTTTAATTCATCATATTGTAACTTCTAATTATATCATACTACTTTACATATACTGTAAGAAACTTATACTAGTATATTTTCATTTCTCACTTTTTAACTTTTGTGTTATTGTTATACATTTTTATTTTATATATGTTATACATTCATTATATTGTTATCATTTTTTTTGCAACCAGGTAAGTATATTTCAGAAGAATTTATACCTTAAAAAACTCCTATGTTTACCTGTATAGTTTCTTTTCCAATGTTTCTTATTCTTTTGTGTAGTTCCACATATCCCTCTGGTACCATTTTCACTTTGATTGAAGGACTTCCTTAAACATTTCTTGTAATGTGTGTCTGTTGGTGAATTTGTTTAGGTTTTATACGTTTGAGAGAAGTCTTCACCCTCTCTTTTAAGAGGTTATTGCATGTAATGTTCCACTATTTTCTTGTTTGCATTGTCCCATACTAAAATAAATATTCTGACAAGTTTATCTTTGCTTCCATGCACATAACATGGGTTTTTCTTTGGGAAGATTGTAATACTTTCTGCTACTTCCTTTGTATGAGCAATTTAATTAAATTGTCTCGGTGTAATTTTCTTTATGTTTCTTTTACTTGGAGATTGTTGAGTTTCTTAGATATGCGAGTTTATAATTTTTATCAAAATTTGAACATTTTCATAATTCTCAATATTACTCAAACTTTATTTTATGTTCCCATTTCTTCCCTTGGGGACTTTGCACACAAGCTAAGCTTAGTAGTCATCTGAATATTTGAGCAGATCCTCTGCATATCTCTTAAGTTCTCTCTCTGCTCTCCAGTTCTCTGTGATGCAAATTCTTGCCACCTTAATTTTTCTGAATTCTCAGCTACACCTGCTAACTCAGGGAGTCCAACATGCTATGACAGAATCCTCCCTTTCTGTGCAATAGCCTAAAAATACTCTTTTTGTACCTGTTCCAAGGCAGACTATTAGGATGGGACACACACACAAATACACACACACACACACCATCTCACAGCTATCGCTAACTTGCACTACCCAGTATCCAGTATCTTGCAAACATTTTGTCTGTGGTATGATTGTTCCAAAGTAGACAGTAAATTTGGTCTCTGTTATTGATACTGGAGGGGAGCAGGGAAGTACTAGTTAGAGAAGGGTGGGGTACCTGGTGAGGGCTACACCTTGGACCTGTGCCAGGAACCTAAGTGAGGAAAAACATTTCTGTTTTCACACCCAAAAAATTGTCTTTTGGCCCACTACACCCCCCGCCATTCTGTATCCATAAAAACCTGAGACCTAGTGGGCACAGACACAAGTAGTTGGACATTGGGAGGAGTAAAAGAACACACTGACACACACCAGCAGACACTGGTAGGCCATTGATGGTGGAAAGATGTGGATGCCAAGGGGAATTTGGCCTGGGGCGGTCAGAGGAGAGTCTGGCCACTGGTGGCCTGACTCCAGGGGAAGACCACGTTCCCAATGCATTCCTCTTCTGGCTCCCCATTCACCTCGCTGAGAGCTACCTCCATCACTCAATAAAAACTTACACTCATCCTCCAAACCCATGTGTGATCCAATTTTTCCTGTACACTAGGGCAAGTACTCAGGATATGGAAAGCTCTCTGTTCTTGCGAAGAGGCAGAGGGTCTAATTTAGCTGATTAACACAAGCTTCCTGCAGTTGGCAAACCTGAAAGAGCACACTGTAACATGTGCCCACTGGGGCTTCAATAGCTATAAACACTCATCCCTAGATGGTGTCGTGGGATCGAAGCCCAAAAATGCTCCCCACGACTTCTGCAGCTGCCTGTCTGCATGCTCCTCCTAGGGGTTTGAGTAGTGGGTGGGCACTGAAGAAGAGAGCCACACCACTGTTGCATGTCCTGTGAGGGGGATAAGGGAACTTCTCCCACTTCGTTATGCCCATCTTGGCTGAAAAATAAAATCTATATCTAACTTGCTGTTTTCTCTTTGTCACCTATGTACTTTGTTCTTTTCTAAATTTTCTTGTTTTGCTGCGTCTTTTTGGAGTAATGGTGATTTGATGTTCTATTTTATTGTTTATTTTGGCTTATAACCTTTATCTTTTATTTCTATGTTTTTTGTTATTATTTAGCAATATGTTACGGTTACTGGAAAGGGGTCCTGATCCAGACCCCAAGAGAGTGTTCTTGGATCTTGCACAAGAAAGATTTCAGGGTGAGCCCTTAGAGTAAAGGAAACTAAATTTATTAAGAAAGTAAAGGAATCAACAATGGCTACATCAGACAGAGAAGCCCTGAGGGTTGCTGGTTGCCCATTTTTATCGTTATTTCTTGATTATGTGCTAAACAAAGAGTGGATTCTTCATGCCTCCCTTCTTTAGACCATATAGGGTAACTTCCTGATGTTGCTATGGTATTTGTAAACTGTCATAGCACTAGTGGGAGTATAGCAATGAGGACGACCAGAGGTCATTCTTGTAGCCGTCTAGTTTTGGTCAGCTTCTTTACTGCAACCTGTTTTAGCAGCAAGGTCTTTATGACCTGTATCTTGTGCTGACCCCCTATCTCATTCTATTGAAGGGGTGGGTTGCCCCTCCACACCTGTGGGTGTTTCTCGTTAGGTGGAACGAGAGACTTGGAAAAGAAAGAGACACAGAGACAAAGTATAGAGAAAGAAAAAGGGGCCCAGGGGACTGGCGTTCAGCATAAGGAGGATCCACGCCGGCACCGTCCTCTGAGTTCCCTTAGTATTTATTGATCATTATCGGGTGTGGCAGGATAATAGGATAATAGTGGAGAGAAGGTCAGAAGGTAAAGACGTGAACAAATGTCTCTGCATCATAAACAAGGTAAAGAAAAAAGTGCTGTGCTTTTGATGTGCATATACATAAACATCTCAATGCCTTAAGGAGCAGTATTGCTGCCAGCATGTCCCACCTCCAGCCCTAAGGTGGTTTTCCCCTATCTCAGTAGATGGAATATACAATTGGCTTTACACCGAGACATTCCATTGCCCAGAGACGAGCAGGAGACAGAAGCCTTCCTCTTATCTCAGCTGCAAAGAGGCGCTCCTTCCTCTGTTACTAATCCTCCTCAGCACAGACCCTTTACGGGTGTCGGGCTGGGGGACGGTCAGGTCTTTCCCTTTCCACGAGGCCATATTTCAGACTATCACATGGGGAGAAACCTTGGACAATACCTGGCTTTCCTAGGCAGAGGTCCCTGCGGCCTTCCGCAGTATTTTATATCTCTGGGTACTTGAGATTAGGGAGTGGTTTGAGATTAGGGCGTGGTGATGACTTTTAACAAACATGCTGCCTTCAAGCATTTGTTTAACAAAGCACACCCTGCACAGCCCTTAATGTATTTAACCCTGAGTTGACAGGGCACATGTTTCAGGGAGCACACGGTTGGGGGTAGGGTTACAGATCAACAGCATCTCAAGGCAGAAGAATTTTTCTTAGTACAGAACAAAATGGAGTCTCCTATGTCTACTTCTTTCTACACAGACACAGTAACAATCTGATTTCTCTTTCTTTTCCCCACATCTGTGACTTAGAATACCTAATCTGAGAATGCAGCCCAGTAGGTTTCAGCTTTATTTTAACCCAGCTCCTATTCAAGATGGAGTTGCTCTGGTTCAAACATCTCTGACATTTCCACTTACTTTCTTTCTTATTCTTTGCCACTGATTTCATATAATTTACTTCTATATGTGGTGACACCCTACAATATATGTTCATAACTTTGTACTGACAATTTTCATTCAACATATGTAACTATGAGAATCACTTAAATACTTAACCACATAGTTACTTTCATGCGCATCCGTGTGAAGAGACCACCAAACAGGCTTTGTGTGAGCAATAAAGCTGTTTATTTCACCTGGGTGCAGGTGGGCTGAGTCCGAAAAGAGAGTCAGCCAAGGGAGATAGCGGTGGGGCCATTTTATAGGATTTGGAAAGGTAATGGAAAATTACAGTCAAAGGGGGTTGTTCTCTGGTGGGCAGGGGCGGGGGTCACAAGGTGCTCAGTGGGGGAGCTTCTGAGCCAGGAGAAGGAAATTCACAGGGTTAATCACTCAGTTAAGGTGGGGCAGGAACAAATCACAATGGTGGAATGTCATCAGTTAAGGCGGGGCAGGGCCTTTTCACTTCTTTTGTGATTCTTCAGTTACTTCAGGCCATCTGGGCATATATGTGCAAGTCACAGGGGATGCAATGACCTGGCTTGGGCTCAGAGGCCTGACATTCCTGCCTTCTTATATTAATAAGAAAAATAAAACAAAATAGTGTTGAAGCGTTGGGTCGGCGACAATTTTTGGGGGGCGGTATGGAGAGAGAATGGGCGATGTTTCTCAGGGCTCCTTCAAGCGGGATTAGGGGTGGTGTGGGAACCTAGAGTGGGAGAGATTAAGCTGAAGGAAGATTTTGTGGTAAGGGGTGATATTGTGGGGTTGTTAGAAGAAACATTTGTCGTATAGAATGATTGGTGATGGCCTGGATACGGTTTTGTATGAATTGAAAAACTAAATGGAATAAGAGAAGGAGAAAAACAGGTATAAAAGGACTAAGAATTGGGAGGACCTAGGACATCTAATTAGAGAGTGCCTACAGAGCTTCGTCATAGTCCTGCCAGCAAAGATTATTTATTTACTTCAAGAGTTAAGAGTGGCAGTTTGGGGATAGCACAAGGAGATATCAGCTGTGATGGCTTGGAGAAACAGTGTAAACCAGCAGTGTAAACAAGAGCAGGGCATGTATGAGTAGTTGAGAACGGTGAATAGGAGTATGACTAGAGAGAAGATAGTAGGGATGACAAGTTATTTGGGGGCACAGTCTAAGTTGGTCTGGTGTCTGGAATGAGACTGGGGCCTAATAAAAAGGAGCATCTATACAGGAGCTTAAATGGGCTGTACCTTGTAGCATTCTGAGGACAGGTCTGACTTCTGAGAAGGGAAAGTGGTAAAAGTATTGTCCAGTCCTTTTTAAGTTGGTGGCTGAGCTTGGTGAGGTGTGTTTTTAATAGACCATTAGTCTGTCACTGAATACTAAGAGCCTGAAAAAATGCTTGGCTGATTTGACTAATAAAGGTTGGTCTGTTATCAGACTGTATAGAGGTGGGAAGGCTAAACTGAGGAATTATGTCTGACAGAAGGGAAGAAATGACTGCGGTAGCCTTCTCAGACCCTGTAGGAAAGGCCTCTACCTATCTAGTGAAAGTGTCTACTTAGACTAAGAGGTATTTTAGTTATCTGACTCAGGGCATGTTGAGTAAAGCTAATTTGCCAGTCCTGGGCAGGGACAAATCCTCGAGCTTGATGTGTAGGGAAGGGAGGGGGCCTGAATAATCCTTGAGGAGTAGTAGAATAGCAGATAGAATAGCAGATGGAACACTGAGAAGTTATTTCCTTGAGGATAGATTTCTATGATGGAAAGGAAATGAAAGGTTCTAAGAGGCAGGCTAGTGGCTTGTACTATAGCATAGCCTGCCTTTGCTGGTGTATGGTGATTAGGCCTGGTGGAACTGCCATCAGTAAATCAAGCGTGATCAGGGTGAGAAGCAGGGAAGAAGGAAATGTGGGGAAATGGGATGAACATCAGGTGGATCAGACAGATGCAGTCATGAAGATCAGGTGTGGTATCTGGAATAATGTGGGAGGCTGGATTGAAGTCCTGGCCATGAACAATGGTAATTGTGGGACTTAACAAAGAGTGAGTACAGCTGAAGGAGCCGGGGAGCAGAAAGTATATGCGTCAGGTATGAGGAAGAAAATAGATTTTGGAAGTTATGAGAAATGTAGAGAGTGAGTTGAGCATAGTTTGTGATTTTGAGGGCCTCTAAAAGTATTAAAGCAGTGGCAGCCGCTGCATGCAGACATGAGGGCTAGGCTAAAACAGTAAGGTCAAGTTGTTTGGACAGAAAGGCTGCAGGGTGCGGTGCTGGCTCTTGTGTAAGAATTCTGACCGCACTAACCATGCCTAGGAAGGAAAGGAGTTGTTGTTTTGTAAGGGATTGAGGTTTGGGAGATTAATCGGACACGATCAGCAGGGAGAGCATGTGTGTTTTTATGAGAATTATGCCGAGATAGGTAACAGATGAGGATGAAATTTGGGCTTGACTGAAGTAATGGGGGCTGTCTGTGAAGCCTTGCGGCAGTACAGCCTTGGTAATTTGCTGAGCCTAATGGGTGTCAGGGTCAGTCTAAGTGAAAGCAAGGAGAGGCTGGGATGAAGGGTGCAAAGGAATAGTAAAGAAAGCATGTTTGAGATCTAGAACAGAATAATGGGTAGTAGAGGGAGGTATTGAGGATAGGAGAGTATATGGGTTTGGCACCACGGGGTGGATAGGCAAAACAATTTGGTTGATAAGGCGCAGATTCTGAACTAACTTGTAAGTCTTGTCTGGTTTTAGGACAGGTAAAATGGGGGAATGGTAAGAAGCGTTTATAGGCTTTAAAAGGCCATGCTATAGCAGGCGAGTGATAACAGGCTTTAATCCTTTTAAAGTGTGCTGTGGGATGGGATCTTGACATTGAGCGGGGTAAGGGTGATTAGGTTTTAATGAGATGGTAAGGGGTGCATGATCGGTTGCCAAGGAGGGAGTAGAGGTATCTTATACTTCTGTGTTAAGGTGGGGGGATACAAGAGGAGGACGCAAAGTAGGCTTTGGATTGGGAAGAAGGGTGGCAATGAGATATAGCTGTAGTCCAGGAATAGTCAGGGAAGCAGATAATTTAGTTAAAGTGTCTCAGCCTAATAAGGGAACTGGGCAAGTGGGGATAACTAAAAAGGAGTGCTTAAAAGAGTATTGTCTAAGTTGGCACCAGAGTTGGGGAGTTTTAAGAGGTTTAGAAGCCTGGCCGTCAATACCCACAACAGTTATGGAGGCAAGGGAAACAGGCCCTTAAAAAGAAGGTAATGTGGAATGGGTAGCCTCTGTATTAAGAAGGGGACGGGCTTACCTTCCACCGTGAGAGTTACCCAAATCTCAGCGTCTGTGATGGGTTAGGGGGCTTCCGAGGTGATCGGGCAGTGTCAGTCTTCAGCCGCTAAGCCGAGAAGATCTGGGAAGGAGTCAGTCAGAGAGCCTTGGGCCAGAGTTCCAGGGGCTCTGGGAGTGGCTGCCAGGTGAGATGAACAGTCCGATTTTCGGTGGGGTCCCACACAGATGGGACGTGGCTTAGGAGGAATACCGTGCTGTGGGCATTCCTTGGCCCAGTGGCAGATTTCCAGCATGTGTAGCAAGCTCCTGGGGGAGGAGGTTCTGGAGGAATGCCTGGCTGCTGCAGTTCAGGTGTTTGGAAGTTCTTGTGTGCTGGAGATGTGGCTGAGGTTTGTCTCACAGTGTAGGCAAGGAATTGCAACTTTTTTCTGTTATTGCACACCTTGAAGGTGAGGTTAATTAAGTCCTGTTGTGGGGTTTGAGGGCCAGATTCCAATTTTTGGAGTTTTATTTAATGTCGGGAGCAGATTGGGCAATAAAATGTATATTGAGAATAAGATGGCCTTTTGACCTTTTAGGGTCTAGGGCTGTAAAGCGTCTCAGGGTTGCTGCCAAACGAGTCATGAACTGGGCTGGATTTTTATATTTGATGAAAAAGAGCCTAGACGCTATCTGATTTGGGATAAAGAAAAAGGAGCATTAACCTTGACTATGCCTTTAGCTCCAGCCACCTTTTTAAGAATAAATTGCTGGGCAGGTGGGGAAGGGCTAGTCACTGAACGAAACTGTAAGCCAGACCAGGTGTGAGGAGGGGAGGCGATAAAAAGATTACAGGGTGGAGGAGCGGAGGCTGAGGAAGAATTGGGACCTAGCTTGGCCTGGCGAGGAGGGGAGAGGTCAGATGGGTCTGTAGAAAAGGAAGATTAGAAAGACTCAGCGATGCTTGGGGTTGGGACTGAGGGGACAGGTGGGAGGGAAAGAAGGAAGATTTGGGATGAGTTGCACTGGGCACAGAGACTAGGAAGGGACTGATGTGTAAAAGAATGCCTGGACATCAGGCACCTCAGACCATTTGCCCATTTTACGACAAGAATTATTTAGATCTTGCAGGATGGAAAAACTGAAAGTGCCATTTTCCAGCTATTTGGAACTACTGTCCAGTTTGTATTGGGGTCAAGCGGCATTGCAGAAGAAAAAAAGACGCTTAGATTTCAGGTCAGGTGAGAGCTGAAGAGGTCTGAAGTTCTTAAGAATACAGGCTAAGGGAGAAGAAGGAGGAATGGAAGGTGGAAGCTTGCCCATAGTGAAGGAGGCAAGCCCAGAGAAAAGAGTAGAGACACGGAGAAGGAGTGAGGGTTTGTTGCCTCCCAGAAAAGCAGAGAAAGGGTTGGGGCACAGAAATAAGGGATTGGGGCACAGAGATAAGAGGTCGGGGTGTGGGAATAACGGATTGGGGGTTCTTGCCCCCTAGAAAAGCGGGACTTGCTGCTAACGGTGAAGGAGAAGGAGTTGAGGGGTACTTGCCCCTCCCCCAGAAAAGCGGGACTTGCCGCAAAGGGTGAAGGAGAAGGGGTTGAGGGGTACTTGCCCCTCCCCAAGAAAAGCAGAGAAGGGGTAAAGACACGGAGAGAAGGTGTTGGGGTACTTGCCCCTCCCCCAGAAAAGCAGAGAAGGGGTAGAGACACAGAGAGAAAGGGTTGGGGTACTTGCCCCTCCCCCAGAAAAGCAGAGAAGGGATAGAGACACCAAGAGAAGGGGTTGGGGTACTTGCCCCTCCCCCAGAAAAGCGGGACTTGCCGCTAAGGGTGAAGGAGAAGGGGTTGAGGGGTACTTGCCCCTCCCCCAGAAAAGCAGAGAAGGGGTAGAGACATGGAGAGAAGGGGTTGGGGTACTTGCCCCTCCCCCAGAAAAGTGGGACTTGCCACTAAGGGTGAAGGACCAAGGCAGGCGTCCCTGCGTGGTCTGACACCTTTGAAACGTGGATGAATAATCAGAAAGGCGTCCCTGCAATGATTAAACACCAAGGGAAGGCTGCCTTCCCAGTCCATGACTGGCGCCAGAGTTTTGGGTCCACGGATAAAACATGTCTCCTTTATCTCTACCAGAAAATGAAAGGAATTGAAATTAAGAGAAGGGAGAGATTGAAGTGTGGCGCCAAGATTGAAAGGAGAAAGAAGTTGAGGGATAGTGAGGGAAGTTGGAGAAGAGAGTAAAAAGAGGCCGCTTACCAGATTTGAAATTGGTGAGATGTTTCTTGGGCTGGTCAGTCTGAGGACCTGAGGTCATAGGTGGATCTTTCTCATGGAGCAAAGAGCAGGAGGAGGGGACTGATCTCCCAAGGGAGGTCCCCTGATCCAAGTCACGGCACCAAATTTCATGCGCGTCCATGTGAAGAGACCACCAAACAGGCTTTGTGTGAGCAATAAAGCTGTTTATTTCACCTGGGTGCAGGTGGGCTGAGTCTGAAAAGAGAGTCAGCCAAGGGAGATAGGGGTGGGGCCATTTTATAGGATTTGGGAAGGTAATGGAAAATTACAGTCAAAGGGGGTTGTTCTCTGGTGGGCAGGGGCGGGGGTCACAAGGTGCTCAGTGGGGGAGCTTCTGAGCCAGGAGAAGGAAATTCACAGGGTTAATCACTCAGTTAAGGTGGGGCAGGAACAAATCACAATGGTGGAATGTCATCAATTAAGGCAGGGCAGGGCCTTTTCACTTCTTTTGTGATTCTTCAGTTACTTCAGGCCATCTGGGCGTATACATGCAAGTCACAGGGGATGCGATGGCTTGGCTTGGGCTCAGAGCCCTGACAGTTACCATTCTTTGGGCTTTTTATTCCTTTGTGCTGATCCAAGTTTTCATCTTTTATTATTTTCCTTCAGCCCCCATTTTTTTTTTTTTACATTTTTATAGTTCAGGTTTGCTCACAGTATATTAATTTTCTCAGGCTTTGCATTGTGCGATAAAGTCTTCATTTACTTCATCTGGAAAACAACTATCACTCTATCTAGAATCTATCATTAATAGGTTTATTTTTAACCTTACAGATGCTTTTTCATTGCTGGCAAGGATAATTAATGATAAGTAGTCTAGCGAAATTCTTATCTTTCTTTCTTTGTAATGTATCATTTTCTCTCAAGGTTATAACAAATTATCTTTATCACAGGGTTTTAACAACTTATGTGTGATGTCTTGTCTCTTGAGGTGATATTCTCTGTGTTTATTGGTCTTGAATTCATTGAGATTTTGAATCTGTGACACTGTAATTTTCCTTTGGATTTTGAAAGCTTTATTCTTTATTTCTTCAAATAGTTTTCTGTTTTGTTGATTTTCTTGGCACTCCTGTTACATGCCTGTTAGTCCACTTAACATTTTTCCAGAGATCACTGAGGTTGTTTTTGCTGCAATTTTTTTTTTTTTTTTGAGATGGAGTCTTGCTCTGCTGCCCAGGCTGGAGTGCAGTGGTGCCATCTCAGCTCACTGCAAGCTCTGCCTCCCAGGTTCACGCCATTCTCCTGCCTCAACCTCCCCAGTAGCTGGGACTACAGGCACCCACCACCACGCCAGGCTATTTTTGTGTTTTTTAGTAGAGACGGGGTTTCACCGTGTTAGCCAGGATGTTCTCAATCTCCTGACCTCGTGATCTGCCCTCCTCAGTCTCCCAAAGTGCTGGGATTACAGGCGTGAGCCATCATGTCCGGCCTTTGCTGTAATTTTTATCTCTTCATTCTATATGTGTAAATTCACTGTTCTTTTTTCTCTAGTGTATATAGTATGTTCTAAATCTCATCCAATGAATATTGAATTTCATATATGTTTTTATCTTGGGAAGTTCTACTTGGCTTTTTTGATGTGGTCTATTTTATCTCCTTGTGTTAATGTTATATTCAACATTGTTGAGTGAATAAAGTATATTTATAATAGCTTTTTAAGGTTTGTTTCTATAATATGGACTCTGTTTCTATTTACTGATTTTCTCTTGCTTTAGGGTCATACTTTCCTTCTTTTATTACTATTGATTTTTTATTGAATATTGAGCATTTTGTTTTTTCTATTTTTGGTGTGTGTAACAGATTTTATTATCCTCCCTATCCCAAAGAATGTCCCTATTTTTTCTGGCAATCAGCTAACCTACAGTTTACCCAGCTTGATCCTTTTGTGACTTATTTTCAACTTTGGTAGAGGAGTTTTAGAGTGGTTTTTAGTTTTTAAGTCTACTTTAATATTACTAAAGTCTCACCTGAATGACAATCTAGGTCTCTTCTTAATGACTGAGGAGTTTGATAAAGATTCTTCACTCTGCTTTGTTTGAATGTGAAGGTCACCCAGCTCTGTATACATTTCCAAAACTTTGGCTCATTTATTCTCAGTTGTTCTTTTCCTGACATTGTAAAATTTCTGTAATGCCTTCAAACATAGTTTTCTGTATCACCTAATTATGTCCATATGAAGATTCCTGAAGTTTTGTGTATGAAAAACCACCTCATTCTCAGCTATTCAATTTCTAGCTATTTCATCCTCTTCAAATTCTGATATCTATTTAATTCAATAAAACTCACTCGCTTTACTTGGGATCATTCTCCTTGTATGATGGTCTTGAAGTGCCTCCAAGCAGAAAGCTGGGGTTAAATGAGCTTTTGTCCATGATTTCCCTTGTCCCAGGAACTACAGCATTGTGACATCTCATGTACAATGTCTGTAACATGGATTTTTATCTTCTGTTCATTTTGTTTTCTTTTTCCTATGGGAGGGTAAATTAGTCACAGTGAATCTATCACTTCCATAAGTCATTCCAAATGGTATCTGAGATATCATGAAGTTTAAGAACTGACAAAAGATAGATGAGAAAAATCTCTTTACTTTTATGTATCAGTTTTAGGTATGTTTCAGAAACTACACACTCATTAGCTTTACTTTAATTCATAAGCAAACAATTTAGTATATGGTATTAAACTGATATTAATGTAGATAGAATGGTAATCACTAGGATTATTTCACTAGGAATAAATAAGGAGAAGCAACTCATTTAGCCATTGCACTAGTGTTACTGAAATGGGAGAGTTCCCTAAACCCCTTGTGGGACTTTTAACAGGGGTGTGGCTTGCTTGCTGGGCTGTAACATGTTCAAACCCCTTACAGGAGAGGGACATGCAGATGGGCAGATGCAGGAGCTGGGGTGAGCGTTTGAGCTCTGGCCCCACAATAGCATCTAGGAGTGTGTTACTATTAATGCTTTTTTAGCTGACAGCTAAGTGTTAAACCAGATCAGTGGATGGCTAATTTTTAAACCAGTTCACTGGACAGCTAAGTGTTAAACCAGCTCAGTGGAGAGCCAAGGTGACAGCCTTTAACACCCTGCCCTCTTGGTACCCGGGTCCTTGTCCAGCATCCAGGAAGAATCAGGTCACTTGGACTTGAAGGTTGGTGAATAAGGGGATTTTATTGAGTGATGGAGGTGACTTTCAGCAGGATGGATGGGGAGCTGGAAAGGGAATGGAGTGGGAAGATGATCTTTACCTGAAGTACGGTCATCCAACAGCCAATCTTCTCTATTTCTGTCCCCAGCCAAACTCCTTGTTCAGATGCTCCTTCTTTTCTCTCCTTCTCAGCCATGCCACTCTGCTGCTCTGCCACTCTTCTGCTCTTTGTTCCTCTGTTTTTGGAGCTTGGGATTTACATGGGCCCAAGATAGGGGCGTGGAGGGCCATAGTGTTCTTGGAAAAGACAACATTTGGGTGCGAAAACAGAAATGCCTGTTCTCATTTAGGGCTGTGGGTTTCCAGACTTGAGAGTGGGCCTTTGCCAGGTAACCACCCTCTTCTACCCAGTATTTCCCTGCCTCTTGTCTGTATCATTATTAGATCAGATTTGTGTGTGTGTGTGTGTGTGTGTGTGTGTGTTTGTATGTTCTGTATTTGTATCAAGGTTTGAGAAATAATTTCATGTTTTGGTTGAGGGTATGATGAAACAGTATGAGAGAGATGGTGATTTATGCTAAGTTATCCAACTGAAAATGAAAACAACCTAAGGGAGAAGTTGTTCATTTTTAAATGTTTAGTTTTAAACCATCAGAACTCAGCCATTTTGTACAGGCAAGTTAAATGGTCTCCTGGATTTAGGGTAATTTTGAGAGGTTCAGGTTTTGTCAGTGTAGAGACAATCTCCTTTTTTATCAACAGATTTTTTTCTCATTAGAATCTTATGTCTTTTGGGCAAGTTGAAAACGCAATGAGAAATTTAACTGTATCCTTTTGTACATAAAATATATCTTTATATGTAAAATATTCATAATTCTTCTGCAAATATCTTTGGTTAAGTGCTTCAGTGGTAATAGAATACAGGATAGAGGACATCTTAAATTGAAGAATTATTCACAGTGGCCATTTTCTAAGCAGGTACTCGGTTAAACAACTCTTGTACATTTTAGAACTATTCACAAACACACACACACACAACTGATCTAATAATAATACAGACAAGAGGCAGGAAAATACAGGGTAGAAGAGGGTGGTTCCCTGGCAAAGGCCCACCCTCAAGCCTGGAAAATCCCAGCCCTAACTGGGAAGAGGCATTCCTGTTTTGCGCCCAACTGTTGTCTTTTCCAAGACCACCTTGGCCCTCCACAACTCTATCTTGTACCCATATAAACCCCAAGCTCCATAAAGAGAGGAACAGAAGAGCAGAAGAGTGGCAGAGAAGTAGAGTGGCATGGCTGAGATGGAGAGAAAAGAAGGAGCAACTGAATGAGAGGAGTTTGGGGACATAAAGGAGATTGTCAGCAACTTAAAATTAATTATGTATAATTTAAGACTCATTATTCACCTTTTTTACTTCTAGTTTCATTTCTTCTGTTATAGTCTTCACTCTGAATTATTTAAAGTTTGAATACACTGCTTTTTTCCAATTATATTTAATCAAGACTGTGGGTGACTGTCTAAATCTGCTGGCTGTGGTAGATGAACAATACTTTGACTGATATACTATTGATTGCAGTTCTACTTGTGATTGATTTTCCCATTTAAAACTATCTTTGACTAATTGAACCTCAACTTTTTTCTCAAAAATAAACAAGTTATAGTATTTAAATACCTGAAGCGCACTGAAGAATTGGATGTCTTTCTAATTCTTTGTTGGCATATGCTAAGACTATCTTCTTCCATATTTTAGCATGCAATATTAAAAAAATTGGAAAGCAACACAGTGTGTCAGTCTCAAACTCTCTATGTCACATAGTACAAATGTTAAATTTTAATGTATTTTTTTCAAGAAAATAAATTGAACACCCAATAGGTACCAGAATTCATGCTATACCTGTGTTCACTTTCCTCTTGGACTGTGAAAGTCACATAAGCAGACATGTAATGTGTTGTGCTTAATAAGGACCATTATCATTCCGCATCCTCATCTACTTCTGTCTTCTCCTAGACATCAGCTAGCATACAAGGCTAAATATTGTATTTCCCAAATTATTTTGTATGTTCTGGTTGTCACTTAGTTTCTGCCAGTGAGATTTATTCTTTTAGAGCTGGAAGTGTAAGCTGACAAGCAAAGTCAGATATGACCATTGACAGTCGCTAGTTTCCATTTCCAGAGTCTAGTCACCAGCTCCATGACTGTGTGGTGGTTGTGATGGTTGTAGTAATAATGATGAAAGCAGCAGCAATTTTCTCATGCTAGTTTGCAAGAGCATTGACATTAAATCTAAATGTCATTTATTTCTCCAGCATGTCCAGTGATTTTGTAAGACTTAATTATTCTTACTAAATTATCTCTTGTTGAAACACCTGAAGTAATTTCTGTTTCTTGAGCTGAATGCTAATTGACATAGATTGTATATATGATACAAATAATGCTTGCGCTGGTATGTGTGTATATGTATATGGGCCTGTGTATGTGTACAGAGTCAGAAAAACCTAGAATTACCTTCTTGATTTACTACACACTTCCCGTTTGAACTTGTTGAACCTCAATTTCCTTAACTTACAATCTTTAGAAAATGCTTATTATGCCATATTATTATAAGGATAAAATTGTGGAATATATATAAAATATCTCCAACAAGTAACAGCAGTAAATAAATTGTGACCAGCAGAAGGGGAGTAGTTATTATAATGACATGAGAATTAAAATTATGCCTTATTTTGATATCTTGGTTTCTATAAAAATTAATTATTTTTGTTTGTTCTACATATTTTACTCAATCTTCTAACATTTAGGAGATGCAGTAAATAACAATAAAAATACAAAACAGATGTGTGATTTTCGTGAGTTCCAAGATATCATTATGACAGGTAATAAATAAACTAAACATGCAAGCAGAAAAATGTACTTTAGTAAGTAAACAGAGTTTTGTAAATGTGTCCACAAATGGCTTGTGTTGCTAGAAAGTAAAATCACATTCATCTTGGATATAACAATTGAAATGAATATGCACTGAATTTCATAGAAATCAGAGTAGTTTTAGAAAAATAATTTCATTTTAGTTAGAAACTAATCAAGGCATAGGTGCTATTCTGACTAAATTAAATTTGTTTAAATATTCAGTTTATATGTAAATGTGTTGTTTGATAAATGTCAAGATTTTTCTTAATTTTAACAAATCTTTTCATTAGAAACAATATTTTTCTCGATTTATATAATCTACATTTTCCTTTACTTTCTCTGATGAGTTTGAAAGAACACCTGCATGACTAAATTCCTTTGAATTGATTTTAATACAAATATAATTTATAGAAAGCTTTACTTGTTCTTTTAATCATTTTGTCTTTCTTTGACAAACCAAATAAATGAAAATAAGATGACAACTTAAAAATTAATTCAACATCATTTAAAGTAAATATGAATATACTTACCTATAATGCAAAGATATTTTTGTATGGTGATTTTTGAACAAAGCAATTTGAAAACATTGAGTTCTTAAGTGATGAATAAAATTTACAAGTATACCAGGAAGAAAATATAATAAAGTGGGTACAATTTTAATAAAAACAAGTTTAATTTAAACTTATTTCCCTAATACTTTTAATATTGGAATTTTTGACAATGTATTCAAATTATGGCAGGATTTAGAGAATGTAGGCTCTTCTGTCATCTACTTTATCAAATACTAGTTTCTCAAAAATGTATCATTCATTTACTGTGATTATATTGCTTTTCTTCTTTCTTTCTTTCTTTCGTTCTTTTTTTGTTTGATTTTTGAGACAGTCTTGGACTGGAATGCAGTGGCATGATCTTGGCTCAAAGGAACCTCTCCCGGTTCAAGCGATTCTTGTGCCTCAGCCTCCAGAGTAGCTGGGATTACAGGCGCCCGCCATTATGCCCAGCTAATTTTTTGTTATTTTTAGTAGGTACAGGTTTTTGCCATGTTGGCCAGGCTGATGTCGAAATCCTGGGCTCAATTGATCCACCTGTCTGGGCCTCCCAAAGTGTTGCGATTACAGGCATGAACCACTGCACCCAACCACTGTGATTGTATTTTTAGTGCCTTTCTTTATCCCTTTCATTCTATTCCTCAAAGAAAGCGAGGGAGAAAAAAATGTATGCTATTTTTCCAAAGAGATTATTGTGAAAAGTTAAACAGAAACTTCTTTAGAGTAGGAAGATTGATTCCTCAAAATTTATTTCATGAGGTGGTGGGAGTAGCTCCCCTGAACTGCTGCCTCCAAAGTTGTGACCCACATAACATGTCTAGAGTGGTCTGTACACCCATGGCTTATGGTGACCAGGTTTTCATCTGGGGGTTTCTAGGAAGATGAGGAATAACTAAGGAAAAATAAAGATGAAGAAGACAAATATTACCAATGATCAAAAAGAACAACATACACTGAGCTGATCAAATTTTATTAACACATAGGGCTTAATAAACATCTCAATGTATATTTTAACTCACACTTCCAGAAATTTATTTTTGTGGTTTTTGTTTTGTTATTTTACAGGCAAACAAAGTGAAATTTTATTTTGTATATTGTATTTCTGTTATAATTAATTTTGGTCAAGAAAAGAGAGAGGCAGTGATAGAAATGAGAGAGAGAGAATATAAACAGAGAAGGTGGATAAGAAAATCTTTATGTAAATAAATGCATTATGAGAAAAATGTATAGGTACCATATATCTCAGATTATGAAAAAACTAGTGTCTTGTTTATCATAGTAAAGAGACAACTTGTACCAAAGGTAAGCAATACATTTCAAGACATTTATAGCTAGTTTTGTTAAACTTTGTAGTATGTATAATTTTCTCTTTATTATTTTATAGAAAATCTTGTTCTTTTGATGAAAATGTTAAAATTAGAAATATTACAGAGCTCAGGAGTTGAGTATCCTCTGAATTTTAGTATTATTATATTCATTTAAAACTCAATCCAACATTTTATAACACTGTGTTGCATTATTGGACACAAATTCATGTTAATTTGAGCTAACATCTGCATTTATTCACTGCGTTTCCATTCTCTGAATAGGGCTATCATTTGGGTCATAGCTTAGTCTGAGTTACTTTCCAGTAGTTTCATATGTAAACTCATTTCAGATATACATAGTCACAATTAGAAATGTAAAAATGGGCTCGCATTTTTATCAAAATGCCATAAGCTTATAGGTACAGATATTTTAGCTCATGCCCTTGTAAAGTTTTCAAGAAATAACATATATATTGCCTGATTGCTCTTTTGTTTCAACAGTGATTTTTATTTTGGGTAAATAATGTAAGCATATATACAAAAACCTATACAATGGAGAAAAGATAAGAAAAACATGATTCAAAATCTAAATGTAAACACAAATATGTATGTGTGTATATCACAGGATAGAAATTATTTTATAAACCTGAGACCATGACATCAATTCAGTTTTTAGTTAAACTGATTTCATTTATCTTTTTTGAGGTTGATAGAAAAAAGAAAGTAACTGATTCGTTTAAGTGAATAATGAGTAATTAAGCCATAAATAGACACTAGGGAAATATAAATGCATATTGCTAAATCAAAGAAATCAATCTGAAAAGGCTGCCAACTCTATGTTTCCAACTATCTGATATGCCAGGAAAAGAAAAATAATGAAGACAGAAAAAAAAACATTACTTGTCAGATGTTAGGACAAAGGCAGAAAAGGATGAACAGGTAAAGGACAACAGACACAGAGTTTTTAGAGCAGTGAATCTTTTATTCTTTATGATATTGTAAAGGCGTATATATGTCATTATATTTTTGTGAAACATAGTTTGAACAGCACAAGTTTGTATAACACAAAGAGTGAACCCTAATGTAAAATACAGACTTCAGTTAATAATGATAGGTCAATATTGGCTCCTCAGTTAAAACAAATGTACCACATTAATATAAAATCGGGGTATATGAAAACTCTTATACTTGCCATTAATTTTGTTTTTCGTAAAGCCCCAACTACTCAAAGTCTGTTAATTAAAAACTACTGAAGCAACAATAAACTTCAGGTAAATGTGTGCTCACAACAAGATTGATTATTAGATGGCTATCATTTTAAAGGTTTTGCAAAATTCATGGGCTGTCAAGGAGAAAAAAAGTTGCTTTTTTTCCTTCTCAAATGTCTTGAATAGAAAAAAATATATAGAGTTTTAATAGAAAACAAATAGACATGCCAAAAATTCATTGCATTTCCTGGATCAATAGCATCATATTACTTTGGGAAGGACAAAAAATAAAACATTAAATGAAAAAATTATCTTAATTATTATTTGTCCTAAAGATGTAATTAATAGTATGGAAATATCCTAAAGGGATGTATCAGTCAGCTTTCAATTACAAAAACTGACTGATACATTCCTTGAGCCCAGGAGATTGATACAGAAATAAGCCATGGTTATGCCACTGCACCTGGGCAATAAAGCAGACCCCATCTCTTAAAAAAAAAAAAAAAGAAAAGAAAAGAAAACACAAACCCCTCTAGGTATTTTAATCAGAGGGTATTTAATACAAAAATTTGATTACATAGGTGACTGAATAGATCACTTATTTGGGAAGTGGAACAAGATGGCCAAATAGAACCTTCCAGCTCATACTTCATTCTCTTCACTAAGGAATGCCAAATTAAACAGCTATCCCTCCAAGAAAACGCCTTCATAAGAATAAATAAATCAGGTGAGAAACCACATACCTGGTTTAAATATAATATCAAGGGAATTCGCATTAAAGATGATAGGAAAGACACTTACATTTTCTACACCACCCCTCCACCAACCCGAGGCAGAGCAGCATGGAAAGAGAATCAGTATGCTCAGGAAGGGAGAGTGAAGTGAGTGTGGGTCTTTGCACTGGAACTCAGTGTTTCCCTGTAACAGCAAAGCACAACACACGACAGATTTCTACTGGTGTTCGTGGAAGGAACATTTAGACCAGATCTTGCCAGAAGAGGATTCTCCACTCCAGTGGGAGGAAATTGATTCCTGGCCAGCTTTACCACCAGCTGATTAAGGTGCCCACTGGTCCAGAACAAATTTGAGTGATAGGCCACAATAACTGGAGTTTTTGGACAAACACTCATGCTGCACTGATCTTGGAGCCAGTGGACTTGGGATGTGCATGACCCAGTGCGATACCAGTTGTGGCAAGAAAAGGGAGTACCCATGTCAACCCTCACCCAACTCCAGGCATTGCAACTCCAGGAGAGATTCCTTCAACTTGAAGGAAGGAAAGGGAAGAGTAGAGATAATTTTGTCTTGCCACTTGGGTACCATCTTAGCAGCATAAAGCATCAGGCAGATTCCCGAAACACCAGGCAGATTCCTGGAGCCCTTGATTCTAGGTCTTTGCTCCTAGACAGCATTCCTAGACCCACACTGGGCCAGAAGGAAATCTGCTGTCTTGAAGAGATAGACCTGGTTCTTGCAGGATTTACTAGCTTCTGACTGAAATAACCTTGGGCCTTGAATAAACATCAGTGTTAGCCAGGCAGTAGTGGCCATGGGCCTTGGTCAAGCCCCAGTACTGTGCTGGTCTACAAGGCTTCAGGTATGATCCTATACAGTGTCAGCTATGGTAGCTATGGGTAAGCCCATGTCACCATTCCCCTAACTCCAGGCAGCCCAGTATGGATAGAGACTCCTGATTAGGGATAAAAGAAGAAAGGGAGAGACTTTTACTGGTAACTCAGGAAGTTCTTATCTTACTCAAGTTCACCAAGCCTGTATTTCGAAGAGTCTGCAAGAAATGCAGCATTCCTGGGCTTAGGGTGACCCTAGTGCTGAATTAGTTGCAGGGACCACAGGATTTGGTAACAACACTCAATCCCCTTTAAATTTGTGAAAAGCCTTTTCAAAAAATAGGTACAAACAAGTCTAGACTGCAAAAATATGAATCAACACCCAACTCTTCAATGTTCAGACATAGACAAATACCAAAGCACCATGAATATCGAAAAAAAAATGACCTCACCAAAGTGACAAATCTTAGAGTGACAGAGACATCTGATCTTTCAGACAGGAAATTCAAAATAGCTGTCTTGAAGAAGCTTAACAAAGTTCAAGATAACACAGAGAAATAATTCAGATTTCTATCAGAGAAAGTTCACAAGGAGATTGAAATAATAGAAAAAAGAAAAAATTCTGGAGCTTAAAAAATAATTTGACAAACTGAAAAATGCTTCAGAGTCTCTCAACTGCAGAATTGATCAAGCAAAAGGAATAATTAGTGAATTCGAAGACAGGCTATACAAAATACGTGGTCAGAGTAGAAGAAAGAAAAAAGGATTAAAAAATGAAGCACACACACAAGATATAGAAAACAGTATCTAAAGGAAAAATCTAGGAGTTATTGGCATTAAAGGGATGTACAGAGAGAGATTAGAGTAGAAAGTTTATTCAGAGAAATAATTACAGAGAACTTTGCAAACTTAGAGAAAGATAACAACATCCAGGTACAATAAAGTAAAAGAAAAGAAAGCAGATTCAACACAAATAAGACTGCATGAAGGCATACAATAATCACTCAAAGGTCAATGATAAAGAAATGACCCTAAAAGCAGCAGGAGCAAAGAAACAAACAAAAAACATATAAAGGAGTTATGATGTCTGGCAGTAGACTTTTCAGCAGAAACTCTACAGGTTTGAAGAAAATAGGATGACGTATTTGAAACGCTGTAGGGAAATAATTTCCAATGCAGAATATTACATCAAGCAAAATTATACTTCAAACATAAAGGAGAAATAAAAACGCCCCTAGAAAAATAAAAATAAAAGCTGAGAAAAGACCTATCTTACAAAAAAATAATAAAGGGAGTTCTTCAATCTGAATGAAAAGGATGTTAATGAGCAACAGGAAATCACCTGAAAGCATAAAACTCAGTAGTAACAGTAAGAACACAGACAAATATAAAGTACTCTAACACTGTAATTGCAGTATTTAAGACTTTCATATTGTTAGTGGGAAGTTAAAAAGCAAACCTATCAAAATAATAACTAAAACATATTTTTAAAAGAAAGACAGCATAAAAAGATGTAAATACAGACAACACAATGTCAAAAGGCAGGGTTGAAGGGGATGGGGTTAAAGAGTAGAGGTTTTTATCTTTGCTTGTTTTTTTTTTTTCTTTTCTTTGTAATCAGAGTTAAGTTGCCATTAGTTTGAAATAATAGGTTTTATTATTTGTAACCCTTATGGCAAACACAAAACAAAAAACAAGAAATTAAACGTATCAACAGAGAAAATTACTCTTACTCAAAGAACATAAGAAACAAGGAGAAAAGAAAGAACCAATAAAATAACCAGAAAAAAATACTAAAATGGTAGAAGTAAGTCCTTACCTATCAATGACATTGAATGAAAATGGTCTAAATTATCCACTCAAAAGAGATAGAATGGCTGAATGGATTAAAAAACAGAATTCAACAACATGATACCTACAAGAAACTCACTTCACCAATAAAAACACATGGACTGAAAATAAAGTGATGGAAAAAGTTATTCTATGCAAACAAAAACCAGAAATTCACAGGAGTAACTCTACTTAGATAAAATAGATGTCAAATCAAAAATTGTAAAACGAGCAAGAAGGTCATTATTAAAAGGGTCAATTCAGCCAGATGATATAATGATTGAAAATATATGCACTCAATGCTGGAGCATGCAGATAAATAAAGCAAATATCGTTAGAGCTAAAGAGACATAGACCCTCATACAGTAATAGCTGGGGACTTTAACATCATATTTTCAGCATTGCACAGATCATCTAGACAGAAAGTCAACAAAGAAACATGAAACTCTGTAGTATAGATTACATGGATTTAATGAATAGTGGTAACATTGTATGCAACATATTCTTTTACTGCAGAATATATTACATTCTTCTCCTAAGCACATAGAAATTTATCAGCACTTCCAAGGATAGACTATGTGTTAGGCCTACAAAATAAGTCTCAAAAATAAAAATAAAAATATTATATCAAGTATCTTTTCTGACCAAGATGGAATAAAACTAAAATTAAACAACAAGAGGAACTTTGGAAGCTATACAAACTCATATAAATTAAACAATATGTTCCTGAATGACCACTGGGGTCAATGACAAAATTAAAAGAAAATTTTAATAATATCTGAAGCAAATAGAAAACAACACACCAAAACCTAGGGGACACTGCAAAGGCAGTACTAAAAGGGAAGTTTACATTAATAAAGGCCTACATCAAAAAAGTAGAAAAACTTTAAATAAAATACCTACTAATGCATCTTAAAGAACTAGCAAAGCAAGAACAAACAAAACTCAAAATTATTAGAAGAAACTAAATAATAAAGACCAGACAAGAAATAAATGAAATTCAGACTAAAAAGTAATACAAAAGATCAACAAAATGAAAAGTTGTTTTAAAAAAGAGCAACAAAATTGATAAACCATTAACCAAACAGAAATGAACAAGACTCAAATAAAATCATAGATCAAAAAGGAGACATTACAAATGGTACTACAGAAATTCAAAGGATTATTAGTAGTTTCTCTAGGCAATTATATGCCAATAAGTTGAAAAACCTAGAAGAAATGACTTTGGAGTCTCTCAACTGCAGAATTGATCAAGCAAAAGGAATAATTGCTGAATTCGAAGACAGGCTATACAAAATACATGGTCAGAGTAGAAGAAAGAAAAAAGGATTAAAAAAATGAAACACACATACAAGATATAGAAAATAGTATCTAAAGGAAACTAAAGGTTTTCTTTAGTTTCTTTAGGAAAATAAAGATTTTCTAAAGGTTTTCATCATTTTATGTGACTAGAAATGACTAGATACATAAACCTTCTAAAATTCAACCATGAAGATATCTAAAACCTGAATAGCCCAATAACAAATAATGAGATAGAAGCAGTAATAAAAAATCTCATCAAAAAAAGCATCTTATCTCACCACATTCCTTCACTGACGACTTCTATCAAATATTTAAAGAAGAACTGACACCAATTCTACTCTTCAAATTATTCCAAATAGTCGAGGAGAAGAGAGTACTTCTATATTAATTCTATAAAACAAGTATTACCTTGATAGCAAAACCAGACAAGGACACAACCAAGAAAGAAAACTACAGGCAAATATCTCTGATAAACATAGATGCAAAAATCCTCAACAAAATCCTAGCAAATTGAATTCAACAATAAATTAAAACATCATTTATCATGATCAAGTGGGATTTAGTCCAGGGTTGCAAGGATGGCTCAATGTATGCAAATCAATAACATTAAAGGATCATTCATCAAAATTAAGTAGGCTTTATTTCAGGGATGCAAAAATGGCTCAATATACATAAAACAATAAATGTGATACATTATACTATCAGAATGAAGGATAAAAGCCATATGATCATCTCAATAGGTGCCAAAAAAGCATTTGATTAAATTCAACATCCCTTTATGATAAAAACCTCTCAAAAATTGGTTTTGGAAGGTGAAAA
This sequence comes from Homo sapiens, assembly GCF_000001405.40. NCBI lineage: Eukaryota > Metazoa > Chordata > Mammalia > Primates > Hominidae > Homo > Homo sapiens. The sequence continues at coordinate 101,004,317 of NC_000005.10, forward strand.
CCTCAACACCATAAAAGCCACGTAAGATAAACCCACAGACAGTATCATACGGAATGGAGAAAAAATGAAAGCCTTTCTCTGAGATCTGGAATAAGATAAAGATGCCCATTTTTACTGCTTATATTCAACATGTTACTAGAAGACCTAGCAATTAAACAATTGAAGGAAATAAAGGGCATCCATTCATGAGAAACCACCCCCATGATCCAATTACCTATCACCAGGCCCCACCTCCAACACTGGGGATTATAGTTCTACATGAAATTTCAGCAGGGACACAGATCCAAACCATACCAAAACCAAAAATCAATGATTTCAAAACAAAACAAAACAAAAATCAAAATTAATTTTAAAAATCAATGGTTTTTTGAAAGATCAATAGAATCGAAAATCACCTAGTAAGACTGATAAAGAATAAAAAGGGAAAATATAAATTACCAATATCAGAAATGAAACAGGACATTTCTACAAACAATGCAAACATTGAATGGAGAATAAGGAAATGATACAGAAAATCCTACATACATAAAGTTGACAATATATATAAAATGAACCAATTCTTTTAAAAAATACAAACTACCACAGTTTATCAAATATCAAATAGATAATTATATCCCTGGAACTATTAAGAAAATTGAATTCACAATTTAAAGTTCTCATAAAGTAAATCTCCATGTTCAAATTATTTGAGTTGAGAATTCTACGAACTCTTTAAAGAAGTAAGCAATTCAACACAGGCTATTTCAGAAAAAGAAAAAGAGGAAACATTTCTAAATTTATTTTATGACCCTAGTCTTACCATGATTCCAAAACCATACAAGGACAATACAAACATAAGGCAATGCCAGGCCAATATCTCTCATGAATATAAACATAAAAATCCTCGACACAATGGTGGAGCAAAAATAATTCAGCAGTATAGGAAAGAATTTTGTACTACGATTGAGTGAAGTTTTTTCCCAGAGATGCAAGCCTAGTATGACGTTTGAAACTTAATCAAAGTAATCCACCATATTATCAAGCTCAAGAAGAAAAAAAACCACAAGATCACATTAATCGATATAGGAAAAGCATCTCACAATATCCAACATTCCATTATAATAACAACTTTCAGAAAAATAGAAATAGAGGGAACTGTCCCCATTTACATCAAGTATATTTACAAAAATCCTAAAGCTAACATCCTCTTCTTATTTGACAAAGGTTGTCCAGAATATACAAAAAATAAACTCTCAGAACTAAACAGTAAGGAAATAAAAATCCTATTAGAAAACGTGCAAAAGACATAGACCTACATTTCACTGAAGAGGATATAGTTTCATAAGCAAATGAAAATATTTTTACTTTCATTATCCATTGGAGCAATCAGATTTAAGCCTCAATGAGATATTGCTACACGCTTATCAGAATCGCTAATTGTTTTTTATGTGATAACACCAAATGTGGACAAGGATTTGGAGGAACTGGATTATTTACAAAATGTTGGTGGGAATTTGAATGTAAAATGCTACAATCATTCTGAAAAACAGTTTGACATTTTCTAAGACAAACTAAACATTCAACTACCATATAACTCACCAATTGCTGTCTTGAGCATTTATCCAGAAGAAACAAAGACACGTGTTTCACACAAAAACCTATAGAGGAATGCACATAGCAACCTTGTTTATGGTAGCTAAGAACAGGAAACAATACAGATGTATTTCAATGCATGAATTGTTAAACTTTTGTGCATTTATACCACTAAATACTACTACAACAACCTACCTGAATCTCCAGAAAATTGTTCTTAGTGAAAAAACTAATTCCCAAAAGTTGCATACTGTATGATTCCATTAATGTAACATTATTCATATGACAAACTTACAGAAAAGGCAAAGGGAGCCAGCCCCTCCACACCTGTGGGTATTTCTTGTCAGGTGGGACAAGAGACTGAGAAAAGAAATAAGACACAGAGACAAAGTATAGAGAAAGAACAGTGGGCCCAGGGGACTAGTGCTCAGCATAGGGAGGACCCACACTGGCACCGGTCTCTGATTTCCCTCAGTATTTATTGATTACTATTTTTACTATCTCAGCAAGGGGAATGCGGCAGGAGAGCAGGGTGATAGTGGGGAGAAGGTAAGCAAGAAAACATGTGAGCAAAGGAATCTGTGTCACAAATAAGTTCAAGGGAAGGTACTATGCCTAGATGTGCACATAGGCCAGATTTTTGCTTTTCTTCACCCAAACATCTCAGTGGAGTAAAGAGTAACAAAGCAGTATTGCTGCCAACATGTCTCGCCTCCCGCCACATGGTGGTTTTTGAGGATACAAACAAATGGAAGAACATTCCATACTCATGGGTAGGAAGAATCAATATCGTGGAAATGGTCATGCTGCCCGAGGTAATTTATAGATTCAATGCCATCCCCATCAAGCTACCAATGACTTTCTTCACAGAATTGGAAAAACTAAAGTTCATATGGAACCAAAAAAGAGCCCGCATTGCCAAGTCAATCCTAAGCCAAAAGAACAAAGCCGGAGGCATCACACTACCTGACTTCAAACTATACTACAAGGCTACAGTAACCAAAACAGCATGGTACTGGTACCAAAACAGAGATATAGACCAATGGAACAGGACAGAGCCCTCAGAAATGATGCCGCATATCTACAACCATCTGATCTTTGACAAACTTGACAAAAACAAGAAACGGGGAAAGGATTCCCTATTTAATAAATGGTGCTGGGAAAACTGGCTAGCCATAAGTAGAAAGCTGAAACTGGATCACTTCTTTACACCTTATACAAAAATTAATTCAAGATGGATTAAAGACTTAAATATTAGATCTAAAACCATAAAAACCCTAGAAGAAAACCTAGGCAACACCATTCAGGACACAGGCATGGGCAAGGACTTCATGTCTAAAACCAAAAGCAATGGCAACAAAAGCCAGAATTGACAAATGGGATCTAATTAAACTAAAGAGCTACTGCACAGCAAAAGAAACTGCCATCAGAGTGAACAGGCAGCCTACAGAGTGGAGAAAATTTTTGCAATCTACTCATCTGACAAAGGGCTAATATCCAGAATCTACAATGAACTCCAACAAATTTACAAGAAAAAAACAAACAACCCCATCAAAAAGTGGGCAAAGGATATGAACAGACACTTCTCAAAAGAAGATATTTATGCAGCCAACACACACATGAAAAAATGCTCATCAACACTGGCCATCAGAGAAATGCAAATCAAAACCACAGTGAGATACCATCTCACACCAGTTAGAATGGTGATCATTCAAAAGTCAGGAAACAACAGGTGCTGGAGAGGATGTGGAGAAATAGGAACACTTTTACACTGTTGGTGGGACTGTAAACTAGTTCAACCATTGTGGAAGTCAGTGTGGCGATTCCTCAGGGATCTAGAACTAGAAATACCATTTGACCCAGCCATCCCATTACTGGGTATATACCCAGAGGACTATAAATCATGCTGCTATAAAGACACATGCACATGTATGTTTATTGTGGCACTATTCACAATAGCAAAGACTTGGAACCAACCCAAATGTCCAACAATGATAGACTGGATTAAGAAAATGTGGCACATATACACCATGGAATACTATGCAGCCATAAAAAATGATGAGTTCATGTCCTTTGTAGGGACATGGATGAAGCTGGAAACCATCATTCTCAGCAAACTATCGCAGGGACAAAGAACCAAACACCGCATGTTCTCACTCATAGGTGGGAATTGAACAATGAGAACACATGGACACAGGAAGGGGAACATCACACGCCGGGGCCTGTTGTGGGGTGAGGGGAGGGGGGGGATAGCATTTGGAGATATACCTAATGTTAAATGACGAGTTACTGGGTGCAGCACACAAACATGGCACATGTATACATATGTAACTAACCTGCACATTGTGCACATGTACTCTAAAACTTAAAGTATTAAAAAAAAAAAAAGAACAAATGTACAATCAGGTTTTATACCGAGACATTCCGTACCCAGGGGCAGGCAGGAGACAGAGGCCTTCCTCTTATCTCAGCTGCAAGAGGCCTTCCTCTGTTACTAATCCTCCTCAGCCGAGACTCTCCAGGGGTGTCGGGCTGGGGGAATGGTCAGGTCTTTCCCATCCCATGAGGCCATATTTCAGACTACCACGTGGGGAGAAACCTTAGACAATACCTGGCTTTCCAGGGCAAAGGTCCCTGCAGCTTTCCACAGTGCATTGTGCCCCAAGGTACTTGAGAATGGAGAATGATGACGACTTTTATCAAGCATATGCCTGTAAACATTTTGTTAGCAAAGCACATCTTGCACAGCCCTAGATCCCTTAAACCTTGATTCCACGCAACACATGTTTCTGTGAGCTCAAGGTTGGGGCTAAAGTTACAGATTAACAGCATCTCAGGGCAAAGCAATTGTTTAGCATACAGGTCAAAATGAAGTTCCTTAAGTCCTCCTTTTCTATATAGACACAGTAACAGTCTGATCTCTCTTTTCCCTACAAAAGGGGAACAGATAATGGTTACCAAGGACTAAGGAGGGGGTAAGGGTAAAGGGAAGTAGGTGTGGCAATAATAGATCAATATGAGGAATCCTTTTGGTGACATAAATGTTTTGTGTTTTAATTGTATCAATGTGAGTAATCTGGTTGTGATATTGTACTATAGTTTTGAATAACTTAGCATTTGTGGCAAATGGTTAAATATTCATAGGTTCTGTCTGTGTAATATCTTACAACTTCATGTGACCATATTTATCTCAAAATTTGAAATTTAATTAAAAAATATATTGAATAATATTTAAAAATAAATGATTGTTTTGGAATTTCAAACATATTTTAATGAGTTGCTTCTGCCATTGAGACCAGGAACTTGTTCCCAATCTCAATTTTAGAAAAATATGATGTTGTCAGAGGTGAATACAATCCTTTCTCTTTTATTTCTTTCTATCTGTTGTTTTGTTTGCTTTTGTGCTTGTACCAGAACATGGAAATCAGTGGTGATGTTGAGTATTAATAGAATCATAGCTAGGCTTGTCTAAACTACATAAAGTATAGATTGAACATTAATCAATAAAAAGCTCATTTAAAAAATATATTATGTTGCAATAGTTATAATGAATTTGTTAAATTTCAAAACTACAGCGTCAGCTTTGGAATATGTCAGCTTGGCTAGGCTGAACTACATTTCACAGGATCTATTTCTTATGTGGTTCCATTTCAGGGGTGGACACGAGAGATTCTAGATTTGGTGGGCAGAAGAGAGCAGTAGTCATTTTACAGTGCATATGTGCACATGGATGCACACACACACATCTCATGTTTGCTGTTTCACTTTGTTGACATAAAGCATCAGCTGGGCTTGGAATTACTTTACCTTGGGCTGGATCTTCCTTCAGCATTTCTTACTACTGGGCAAGACTTTAACGTGACTTTAGTTCCTTGGTGAGGATCTCTGGCAGAGGATACTGGTTTCTGCAGCTTAACCTGTCACCAAATGCAGCAATAGTGGATGTGCATTTCATTCCATCCTTTTAAGTCCCAGCAAGTGCTTGTAAGTTCCAGCCTACTAATTGATCTTCGTTTCCTGATTGCCTCCCCTGCGGATTTCAATCTTCAGCATTAGATGCCAAGACAATAGCCTTACAAAGACTACTTAACCAGCCCCCACGATAGTGCAAACCAATTCCTTGTACTGAATCTCTACTATATCTCCTACTATTCTCTGGTTGAACACTGACTGATATAATGGTGGTGTGTATTATCAGAGATAAACAGAGCCAGACATGAGCTAAAGTGGTAAGGAAAGATTTTAATCAGGATAATTGGGAACAGAGTCCAGTGTGAACTGAACCGAACTTTGATTTATGCAGAGGTGCCTGGGTGTTTAAAAGGGAAAATGATGGGTGAGCAGGGGCTCAGTAGACGCGAGGAAGTGACAAATTACAAAAAACGGGAAACGAAAATTTGTCCATGTGAAACCATCTGGGTTTGCTAACTGGTGCTTATGAAAGTCAGGCTCCTATCTTCTCACGTAGACTAGACAGGAGCTTTCTTCAGGTGTTGGCTAAAACAAACAGTAAATTCATTTGGCAGTCTTGACTTTTTTTTTTCAAGCAAGCACTTTAAGAAGCTTAAGGTCATGCTAGGAATGTTGCTTTGTGCTATTAGAAACTGTTAGTGTTTTGTCCAAGTCTTTATAGAACAAGATTGAAGCCTAGTTGGGAAAAAAGCTTAGAGAAGTCTGGCTAGTGTTTGGTCAAGGAGAGAATCTTTGTCAGTGTAAAAGAATTTAAAATAGTTATTACTTTTTCTTATTTACTTTAGAAATATGAGAAATATGCAAGCTTATACTTGATACGTCAACATGCACTGAGATATATGGCATTACTTTACTAATATATAATGCTTCATTGTGATATAATTTAAATATATTGAGAAACTATAAAATAAACACTTAAGGAGCTGGAAATATCTTTAGTACAAATTTAAGTTGGAAATAATTCTGTAGTTTTATTATTCATATATTCAATGTCTTCATTTTAAGATATTAGCTATCTTTAATGAAAAGAATAATTTAGAATGTGCAGACTATAACAAGATGTTCATTGTGTTTTGAATATACAAGCCATTACAATATTAAAAAGATGCCAACTCTACATTTATAAAATGCATTGACAGCCAAACTCAATAATATTAATTTTGGAAACCTTCCAGTAGGACTTCAAAGGAAGACTTTTTTTTGTTTCATAGGAATGCTAAAATTCCAAAATTAACATTAATCATCCCTAGCTTCCTTTATCTGTGCCCTGGGCCATCATCTAAAAGTTTGAATAATAAATTACCTGAATATTACAAACAATGCATAATTTGAATATGTAAAAAGTAAACTAGACTTTTGCAAGGTCCTGCATATTTGGTGCATCAATAATTCTGATTGCTAACATCAAAACTGTATAACTTTTATCTTCACACAGTGTGTGCGTGTGTGAGGTTTTGTTATTTTGTAATCTTCATGTGAAATTTGGACAATTCTAAATGAGCAATTATAAATTATATGTAGCTAAATATTAAATTTCACTTACAGTTATAGACTTCTACTATAGGCTCTGCTTCCTTGTGTGATCGAAAAAAGGTTCACATTTCTATCACATTTTTAGTAATATCCAATTGAACAAAAGAATGAACAATGTTTTGCTTCAAGCTTCCTAGAAGTACATACACATTAATTTATCCAAATTATGCCAAACTGCTCAAAATACAGGCCAGAATACATAGGAACATTTAAAGTGCTCTTGTAATGGTATGTTTTTCTTTTTTCTTCTTTACCTCTAGAATATCATAATTACCTATTTCTCCACTCCCTACAAATACATTTTTATATCACATCTGTTTTAAAGGTGGTGCACTCCCTTATAAGATAGCAGCACCTTTGATGGCAGGGACGTAAACTTGTCTCTTTGAATCTTTAGTAACCAGCAAGATGGTTGACACTGTGGATTTAGAAGTAGTTGTTCATGGAAAGAATAATGTAAATGAACAAATAGATGAGGTATTTTCCTCTGATTAACTAGAAATTATCCCACAACTCTTTGCAGTCTCTGCTATGGTAATTTTTGTGTGAACAACCTTAACAGTTTTAGGAGATCACATTCACCTACTGCTGAAGCTACAGACGTCATTTAAATGGATGTGCATTTATGTAACAAGAGTTTCAGAATTCTTTTCAAGATCAATCTCCTAAATTATCTTATTAACATTTTGTTCTGGTTGACTACATTATTAGGACTGATAAAGCCTGCCTTCAGTAAGCTTATATTCTAGTAGAATAAATTAGAAAAATGTGGTAAAATTACACAAAGCTAGTAGTAAATTGGACTAAAACAGTACAAAAATACTAGAAATAATATAACTAGAACAGTAGCATAAATAATTTTTAGACAGAAAAGTCATATTGAACAAAAGGGAAAAAACTTTATATATTAAAAAAACTTGACAGACTGAACTTTGGTAAATTTTGTTGTTCATATGTAAGATTTCAAACAAAAGTTGAGGAAAAGTATTTAAATTGTATATGAGGCACCTGGTAATTGTTCAGTTGTAGATTCTGATCCAGTAGATCTGAGGTCGGCATTCTGCACTTCCAAAAATCATCCAGGTAATTACAACGCTACTATTGTTTTGTCTATTCAGAGATTACGAACGTCATTATACAATAATTTATTTTTATGTTGTCAAAAAAATCTAATTTTTTAATTTTAATATTTTTAGTTTACCTCTACATGTACAAACATCTAATACAATATTACATATATATGTGTATTATTATATAGCTACTAAAATGCTTACATATCCATTTAACGTTAATAGAAATAACATGCCCAATCCAATATTCAATATTAGATTCAATGTTCATTTTGTTTATTTATTCGTTTTCTGCCTATAACATATTTAGCTTTTAGAATGTTATGTTTTTCAGAATAGATTTTCCACTAGAGTAGCAGAGTATAAAAATACTAATAAGATATTCTTATCACCAACCTCTCTGAGAAAGTTCTTGTAGAAAAACACAGGAGAAAAATATATTAGAGATGCATTTGTAATAATCAGCTGAATGTAGCAGTGATATAACTATAAGAAAATGCTAATACTTTAGAGTTTAGACTACCTTCTCTTCATGCCTTCCTTCACCCTGGTGATTTTTCCTCCTTCTTTGTGTCCCCCGCAAATCAGATAGTAATAGGTGATTCCTGGCTCAGCAAGAAACCGGAGCTCCACCTAGGGATAGAGTGTCAGGCTGAGATCTAGAAAGTGAATTTTGCAGCCTATGTATTTCATGTAATTTACAAATAAAAATTATTTAGGAAATATTAAATTGCATATGAGAAATATTTTACTATTTTTTTCTATACTTTTGTATCAAAATATACAACCACTCTTGTAATATATCTTTATTTTTAAAATCTTAATGATCTTAAATCTTTTCAAGAAACGAAGTACTTTCAAGATAATAAAATAATGCACTGAACTCACTAAACTCATACAAATACTAGTGAATATTAAGTTGTATCATAAAAGTTAAATTTGGGGATCAGAGGCTATCATTTCAAATTGAAGTAATGTTGTTTACAATTTCTTTAAGTTTAAAATCATTTGGGGGGTTCCAAATATTAAATGGTTCCTATCTGGGCATAGAATAGGAGATCCATTGGGTTGGCCTTAGTCTTACATTACTGTTGCCAATGTTTGGCCTTCTCTGAGGCTATTTCTCAGAGAAATGGCTAGTGTTTCCTCCCACAGAGTAGGCTTTACCATCCATATGTTTTATTTTTTTACTGAAACATCTAAGTAACGATTGATATTTATTTTACTTTATATGGCCAGAAGTTAAATCTGTAATTGCGATAAACAGGTATTTGGATTTGCTTGGGGTAATCTCAGCTTACACTGTTTTCCCTGTGTTCATATTAACATGCCTCTGTTTTATCATAGAAGGGTCCTGTTGGGTAATATACTATACCACCTATGGTGTAGTGGTTAAGAAAACAGGCCCAAAGCAGACTGCCTTCAATTAAAATCCAGCTACACTATTTATTAACTGTGGTGATGTGAAAAGGAACATAAAATATACTTTATATTTGAGAAACAGTATCATCAGTATTTGATGCTTGATTTTAAAACAAGAGACAGGGAAACAGTGGAACAGTAGAACAGGAGACAGGGAAACTGTTGTTAGTTTGAGGAACTTACCTCTATTTTGCTATATACTAAGAAAATATACAAAAATACAAGTGGGGAGTGGGATGAGGAAATGGAACCAGAAGATGAGTTATATTTTGAACATGTTAAAATCTTTTGTGTTTTTATAGAAACAGACATTTAGAAGAGAGTTGGATGTTTAGGTCTGGGGTCACACTCTACTGATTGACTTGGATAATTGTTATAGGCAAAGAGGGCTATGAGACAATCTCTCTCTCTTTTTCTCTCATCTTCTTCCCTCAGAATTCAAATATATTTTTTTTCTATCTGAAACTAACAACCAACCAGTCTTTGACCCTTCATTTTTCTCACATGTATCTACCTTTTATTTATTTATTTATGTTGCCAGATAAATTGTATATATTTACCATTCACAACATGATATTTAGAAGTATATATACAGTCAGCATCACTTAGCAATGAGAAAAATTTTGAGAAATGTTTCCTTGGGTGATTTTGTCCTTGTGAAAACATCATAGATGTATAATACTTACACAAACCTAGATGATACGGCCTACCACATGCCTAGGCTATATGGGATAGACTATTGATTGTAGGCTAAAAATCTACACCGCATGTTATGGTACTAAATACTGTAGGCAATTAAGTATTTGTGTACCTAAACATAGAAAAGACACAGTAAAAATATGGTATTATAAATTGATGGAACCACTATTGAATATGCAGTGCACTGTTGACCAAAGTGTTGTTACTTGGCACATGATTGTACATTAGAGAATGACTAAATATAGCTAATTAATATATGCATTATTTCACACAGTTATAATTTTCCTGGTGAAAAATGTTATCTTCTTTGCATCCACTCTTAGCATTTTTCAAGAATATCAAGGATTATTAATTATAGTCATCATCTTGTACAAAAGATCTATTGAACTTTTTACTATTATCTAAATGAAATTTTTTATCCTTTGGGCAACATATTCTCAATCCCTCCACTCCAACAATCCCAGCTCCTGATAACCATCATTTGGTCTCTACTTCTATGAGTTAAACTATTTTAAATTCAGTCTATGAGATTACATGATATTCATCTTTCTGTGCTTGACTTATTTCACTTAACATAATGTCCTCCAAGTTCATTTATGTTGTCATCAGTGATAGAATTTCCTTTTTTTCATGGCTTAATAGTATTCTATTTGATATATATATAACACTTTTTAAGTGAGTTCCTCTATTGATTGCTACATAGTTTGATTCCATATATTGGCTATTGTGAATAATACCGCAATAAACATGGAAGTGCAGACATCTCTTCCACATACTGATTTCATTTCCTTTGGATATATTCCCAGTAGTGAAATTACTATATTATATAATATTTCTACTTTTAATTTTTTGAGGAAACTCCATACTGTTTTCTCTAATGACTGTACTGATTTACATTCCCACCAACACTGTGAAGGCGTTCCTTCTTCTCATCCTCTCATACACTTATGGTCTTTTATCCTATTGGTAATAGCCATTCTAATTTGTGTGAGGTGATAGCTCACTACGATTTCAATTTGCATTTCTCTGATAATTGGTGATGCTGAGCACTTTTCCGTATACCTTTTGGCCAATTGTATGTTTTCTTTTGAGAAATATATATTCTGTTCCTCTGCTCATTTTTAAATCATGCTGTTTTGTTATTAGGTTTGAGTTCCTTATATATTTTGGAAAGTCACCACTAATTAGATATCTAGTTTACAAATATTTTCTCCCATTCTGTAAGCTGTCTTTTCATTAAATTGATTATTTCCTTTGATGTGCAGAAGCTTTTTAGTTTGATGTAATCCCATTTGTCTATTTTTGCTTTGGTTGCCTGTACTTTTGAGATCATATCCAAATGTTATTACCCAGAAAAATATCATGGGTTTTTTTCCCTTATGTTTTTTCCCCAGGAGTTTCATAGTATCAAGTGTAAATTTTAAGTCTCTAATCCACTTTGAGTTGTTTATTGTATATCGTCTGAAATAAGGGCCTAATTTTATTCTTCTACATGGGAATATCCAGTTTTCTCAACACAGTTTATTGAAGAAAATGTCCTTTTCCCATTGTGTATTCTTTTTGCCTTTGTTGAATGTAGTTTTCTATAAATGTATGAATTTATTTATGGGCTTTTAAATCTGTTTCATTGGTCTATGTATCTGCTTTTTATATCAGTATCATGTTGTTTTGACTATTAGAGCTTTGCAGTATGTTTTTCAGTCAGGTAGTGTGATTCCTTTGTTTATTTTGCTCAAGACTGCTTTAGTTATTCAAGGTATTTTATGCCTTTTGTATGAATTTTAGAACTACTTTTTCTATTTCTGTGAAGAATGTCACTGAAATTTTGATAGAAGTTGCATTCAAATGGTAGACCATTTTGGGCTTTATGGATATTTTAACAATATTAATTATTCCAATCCATGAACACAGAATATCTTTCATTTTCAGGACTCAGTTCTAAAGCCTTTTTAAAAAATCATTTCTATATATTGTCCACCTAGTAAGACGTAACTACTCCCACGGATTTAAATTCAATTTTTATAAGAACATCTATATATTGATGTTTTCAAATTTACCTCTCTAGTCCTAATCTTTTGGATGGTCTTCCTATTTATAAAAGTCAATGTTTTTGATAGGTTCAAAATGTGCAAACGTAAATTCTTGATCATCCTATGTAAACCTGAATTACCTTTATAATTTGCCACTAATTATTTTAAACACAAACAGCCTTCATCAATAATTATGTCTTTATAACTTCCCACATTTTATCATTTGTTCTATAGAACAAATCTTCAAAACATAAACTTTTCTCCATCTTTACTGCTATCACTCCTGCTCCACCCACCATCTGTTAAACAATTTGCCATGATTATTTATATTCTCTTGAAGAAGTTAAAGTTCTCTCAAGAAAATAAAGAGAAATTGCTAAGCTTTATTAAAATCTGTTCTAGCTGCTATAAAGTTCCCTGTGGAATTAAAAAAATTCAGCATCTTGGTTAACTTCAATTAATGACTGTATTTTTCTATAATAAAACCTATTTTGTTTTATATATATTTTTTCTTTTGAGCAAAAAATAATCAGAGAGGAAAGTGATATGATTCTATTAGCTAAGTGTGAGGTATAACAATAACAACAAATAGCTTGCCCGAAAATCTTATGACCAGTCTTCTCAATCCTGGGTTGAACTACATGAAAAATTCCAGTGAATAATTTACATACTAGCATGCTACATCTTTTCTTGGAGAACATCTTGCTCACACTATAAATTCTAAGATATCTGGAATCAGGAAATCTGTTCAACTTTTTAAAATGCATATTTATAAACTCATTTCACAAAGGAATTCATAATTTGTCACATCTATCAATGTCCTTAAGAAATAGTGTATTTTATATACAATTTGAAAACCCTGAAGGAAAAAAAAGCCCATAAAAGCCATTATATAATAAAGTAAGAGATAGATTATCGTAAATGTATAGGAAATAAAGTAGTTTTGGGAATGCTCTCTAACAGTGTCACATAGCTTTATATCCCCAGAGAAGAAGAGCAAAGTACAGAACAGATAATAAAATAGTTTTCAATAATACAAGAAAGAGGGGCTTATTTTTAAATGCTTTGTTTCATCACTAATTCTCAAGTTAGAGTTCTAAAAATTTCCAGGCTCTACCACTAAAGGCTGAAACTATAAAGCTAATTGTAAGCTACTGTATCTGTGATGAAGAGAAGGAAAACTGAGAAAAAAAGTTTAAAGCCCTTCTAATTTCTTGGGACAGACTCAGAATTGGATAATGTAATATTATTTAATACTATTAACTTTGAGTATGCGACATGAGTGGCAGTGTAGTTCAAATGTTTATTGGAAATGCCCTATTTTAGGGTATAAGTGTAATTTGTAGTTTTCAATATATTACAAAGATCAAACTTTGATCATGTGTTACCATTGAGAAATAATATTTCATTAAGAATATATTGTACTATATTTCTAAGAAAGGTAACGATTTAGAAAAGGGCACTGTCACCAAAGTTCTAAATCTTCACAGGTGCAATTTTTCACATATAACTACATATTTTCTCAATGTACGACTGCGTGCATTTTTGAATATATAAACTCATATTTTACTTAACCCAAATATAATTTTTTTTTAGTTTTTTAAAAAATATTTTATAGCATGTAGCTCTTTTCATGCAAATACTATCTATCAACTTATGCTAGTGAAGCAAATTCTTTTAAGATATGAAACATCTGGGAAAATTCATGAAAAAAATCATTAAGAATATTTAATGAGAATGATTATTTGGGTTGTCCTCTGAAGAATGCTAAAAAAGAAACTTCCCTTTTTACTGCCTCATGATTCATTGCTAAGTAACTAATCAGACCTCCTCTTACTTGCCTCCAGTTCCCATGCTTGACTTTGTTTTAGACTTTGACCTGGTGAGGGGTTGCCAAGAGGAAAACCACCTTCGTCAACCACCTTTGTACTATTTAAAAGTATTAGATTCTCCAACATTCACAAAAAAACTTAAAAGCCTAGGAAACTCAAGGGGCTCTCACAATTTTTCCCACATTTCCACTCCTGCCAAAACCACAAATATTTATAGGCAATGTGTGTGTACAGTTTTCTGTGTTGAATATAGTTATTATTTCGATTTAGATTTAAGTGACCCTGATAAATGAAACAAATGAAAGAAAGGGGCGTGTGAGCTTAGTGACCTTAAAATGGCTAATGTTCAAATTGTTGTTTTCTCTTAGTTCTTTGTTTGTATCCTGGAACAGTTAACTGACTTTGAATGCCCAAAATAGCTGTTTTCCTTAGACAAATGTCAAAGGAACTCTTCAAATCACAATAGTTAATGACAAAACAGCATGAAGTTACACCGGCTAATTGTCCTATTTATTATTTCTTTATTTTTCAGCTTCAATTGCCCAGTTCATTTTCATTTATCTTGTCTTTCTAGTTCTTGTTTCTTTTTTCTCTACTATATACTGAATTTGAGCACTTAAATGGTGTATCACTCTAGTTACACTGTTCTTCCCAAATATTCTTCTTCCATTTACTTAGGTAAAGATGGAAAAGTAATAACATAATTTGAATATATTAATAAAATGAATGCTTTGAATAGGTCATAATACCAAAAAAATCTACGCTGAACTAAGCTTTACATGGGCAGTTAAATATTTCTGTGTTAACAGTGACAAAATTATATTAAATATAATTTTTTGGTTCTTACTCTCACTAAAATTAGTGCAAAACCATAGAAAGTAAAACCTCTGTGATCAATTGAAATACTTCTATTTTAAACCTTAGTGAATGTTGTTTTTTATGTACCATCAAGTACAAGAAAAACACATATATTTGTAGGAAAACTAATAGAAGGATGATAAAATTGAGAAACATTTGTCTTTTAGTTCTTCTGCTTACTTGCTGTCTAATTTCATTGAAGATATTTAATCTTCCTGAACATGGATTTTGCTCAGCTATAAAAAGGAACTAATAATACTTTCCTTACCCATATTCACAAAGTTCATTTAAATTAATACATGCATATGCAATAAGTAAACTCTGAAATAGTATACAACTAATCTTTATCAAAATGTGAAACCTTATAGGAGTGAAGTGGGTGATCTAGATGGAAACAGAGACAATTTCGAAACCACAGAGAAGAACACAGACAGATAGAATAGAACTGTTATTTATATCTTACTTATATAGGAAAGTTTAGTTTGGCAGATGGTTAAGAGACTTAGCCCTAGGTCTTCAATCATGACTGAGCCTAGATAACACTACCCTGTGTGGTAGCATAATAAGGAATGTATGTACCCATCTTTCTGATAATCTGAATTTGTATTGGGAATTAACTTTTTATCTTACAATTATATCTTTTTATCTCTTCCAGCTTTTTAAAATTTGCTTTAACAAATGCTAGGCAGAGACACAACAAAAAAAGAGAATTTTAGACCAATATCCTTGATGAACATTGATGCAAAAATCCTCAATAAAATACTGGCAAAACAAATCCAGCAGCACATCAAAAAGCTTATCCACCATGATCAAGTGGGCTTCATCCCTGGGATGCAAGGCTGGTTCAATATATGCAAATCAATAAATGTAATCCAGCATATAAACAGAGCCAAAGACAAAAACCACATGATTATCTCAATAGATGCAGAAAAAGCCTTTGACAAAATTCAACAACCCTTCATGCTAAAAACTCTCAATAAATTAGGTATTGATGGGACGTATTTCAAAATAATAAGAGCTATCTATGACAAACCCACAGCCAATATCATACTGAATGGGCAAAAACTGGAAGCATTCCCTTTGAAAACTAGCACAAGATAGGGATGCCCTCTCTCACCACTCCTATTCAACATAGTGTTGGAAGTTCTGGCCAGGGCAATTAGGCAGGAGAAGGAAATAAAGGATATTCAATTAGGAAAAGAGGAAGTCAAATTGTCCCTGTTTGCAGACGACATGATTGTATATTTAGAAAACCCCATTGTCTCAGCCCAAAATCTCCTTAAGCTGATAAGCAACTTCAGCAAAGTCTCAGGATACAAAATCAATGTACAAAAATCACAAGCATTCGTATACACCAACAACAGACAAACAGAGAGCCAAATCATGAGTGAACTCCCATTCACAATTGCTTCAAAGAGAATAAAATACCTAGGAATCCAACTTACAAGGGATGTGAAGGGCCTCTTCAAGGAGAACTACAAACCACTGCTCAAAGAAATAAAGGAGGATACAAACAAATGGAAGAACATTCCATGCTCATGAGTAGGAAGAATCAATATCGTGAAAATGGCCATACTGCCCAAGGTAATTTACAGATTCAATGCCATCCCCATCAAGCTACCAATGCCTTTCTTCACAGAATTGGAAAAAACTACTTTAAAGTTCATATGGAACCAAAAAAGAGCCCGCATCGCCAAGTCAATCCTAAGCCAAAAGAACAAAGCTGGAGGCATCACACTACCTGACTTCAAACTATACTACAAGGCTACAGTAACCAAAACAGCACAGTACTGGTACCAAAACAGAGATATAGATCAATGGAACAGAACAGGGCCCTCAGAAATAACGCCGCATATCTACAACTATCTGATCTTTGACAAACCTGAGAAAAACAAGCAATGGGGAAAGGATTCCCTATTTAATAAATGGTGCTGGGAAAACTGGCTAGCCATATGTAGAAAGCTGAAACTGGATCCCTTCCTTACACCTTATACCAAAATCAATTCAAGATGGATTAAAGACTTAAACGTTAGACCTAAAACCATAAAAACCCTAGAAGAAAACCTAGGCATTACCATTCAGGACATAGGCATGGGCAAGGACTTCATGTCTAAAACACCAAAAGCAATGGCAACAAAAGACAAAATTGACAAATGGGATCTAATGAAACTAAAGAGCTTCTGCACAGCAAAAGAAACTACCATCAGAGTGAACAGGCAACCTACAAAATGGGAGAAAATTTTCACAACCTACTTATCTGACAAAGGGCTAATATCCAGAATCTACAATGAACTCCAACAAATTTACAGGAAAACAACAAACAACCCCATCAAAAAGTGGGCAAAGGATATGAACAGACACTTCTCAAAAGAAGACATTTATGCAGCCAAAAAACACATGAAAAAATGCTCATCATCACTGGCCATCAGAGAAATGCAAATCAAAACCACAATGAGATACCATCTCACACCAGTTAGAACGGCAATCATTCAAAAGTCAGGAAACAACAGGTGCTGGAGAGGATGTGGAGAAATAGGAACACTTTTACACTGTTGGTGGGACTGTAAACTAGTTCAACCATTGTGGAAGTCAGTGTGGTGATTCCTCAGGGATCTAAAACTGGAAATACCATTTGACCCAGCCATCCCATTACTGGGTATATACCCCAAGGACTATAAATCATGCTGCTATAAAGACACATGCACATGTATGTTTATTGTGGCATTATTCACAATAGCAAAGACTTGGAACCAACCCAAATGTCCAACAATGATAGACTGGATTAAGAAAATGTGGCACATATACACCATGGAATACTATGCAGCCACAAAAAATGATGAGTTCATGTCCTTTGTAGGGACATGGATGAAATTGGAAATCATCATTCTCAGTAAACTATCACAAGAACAAAAAACCAAACACAGCATATTCTCACTCATAGGTGGGAACTGAACAATGAGAACACATGGACACAGGAAGGGGAACATCACACTCTGGGGACTGTTGCGGGGTTGGGGGAGGCAGGAGGGATAGCATTGGGAGATATACCTAATGCTAGATGACGAGTTAGTGGGTGCAGCGCACCAGCATGGCACATGTATACATATATAACTAACCTGCACAATGTGCACATGTACCCTAAAACTTAAAGTATAATAATAATTAAAAAAAAAAACAAAAAACAAAAAAAAGAAATGCTTAGGTTTGTTTATTAAATTTACTGGTAAAGAAAATAGCAATGTTGACCCATTAGTCAAAGAAGATGAAATAGGAACACAGTATTGCCAGCAAATCCAAACTTTTATTAACCAGCAAATCCAAACTTGCATTAAATTTTAACATTTTTGCTCTATAAAATGGCTGGCTAGAGAAGGCCTACACTGCTGTCAGGATTACTGGCTTAATTTTAGAGAGACAAAAAAAAATTATAAGAATGTTCATTCAAAACAAGTTAAGTCATAAATTAATGTAATGTTGTCTTTTATTGCTTACCTCAGATTTTTCAAAGTTTCTTGGCCTAGAAGCAGAATAGGTCTGAGGTTTCCACATTTACCCACCTCTTAGTCAGTAACAACACAATATCAATAATCAAGAGATATAATATTACGGATCAGATTCACAAATATAGTCACCTCATTTGCAAATAACTAATTAAATATGGCATCACTTTTTAAATCTTTCTACAGAGGTATCTTCTCCTTATACATTCTTTAAAGTTTGTCTACTTCATGAACTGAAAATGGACCACTGGCTAAGCTTCCAAGGTATAGTAGATTTAAATGTTCCCTATCCAATATATATAAACCAAAAGGAGTGATTTTGATCATACATGACAAATTACAAAAGGAAAAACCATGTATAAATCCATGCACTTGAGTAAGGTTATGATTGCATTGTATATTGGTGTATTTTGATAGGTTATCAAAAACATATTACCTATCATCAATCTTTAAAAAACTAATTATAAAAACATGTAAATTCAATTTTATTTATACTGTCTAATGGACTTATAATAATTATAACTTTCCTTTCAAATATACAAAGAAGAAGGGATCCATGCTGTCCACCCTTCTATTATTCTAAACTTTTGCAAAGGTAATAAATTGCTACTTTCTCATATCTGTAGGATGCTAAACATAGCCTAATGTCTAAGATCCAAGTAGAGTTGTAAAACTATGCGTTGGATTCCAATATAGTGTGCCCCACAGATGTTGACAATCGTAGGAAAGCAGACCCAAATTATACAAACTTTCCCATCAAGTACCAACAACACAATGATTGTTTAAAACTAAACATCCAGGACTCCACATATGAGAAA
Organism: Homo sapiens; assembly: GCF_000001405.40. Lineage (NCBI taxonomy): Eukaryota > Metazoa > Chordata > Mammalia > Primates > Hominidae > Homo > Homo sapiens. The sequence goes on from NC_000005.10 coordinate 101,023,623, forward strand.
GGGAATGTACAGAGCCTGATGACTGTCCACTTAGTGTTTACAGTTTTTTTCCCTGCCTCCTGGGGAAAAAAAGAGGAAAGGAGATGACCAGAGTGGGGAAATGTGAGAAATCAAGAGAAAACAATAAATAATGTAAATAATCTTAACAATTTTCAGCATATTTTTCTCATTTTGTAATTATACAATCTTGAGGTTGGAAGCAATCTTGACATGCATGTAATTTAAATACATCAAAGTCTTTGAAGACTTATGTATTTTTTTAAAGTTCTCAAATTTGATTGGATGGGAAGCACACTGCAGGTTGAATAACAACATATATGAGGCCACGGAAATGTTACTAATCTTCATGGGTTTGCTAATGACATTGGTAAAACAATAGGACAAAGGTTATAAATATACTTATCCAAATTTTTGTAAAAGGTTCCTGTGAAAATATTTTGAAAATTGCAAAGTGCCATCCAAATATGACATGGAATTATTATTTTCCTTTGTTTGTAGCAGAACACAGAATAAAAATATCAAGACATAAAATAAACATCAGTTTAGTTGGAAAAAACAGGAAGCTATATATTCAAAAATGACCTAGAAGAAAAAGTACATTATAAAAAAAATTGATAACAGCAAAATTGCTTATGCATGCAGTCACAAAAAGAAAAAAGTTTATATTAGTTCATTCTCGCACTGCTATAAAGATACTCCTGGAGACTAGGTAGTTTATAAATATAGGAGGTTTAATTGACTCACAGTTCTACATGGCTATGGAGGCCTAAGCAAAAGTACAATCATGGCAGAAGGGGAAGCAGGCATCTTCTTTACAAAGTGCAGGTAAGAATGTGATTGCACAAGAAAAACTACCATTGAGAAAACCACCAGGTCTCCTGAGAATTCACTCACTATCATGAGAAATGCATGGGAAACCACCCCCATAATCTAATCACTTCCCTTCTATGACAGATGGCGATTACAGTTTCCTCCCTTGACACATGTGGATTGCAATTTGAGATGAGATTTGAATGGGGACACAGAGCCAAACCATATCATTCCACCCTGGCCCCTCCTAAATCTCATGCCCTTTATACATTTCAAAACCAATCATACCTTCCCAAGAGTCCTTCAAAGTCTTAACTAATTTCAGCATTAACTCAAAAGTCAACAGTCCAAAGTCTCATCCAAGACAAGGCAAGTTCCTTCAGCCTATGAGCCTGTCACATCAAAAGCAAGTTAGTTATTTCCTAGATACAATGGGAGTACAGGTATTGGGCAAATACACTCATTCTCAATGGGAGAAGTTGGCAAAAACAAAGGGGCTACAAGTGCCATGCAAGTCTGAAATCCAGTGGGTCAGTCAAATCTTAAAGCTCTGAAATGATATCCTTTAACTCCATGTCTCACATTCAAGTCAAGCTGATGCAAGAGTTGGGTTAGCACGGTCTTGGGCAGCTCTGTCCCTGTGGCCTTGCAGGGTACAGACCCCTCCAGGCTGCTTTCATGGGTTGGCATTGAGTGTCTGTGGCTTTTCCAGGTGCCTGGTGCAAGCTGTCGGTGGACCTAACATTTTGGGGCCTGGAGAACCGTGGCTCTCTTCTCGCAGCTTCACTAGGCAATGCCCCAGTGGGAACTCTGTGGGGGCTCCAACCCCACATTTTCTTTCCTCATTGCCCTAGCAGTGGCCCTCCACGAGTGCTCCACCCCTGCAGCAGACTTCTGCATGGACATCCAGGCATTTTCATACATCCTCTGAAATCTAGGTGGAGTGTCCCAAACCTGAGTTCTTGACTTCTGTGCACCCACAAGCCCAATATCACCTCAAGACTTGGGGCTTGCACCCTCTGAAGCAATAGCCTGAGCTGTATGTTGGCCATTTTTAGTCACAGCTGGGATGCAGGGCACCGAGTCCCAATATTGCACAAAGCAGCAAGGCCCTGGGCCTGTCCCAGGAAACCATTTTTTTCTTCTTCTAGGCCTTCCTGCCTGTGATGGGATGGCCTGCTGCAAAGACCTCTCACATGCCCTGGAGACATTTATCCTATTGTCTTGGTGATTAACATTTTGCTCCTTGTTACTTATGCAAATTTCTGCAGCTGGCTTGAATTTCTCCCCAGAAAATGGGTTTTTTCTTTTTTATTGCATTGTCAGCCTGCAACTTTTCCAAAATTTTTTTGCTCTGCTTACATTTTAAACATAAGTTCCCATTTCAGATCATCTCACTCAAGTTCAAAGTTCCACAGATCTCTAGGGCAGGGGCAAAATGCTGCCAGTCTCTTTGCTAAAGCCTAGCAACAATGACCTCTGCACAATTTCCCAATAAACTCTTCATCTCCATCTGTGAGCATCTCAACTTGGACTTCATTGTCCATATTGTTACAGGTAGTTAGGCATGAGGGAGGCGGGAGAGGGATCCTATACTACCCACTAGAAATCTTGGGTGATGGTTTTGCTATTACCACATAGCCTCTCTAAAAATGATAATTTGGCAGGGCCAGGGAGAGGCCATTTCTTGATGGTCCACACCTGTTAAAAAATGTTAGCTGACTGCCGACCCCAGGGAGAAGCCACTTCCTGGGCATGCGTGTTAAGAGACAAAGGTGGTAAAGTATGATCTTCTGGGCACATGCTACCCAAAATAGGAAGCCTCAGATGGGCATGCACATAACTCCCTAAGCACATTGTGCGTGCTTAATTCTAAAGGGTAAGAAAAGCACTGGGCATGCAGAAAGCCCACCCTAGTAGAAGAGTCATGGGAAAGAGGAGAGCTTATAAAATCCTAGACTCATGGTTAAACAGGACACTTAACCCTGTCTTTAACCTTCATGTGCCTGCTTGGTTCTCTTCCAAGTACATCCTCCTTTCTTTCCTGTCCTATGGCCTTTCTAACTTCCATTCCTGCTCTGGAACTTGCCTCCTTCTCTTTTTCTGCCTTATTGCCCTCAGTCGAATATTTTCTTCTGAGGAGGCAAGTACTGAAGTTGTTACAGACCTGTACAGATAGGTCGCAGGTAACTTGGGGTAACAGATCCCTTCCATCAGTAGCAATAGAACTATCAGATTTTGGTCAAAACCATTCAACAAGTCTCTAGGAAGTCCAAACTTTTTTCACCTCTTTCTATCTTTTTCTAAGCCCTCCAAACTGTTCCAGCCTCTGCCTGTTACCCAGTTACAAATTCGTGTCCACATTTTCAGGAATCTTTATAGCAGTAACCCATTCTCTGCAGTACCAACTTACTGTAGTAGTCTGTTCTCACACTGGTATAAAGATACTACCTGAGACTAGGTAATTTACAAACAAAGGAGGTTTCATTAACTCACAGTTCTGTATGGCTGGGGAGGTCTCAAACGTACAATTGTGGCAGAAGGAGAAACAGGCATTTACTTCACCAGGCGGCAGGAGAGAGTGTGAGTGTGCAGGAAAAACTAACACTTATAAAATCATCATATCTTGTGAGAATTCACTCACTATTACAAGAATAGCATAGGGGAAACCACCTACATAATCCAATCATTTCCTTTCCTCGACTCCTGGGGATCATAGGTTCCTCCCTTGACACATGGGGATTACAGTTTGAGATAAGATTTGGGTGGGGATACACAGCCAAACCATATCACAGGTAAAATAATGATAATAAGATATTCTGGAGCTCTGGGGCCAGGATGGCTGATTAGAAGCCGCTGGTGTGTGCTGTTCTAATATGGTTTGGCTCTGTGTCCCCACCAAAATCTCACCTTGAATTGTAATAATCCCCACATGTCAAGGGTGGGACCAGGTGGACATAATTGAATTCTGGGGGTAGTTTCCACCATACAGTTCTCATCATAGTGAGTGAGTTCTCATGGAGATTTAATAGTTATCCCCAAGACATATAGATATCAGATTCTCCAAAGCTGATACAAAAGAAAACCTAGTTAGAGGCAGCTAGAGAGAAGGGGCAGATCATTACAAAGGACACAAGCCAGACAAGATTGGGGGCCTAGATTCAGTATTAATAAAGAAAATAAATTCCAATCAAGAATCTTATATCATGCCAAACTAAGCTTTATAAGTGAAGGAGACATAAGATTTCTCCCTATTTCTTGTGCTTATATGACAGGCAAATGCTAAGGGAATTCATTACCACCCAACTTGCCTTACAAGATGTCCTGAAGAAAGTGCTAAATATGGAAAGGAAAGACTGTTACTGGTCACTATAAAAACAAACATCAGTACATAGACCATTGCAACCACATAGACATAGACCAAAGCAACCACAAACAAGTCTGCATAATAACCAGCTAATGAAATGATGACAGTGTCAAATCCACACATATCAACTGCAACCTTTAATGTTCATGGGCTAGATGCTCCAATCAGAAGGCACCAAGTGGCAAGTTGGATAACGAAGCATGACCCAATGTTACGCTATCTTCAAAAGATCCATCTCACATGCAATGACACCAACAGGCTCAAAGTAAAGGTGATGGAGAAAAATCTTCCAAGCAAATGAAAAACATAAAAAAGTAGGGGTTGCCTTTTGAACTTCAGACAAAGCCAATTTTAAACCAATAACAATCAAAGAAGACAAATAAAGGCATTACATAATGGTAAAGAGTTTAATTCAACAAGAAGACCTAACTATCCCAAATATGCATGCACCCAACACAGGAGCACCTAGACTCATAAAGCAAATTCTTAGAGACCTGTGAAGAGACTTAGATAACCACACAATAAGATTGGGAGACTTCAACACCCCACTGATACTATCTGACAGATTATCAAGGCAGAAAATTATCAGATATTCTGGGAACTGAACTCAACATTTGACCAAATAGAACTAATAGATATCTACAGAACTCTCCACACCAAGCAATAAAATATACATTTTTTTCATCTTCACATGGTACATATTCTAAACTCAACTGCACATTCATCCATAAGACAATCCTCAGCAAATTAAAAAAAAAACCTGAATTCATACCAACCATAAAATTACATGGAAATTAAGCAAACTTCTCCTGAATAACCTTTCTGTAAACAATGAAATTAAGGCAGAAATCAACAAATTCTTTGAAACTAATGAGAACAAAGATACAACATACCAGAATCTCTGGGACACAGCTAAAGCAGTGTTAAGAGAGAAGTTTATAGCATTAAAACCCACATCAAAATGATAGAAACATCCCAAATTAACAACCTAACATCACACCTACAGAAACTGGAGAAACAAGAATAAACCAATTCCAAAGCTAGCAAAAGACAAAAAATAAACAAAATCAGAGCTGAACTGAATGAAATTGATACACGAAATACCATAAGAATGATAATTGAATCCAGCAGTTCTTTGAAATAATACCTAAGACAGATAGGCCGCTAGCTACACTAATGAAAATGAGTAAGAAGATCCAAGTAAATACAATCAGAAATGACAAAGGGAACATTACCGCCGACCTCAATGAAATACCAAAAACCCTCAGAGACTATTATGAACACCTCTATGCACACAAATTAACAAGCAACAAACAAACAACCTTATTAAAATGTGGGCAAAGGACATGAACACTTATCAAAAGAAGACACACATGTGGCCAAGAGGCATATGAAAAAATGCTCAATATCACCAATCATTAGAGAAATGCAAATCAAAACCACGATGAGATACCAGCTCACACCGCTCAGAATGGCTATTGTAAAAAGTCAAAAAATAGCCAATTCTGACAAGGTTGTAGAGAAAAGGGAATGCTAATACATTCTTAGTGGGAATGTAAACTATTACAGCCATTGTGGAAAGCAGTTTGGAGATTACTTTGTTAAAGAGCTTAAAACAGAAAAACCATTTGACCTAGCAATCCTATTACTGGGTGTATACCAAAAGGAATATAAATTGTTCTACCATAAAGACACATACCCATATATGATCATCATAGCACTATTTACAGTTGCTAAGACATGAAATCAACCTAAATTCTCATAAACAGTAGACTGGATAAAGAAAATGTGATATATATACACCATGGGATACTAACCAGCCATAAAAAGAGTGAGATCATGTCTTTTTCCACAACATGGATGGAACTTGAGGCCATTATCACAAGCGAATTAACTCAGGAAAAGAAAACCAAATTCCACATGTCCTCACTTATATAAGGGTGAGCTAAACTTTGAGAAAACATAGACATGAAGAAAACAAAAAACACTTGGACCTACTTGAGAGGGGAGGGTGGGAGGGAGGAGAGCATCAAAAAGCTACCTATTAGGTATTATGCTTATTACCTGGGTGATGAAATAATCTGTACACCAAACCCCCATGACACATGATTTACCTATATAAGAAACCTGCACATGTATCCATAAACTTAAAATAAAAGTTACAAAAAAGATATTCTATTAAATTTAAAAAGTTATGTGAGAGCTGGGGCTTAGCACTTTTGTGATAAAAAAAATGTATACATAAAAGAAAAACCAATGAAATTGGAGGTATAAATTATAAATGCTCTAATTACTGGAAATAAAGAACCAAGACTGTGCTCAACATTGACCGCTTAAATTAGAACATTTCAAATTTTTCAGAAACATAATGTCCTTGGAAAGAATTATAGTTATGATGCGTCAAACTACATTCAGGTAAAAAAGTTATTTTTTATTGTGGGAAAATAAGCCCAAAGTTGAAATTTATTGGAGAAACAAGGGGTTTTGCGGTGGACTTGAGCATACATTTTGTAACTTGTCTGGAGGAGGCAAGATATAATACAGCCTTGGCAAGGCTAAGCATAGTTGAATGAAGACTGCTGATAAAAGGGTAGATGAAATTAAGTATGAGACTTATTAGAATCAAATACTTTATTACTGTGGTAAATGTGGTACAAACATAAGTAGGAATTTTATTTCAAAAACATTATATAAAGCAATATTTTTTGGGTAATTATCATGGAAAGTGAACTGTGTCAAGCATTATAGCCTTTAATTATTTCTTCTTTATGGAGTCCTGTGTTAAGAAGACATCTTTGGGTTGGGCGCAGTTGCTCATGCCTGAAATCCCAGGACCATGGGAGGCCGAGTCAGGCGAATCACCTGAGGTCAGGAGTTCGAGACCTGCCTGGTCAACATGGTGAAACCCCATCTCCACTATAAATACAAAACTTAGCTGAGCATGGTGGCAGGCACCTGTAATACCAGCTACTTGGGAGGCTGAGACAGGAGAATTGCTTGAACCCAGGAAGCGGAGGTTGCAGTGAGCCAAGATCATGCCACTGCAATCCAGCCTGGGTGTCAGAGCAAGACTCTGTCTCTAAATAAATAAATAAATAAAGACATAAAGAAAGACGTCTGTTCCTCTTCCTTTGGCTGAAGACCCCATAGGGTGCTTTGTTATTAGTGGTGTCTACTGAATGAGAATAGGTGGGATTTTCAATCCTGTGACCTACCACCACAAATTTCCCAGAATATTGAAAGAAGAGAATGGGCTACCAAATGCAAACTCCATTCCAAATTTGGTTTTTGATACAAAATCATTATCTATTCTATTATTTTGTGAAGCCTATCCAAATCATATGTGAGGCTTGGACAATATGAGAGTGGCTTACCTTTGAGATAACATGAAATTTTATAAATATGTGGAATCCTGTCTGTGATGTTCTTATTAATAATGAGAGATGGTCAGCTGGTCACGGTGGCTCATGCACGTAATCCAAGCACTTTGGGAGGCCGAGGCGGGCGGATTACCTGAGGTCAGGAGTTCGAGACCAGCCCAGCCAACATGGTGAAACCCCGTCTCCACTAAAAATACAAAAAAAAAAAAAACAAAATTAGCCAGGCATGGTGGCACACGCCTGTAATCCTAGCTACTAGGGAGGCTGAGGCAGGAGAATTCCTTGAGCCCAGGTGATGGAGGTTGCAGTGAGCAAAGATCATGCCACTGCACTCCAGCCTGGCTGACAGAGCGAGACTCTGTCTCAAAAATAATAACAATAATAATAATAATAATAAGAGATGATCAATATACGATAATATTTCTAAAGAAAAAAGCAGAAAGTACAATGTCAGTATGCTAGTTAAATAATTTAAAAAATGTAGATAAAACTTCAAAAGAAGTCCACTTCTCCAATGGAGACATTATTACATTATAGAGTTTAGGAGATAGTTTGGGTTTATAAGCTCTAATCATTTTTCAAAACTGGCAAGGTATAATTATGTTTAAGTTGAATTCTTTAGGATTGAAATATGTATCCACACAATGCTCATGAGGTACTATGTGCTTACTTATTAATTTCCTAAGAGGTTTAGAAGGTTTAAAGATGGGGTGGAAAAATTGTACACAGATATATATATTTCTAGATAAACATATCATTCTAGGTTTTCTATTTCTCCCACACAGGTGAGTTTTCTTCCTCTCATATTCAGTATTTAGAATTTAATGTTACAGTTTCAATCAGTAAAGGAACTATTAGAACTGAATGCAAATTAAAAAGTCTCTTCAAAGTTGTTTCCAACTTGTACTGAGAAGCAATTAGAGGAAGCTTAAAGCAAGTACTTTCTTCCATATGCTTCTTTTCTAAAGCATTGCTTTTTTTTTCCATTGTGTATTTTGTTTTAGTATTTGAAAGGGTATTTTTGAAACAATTTCTCTGATATATGGTAGAGAATGAACTACAGGCAATCATAATTGAGTAATATTTGTTTTATGTTTAATACTACAATCTGGGATATAAAATGTATATAAGATGGAATGTTCTTTTCAAAGACTTTACAGTCTAACAGAGATCATAATATACGAACACATTATTTAGCTAAATAGCATCATATAAATATTAATAGATGCAAAATAAATTCAATGTAGCATTACTTTGCTAGGCTATAATATTAAAAGACATTGGTCATCTTTTGAAAAATAATTTAGAAAAGAATGTTTAAGGAAAAGTAAATTAAAAATGAATTTTCATTTAACTCAAAATGGACCATAAACCTAAATATAAAACTTCTAGAGGAAAATGTGGGAGAAAAAGCCAAGAAACCTTGAATTTGGCAACGAATTTTTAGATACCACATAAAAAAGCACAATCCATGAAAGAAAAAGTTAATAAGTGGAACTTCATTAAAATTAAGAATATAGACAGATAAAAAGAAACAAAATATCTACTCTGTGAAAGATACTATTAAGAGAATCAAAAGCAAGCTATTGCCTGGGAGAAAATATTTGCAAAATATATATAAGGCAAAGGACTTGTATCTAGAGTATGCAAAGAAAACTTAAAACTCAACAGGAAAGCAGAAAAAAAAAAAAACCTGATTAAAAATTGACCAAAAGATCCAAAAGACAATTCAACAAGGAGGATATACAGATAGCAAATTAGCATATGAAAAACTGCTCAACATTATGTGTCATTAGAGGATTACAAACTAAAACAATGAGCTACTACTATAAACCAATTAGAATAGCTAAAATCAGCTCCCTTTCACCCACCTCCAAAAATAAAAAGAAATCAAAATAAAAACCGTATGGTGCCAATTGCTTGCAAAGATGCAGAGCAATAGAAACTCTCATTCATTGTTTGTTGGAGTAAAAAATTAATACAGCCATTTTGAAGACATTCGGTAATTTTCTTACAAAGCTAAACATAGTCTTTTCATATGAACTCTCCATCATGCTCCTAGGTATTTACCAAAGTGACTTGAAAATTTATGTCTTACCAAAATCTGCCCATGTATGAAATTAGCATTATTTAAAATTTTCCCAAACTGGAAGCAAACAAAATGTTCTTCAATATTCGAATGGAGACATAAGCTGTGATACAACCATATAATGGATTTTTAGTCAATGATAAAAGGAAATGAACTGTGAAGCCACAAAAAGGCATGAATTAATCTCACAAGCATATTTAACTGAAAAAAAAACCTGGTTTTCATACTGTATAATTTCAATTCTGAAAAAGCCAAAACTATGGTAACTGAACAGTAATTTCTAGGGGTTTGAGGAATGGAGAAAGTATTGATTAGGTGAAACACAGGGTTTATTTTAGGATGTAAAACTAATCTGTATGATACTGTAATGGTGATACAGGATAACATTTATTTGGTAGAATTCTTAGAATTTTACAGCACAAGGTATAAACCTCAATATATGCAAATTAAAGAAAAATTATTTAGGAGTTCAGGAGTTCCTAGGATGGAATGCAGAATGTGACAACTAACTCTATTACCAATGTATAAAAGAAGTTTATTGAAGCGGGAAGGGGAAAGGTGCTGACCAAAGTACCTTTGGAAATGAATAGAGTCTGTAGGACTAAAGGCAAAAGCAATTGCCCGTATGCACTGTATTTCATTTGATAAACTGCTCCTTCTCCCCACCGTGAGGATACAGGCTAACAATTCTGACATATCCATACATGTATATCAGAATTGAACTATTAAGTACATGGATAGCAGATGATAGAAGACATGTTTCTCATTATTGGAGTGAGAAGTTACAAATAAGCAAGAAGAGGAAGATGGAATGACACTGTGGTAATGAATTAAAGCCTGAGACATCAATATGAATTTAATTTTAGCTTACTAGGAATTCAAATGATTACATAGAGAAATATTTACAGATATATGCATATCTACACATTATTATATTTTCTTCCTCTGTCAGCTGAGAGTCTAGATGAAACACACCCAATACTCACAACAGTCACAGCAATGAGCATGCCTAATGTCCACATCTTTGCTTCTAATATCATTTGATATGGTTTGGCTGTGTCCCCACCCAAGTCATATTTTGAATTGTAGCTCCCACAATTCCAACGTGTTGTGGGAGGGAACTGATGGGAGGTAATTTAATTATGGAGGTGGGTCTTTCCCGTGCCATTCTCGGGATAGTGAATAAATCTCATGAGATCTGATGGTTTTATAAAGGCGAGTTTCCCTGCACAAGCTCTCTTTCTCTTGTCTGCCACCATGAGAGATGTGCCTTTCACTTTCTGCCATGATTGTGATGCCTCCTCAGCCACATGCAACTGTGAGTCCATTAAACCTCTTTCTTTTGTAAATTTCCCAGTCTTGGGAATGTCTTTATCAGCAGTGTGAATATGGACTAATACATCATTCTCTAACAAAAAGAATTATGACCCCTCAGAGAAATGGCTGATTCTCATACTAGGGCAAATTTATCCAAAATGCATCTGGAGTATCTTGCGGTATCAGAAAGTTAGAAAGTCCCATATCCCCATAACTCCAGGGTAATCTTAAGAAAAACATTAGACAAAACTTAATTTTGAGACATTCTACAAAATTACTAATAATTCTCATAGGTGTCAAGATTATCAAAAACAAGGAAACTATGAGAAACTATCACAGCCAATACAAACCCAAGGAGACACGAGGACTATAGTTAATATGGTATCTTAGATGATATATTGGAACAAAAAATAATGTCAGGTTAAAAACTAAGGACATATGAATAAATATGCATTTTTACTTAATAAAAATGTATCAATATTGGTTTATTAAATATAACAACTGTACCATACTAAGGAAAATATTAATAGAGAAAATTGGTTTGGATTATATGGTAACTTTTTATACTATTTTTGTAATTTTTCTCAAAATCTAAAAGTGTTCTAAAAATAATTTAAAAATAGATATAGAAATAAAAGCAGAATGTAATATAATGAAGACAGACTAGAGAAAAAAAGGATAATAAAAATTAACAGAGCTATAGTTGGAGTTTGACAACTGGTTCCTAATTAATGATTATATTTGGCAGAAAATGAAAAGGATATAATAAAATTAAGTGAGAAAATAAACCTTAGAATGCTTGATTTTCATTAATACACTTTAATTGTGCAAGAAGATATTTTGGCAGGTCTACCTTCCTTTCCAAAAGCTCTATTATCTAGTCCCCAAAATTTCTGCTGTAACAAATCATATATAAACCTTGATGTTGCTTTTCTCAACTTCCTCATAATATATTGCTATAATCTAGGAGGGTTATTTTATCACAATATCCATGGAGATGAATTATAAGTAATGCTTTTGGTAAATTTACTGACACAGCAAAATCAATAATTTTAAGTTAGGTAACAAATAAACAAGGCAATTAGCATCGTCTTTATGCTCCGACTAATATAAAGTGATGACGTAGAGTAGCAAGGTTACCAGACAGGGTATTCATTTTGTATGTTTAAAGAAAATCTAACCAAAAACAAGATGTTGATTGACAGATGAGAAGTAGCCACTCCCATGAAGAAATCTATTTATTTTATTTCTTCAACAGGTTAATATCGATGATATATGTATGTGCCACAACAATTGAAAGGCAAAATATTTTCTTGCTAAGAAACAGAAAAGGTACTGGGTAGTTGTCAATGGCGATGAACAAGGAAATAGCATGGTATGGGATGAGGTTTGAGAGTGTGGCACGGATCTGCATGTATAGAGCTAGTAGGCCATGGTTAGAAACAGGGATTCAATCTTACTTTTAAAGAGGAGCCAAAAGAGGATTGCCTGGTAAATTATTTCATATTTTCCCTGTACTTCTTTAACATGATAAAGATTTTCTAATTTAAGCAAACATTTATCATTTTATATTCCAAAATTTGGGAGTAAGCAAGGATGTTCACTTGAAACACTATCATTAAAAACTATTCTGAACTTGTTCTATAATTATACACAGAAATTAGAGGAATAACTCAGAAAAATAAAATCAACATTTTATATGTTGTTTGAAACTGTATTTAGAATTAACTAAAGCTTAATAAAGTGACTGATTTAACATAGCTGATTAATAACCATTATAAAAAGGATTAGTTTTTCCAAGTATTAGCAAAATATAAAATTTATACTAGTTAAAATTTGAGTGGCAAATAATATTATAATAACTAGAATGACTAATATAAAATTCTGAAAACTCTATATGAGAAAATGATATTTCAGTATATATAAACAATTTCAATAATCACAGAAAAGTAACATGCCTCTGGATGTGAAGAGTTTCAGTGGATTTAAAATGTTTAAATTGTTTAATTTATAGATTAACAAAATGTCAGTCAAGGTATAGCATTTTACCTCTAATAAAATAATGCTGCCTTTTATTAGAAAGAACATAACTATGAAGATAACTTTTTGTGTTTGTTAAAGAAGCCAGGCTTTAGCTTTATCAGTAAAATCTGTACTTCAGTTCTCATGGGATTATAAGAGTAGCTTTATTGAAATCATTTTACTTTCTTTACTGGAAACTACACAAACACGAAGGATAGGACAATCTAAAAACAGTATTTCCAGCATTATAAAGAAAGAGAAATCCCAAACCACCTTGAGAGTGAGCGCTGGCAAGGCAACAAAGTCCAGGAGAACCAGACTGGAAATCCAGGCACGAGGTCCTGACAGTGCAATAGGAACGAATGGAGAGTGCAGAAGGTCCTTGCATGGGTACAGCAGATCTTAGAAATCACCCTATAAAATTCACTTTCAGAAACAGAGCTTCATTTGAAAAAGACCTACTAGGAGCAGAGATGAGAAGCAGCATTCAACCACTGATGAACAAGAGAGAAGGCTTGCAAAATTCTCAAGATGTCAGTGGTGGAAGATCTCAAAATACACCAGCAAATTGTATTTTCTAAATGTGAGTACATAATCTTAAAATATTGTAACTATTGTTAACTGATTCCAGTGAAAGGACTAGGAAATATATAGTGAGCCATATAAAGCCTCTTGAGTGTCCTCATTGCAAGGGATCCAAAAGAGGGAACAAAAAGATAGCCACAATGTCATTTATAACCTAGTCCTGGAAGTCACACACCCTCATTTTCACCACATTATGTTCATTATAAATGAGGAGTAGAACTAGGCTACATGTTTTGGAGAGAGGAGTGTCAGAGAACTGGTAGAGATGTTTTAAAACCACTGTATAACTTCTATCTATATCAGCTGTTTTTCCTACATTTACAATTTGGCTATTCAGATATTTAGTTTGTTAAGGAAAGGCAGGAAAACTTTTTTTTTCCTCCACTTTCTTAATACCTTTCAGGATAATGAATGGTTCCCCAAGTATCCTCAAAGGTAATCAATTAGTTTTTTTACTATCATTATAAATGCATAGATTTTTGTATATTTCACATGTTTTAACAAACTAGAGTAATTTTTCTTTTTGATGTTCAATTGTCTCAATTTTTTTTTCAGCAGAAACTTTTAAAAGTTGGTGCTGAGTCCTTTTCCAAAATAGCCTTTAGCATAACTCCTTGGCTTTATAGTGTCTTGAAATATTATTCATTTACCTGAAAGTTTGCCCCAAATAGGATAATTGACTATTTCTCTAAGGATTCCTGATTGTTTTCAGAGAGAACTGGCAAATATGGCTATTTGATTTCTAGGAGTACTTATTATTACTGAGCTAGGTAAACTTTTAGATATTTTCAGTAGACAAATCTAAGGAAAAATATATATGAGAAAATACATCATGAATTTTTTCTGACATTTTGTACATAACTTTTTCAATTTTATATTTGCATTTCTGTTCACCTGCATTGACAATCATTCTTTATATGTATACATGTTTATATTTTCAAAATACATGTTTCTATATTATTACTAACAACACTGTTATTAAAAAACAGTTTAAGATTTTTGTGGCAGTTCTTTTGCCCTATTATTTTTAATGGCAAAAACTGCAATCGGTCTTGCCCCAACATAATACTATATTTTAAAATTAGTTCGGAGTATTTCCTTTGCACTTTAAACACTGAATTGATAGGCGGTGATCTTCTTCAGATAAATTTGGTTTTAAATTGCTAGTGGTTCTTCTTTATTTAATTTAATCTTGTTTTATAATTATGTAAACTAATTATACAATACACAAGTCAAGTGATATATAAAAACAACTATTTCTTCTTCCCATTTCTATTTCCACTGAGCCATAAACACTTTCCCCCAAAAGTACCTAATTTATTTTCCAGTTTGTGATTTTGTTTCATCTTATAATATATGCAAATATGCATACACATGTATGCTATACTCCTTAGAAAATGATATTAAACTATATATTCTTGTCTTCACTTTTTATCATTTAACATATGCTTCATGTTGTATACCTTAAACATATACAATAAAATTTACTTTAAAAACTTATGTTGGAGTACACTGTGCATAGGAAGATAGACACAGTTTTTACTTTTTTCCTGTAGTTACAGAGTGCTTCATTGAATCTTTGTATGGAATATGGAGCCAACCTCTGGGTGCTAGAAATACCCCTAGCTTTGGGATTGGTATTTGATTTTGGATATTTTCAGTAGAAAAAAATGGGGCAAAATAATTAAGAGAAATATTCTTAATATTCTTTTTTTTTTTTTTTGAGACGGAGTCTTACTCTATCACCCAGGCTAGAGTGCAGTGGCATGATCTCGGCTCACTGCAACTTCCCGCCTCCCAGATTCAAGCAGTTCTCCTGCCTCAGCCTCCTGAGTAGCTGGGATTACATGCTCATGCCACCACCCCCGGCTAATTTTTGTAATTTCAGTAGAGACGGGGTTTCACCATGTTAGTCAGGCTAGTCTCGAACTCCTGACATCGTGATCCACCCGCCTCGGCCTCCCAAAGTGCTGGGATTATAGGCATGAGCCACCGTGCCTGGCTAAGAGAAATATTCTAATTCTGCCATATTGATGGAACTCTGGCTATACATTGTCTTTTATTATTATACATAGGGTTACAACGTCCACGTAATTTTAATAGTTTGCCAGGACTTCCTTGGGAACTATCTTAAATGTGAGTTTTAGGATTAATAAGTATACTAAATATAATTTTTCTGAATAGTGTCTCTCTTCGTTTGTGTTGCTATAAAGGGATAACTGAGGCTGGATAATTTAGAAAGAAAAGAGGTATATTTTGCTCATAATTCTGCAGGCTGTGCAAAAAGCATGGGGCCAGCATCTGCTTCTGGTGGAAGCCTCAGATTGCTTCTATTTATGCAGAGGCTGAGACAGGGAGCCTGTGTAGTGAACAGGCAACCTACAGAATGGGAGAAAATTTTTGCAATCTATCCATCTGACAAAGAGCTAATATCCGTAATTGACAAAGAACTTAAACAGATTTACAAGAAAAAAAAACAACACCATCAAAAAGTGAGCAAAGGATATGAACAGACACTTCTCAAAAGAAGACATTTATGCAGCCAACAAACATATGCAAAAAAGCTCATCATCACTGGTCATTAGAGAAATGCAAATCAAAATCACAATGAGATACCATCTCACACCAGTTAGAATGGCGATAATTAAAAAGTCAGGAAACAACAGATGCTGGAGAGAATGTGGAGAAATTGGAACGCTTTTACACTGCTGGTGGGAGTGTAAATTAGTTCAACCATTGTGGAAGACAGTGTGGCGATTCCTCAAGGATCTAGAACTAGAAATACCATTTGACCCAGCAATCATATTACTGGGTATATACCCAAAGGATTATAAATCATTCTATTATAAAGACCCATGGACATATATGTTTATCAAGGCATTATTCACAATAGCAAAGATCTGGAACCAATCCAAATGTCCATCAATGATAGACTGGATAAAGAAAATGTGACACATATACACCATGGAATACTATGCAGCCATTAAAAAGGATGAGTTCATGTCCTTTGCAGGGACATGGATGACACTGGAAAACATCATTCTCAGCAAACTAACACAAGAACAGAAAACCAAACACTGCATGTTCTCACTCATAAGTGGGAGTTGAACAATGAGAACACATGGGCACAGGGAGGAGAGCATCACACACTGGGGCCTGTCAGGGGGGTGGGGGGCTAGAAGAGGGATAGCATTCAGAGAAATACCTAATGTAGATGATGGGTTGATGTGTGCAACAAATCACCATGGCACGTGTATACCTACGTAACAAACCTGCATGTTCTGCACATGTACCCCAGAACTTAAAGTATAAATAATAATGATAATAATAATGAAAGGGAGCCTGTGTTTGCAGAGATCACACAGCCAGAAAGGAAGTAACTGGGGCTGTGCCAGGCTCTTTTAAACAGCCAGCTCTCTTAAGAACTAATAGAATGAGTGCTCATTCAAACCCCACCCCACAGAGCGAAAACATTAATCTACTCAAGAGGGATCCACCCCCATGATCAAACTATAGCAGTGCCAAATTCCCATCCACAGGTATGATTACAATTTGCAACTTTACCAGAAATTATGAATCTGTATTTAGACAAGTATACCAAGAAAACATGTTATCCAATTTCTGATATTTGCCAACGTAGCAAGAAACATATCTTAATGCTGTCTCACGTGCACATCTCTTACTATGAATATCTGTGCATCTTTTCATATATTAAGGGGTATTTATATGTGTTTAATCACTAGTTATTCAAATCTCTTTTCCACCTTGTTTTCTGTGGATTTGTTGGATTTTTCTCCCTTATTAATAATCATTATTAAGCTATATAACTTCTCAATATTTTCCCATTTTTAAATTGTTTTATTTCCCTGTTCATCATGTATGTTATTTTTATTTTTGTATTGTCAAATGTGTCCTTTTTCCTTTTTATTTATAAATTTTAAGTTTATTAGAAAAGTTTCTCTCACTCTATGTTATAAAATATCGCTTATTTTATTCTGGTATATCTATGATTTCATATTTTATAACTAAACATATTATCCATATGGGTCTGATATAGTAAGATTCTTGGAAAATTCATTTTATTTTAAAAGACCATTAAAGATATGGAGTCACATTAAATCTCCATACACATTTTAATATATTTCTAAATTCTCTTTTCTATTTCATTGTTCTCTGCAATCATGGACTAATACTGCAATCTTTTTATTTGTAGAGAACTTTAAAATGTTTATTATTTGTTTGGGCTAGATAATACTTTTTGTTCTATTTTTTTCATAATTTTCATAACTATTCTTTTTTCACATTCCTCCAAATAAACTTTATATTCAACTTCTGTAGTTTAAGGAAAATATTAGAGAGAATTTTATTAGGATACTGCTAACAGTTTAATAACCCTAGGTAAAATTGGTAGCTGTTATGTTAACTAGTGTTATTCTAGGACATAATTAATACAGCTTCTATTTGTTCATTTTTTTGTGTGTATTTTAGTAGCTTTCTGTTTGTTTTAGGTTTTCCTTCATATCCAGCAAGAATGTTCTATTTTTGTTTATTTTCTAATATTTCTTTACTCATTCATTTACTTGCAATTACATATAGGTTTTTCACTTCTATTATAACTTCAAATTTTTATTGTTATGTACTATCTTTGCTTTTTGTGTCACATAATATGTCTCTTTACTACATTTTCTAATTATATTGGCTTCTAATGCTTATTTGTAAATAATCCTGTATTTTAAATTTAGAGACGATTTTACCTTCTGAATTATAATTAATCTACCTTTGCTTTTATCCCTTATCTGAGTACATTGTCTAACACTTTCAAAACAATCTTAAATAGCAGTAAAAACATGGTGCATTCTTGTTTTGTTCCTCTCTTCAACAGGAAAGTCTCAAGCTTACTTACATTAAGAAAAAAGCTGACTTCTGGCCGGGCGCGGTGGCTCACGCCTGTAATCCCAGCACTTTGGGAGGCCGAGGCGGGCGGATCACGAGGTGAGGAGATGGAGACCACGGTGAAACGCCATCTCTACTAAAAAAATACAAAAAAAAATTAGCCAGGCGCGGTGGCGGGCGCCTGTAGTCCCAGCTACTCCGGAGGCTGAGGTAGGAGAATGGCGGGAACCCGGAAGGCGGAGCTTGCAGTGAGCCGAGACCGCGCCACTGCACTCCAGCCTGGGCGAACTGACATAAAACATCACATATTGTTGAAAAGTATTTTTAACTGAGTAAAAATATGTATATTGAACTAGCAAAGTGGGTTTTCTACATAAATATATTTATATTATTTTCTCCTGAATTTTGATACCATAATGAATTTTTTCTTAGATTTCCTAATACCTAACTACGCTTCTTTTGTTGGAATAGATTTCACTTGGCCTTCTTTTTAATATTGAGAAGGTAAGGTTCAAGTGGTTAAATCACGATCTTCTGTCTTCAGTTACTCCAGGGGAAGGAGGGCAGCAGGCAGATTCTACTGTGGAAGAAATAAGGTAGTTTATTTTATCTAATCTCTTTTGAGTATATTAATAATGCATCTCTCCACATTCAAACTAATTTGTTTTTGGTAGCAGAAAAGTCCTTATCTATTAAATGCTTTCACAGAATGTACCTGTCTAGCATGCTATGGCAAGTAAGCCTGGAATAAATGGATTATTGTGATTTAGTTCACTGAAGAATATCACATAAATTTTGCAACTATCTGATTCAAAGATGATATTTGATGGCTAATACACCTCACAACTTGAAATCTTATTTATCCATCTAACCCAGACCATGTTTGATCTAGAAAGAAAAGACATTATATAACATCGTGCTAAATGCCCCAAATCTCTCCCAGCTCTGTCTGTGCCTCTTGAATGATTGTGTCTTTGAAACTATTAATGAAACTTGGTATTGAGTTACAGCTTTAATCATTTTATTCTGATTTGCTAACAATCTGATCGTGTGTGTTTTTACAGATTGATACTATGAGGATTGTTTTTCAGACCTATTATTCATAATATTAGGGTAAGGCACTATTGGGAAGAGAAAAAAAGGAGGGTTGGAAAAAACCCCAAGACGATAACCTCATACTTGGATCTTGTTGAATCATCTTTAATATGAAGTGGTGAAAATTTTGAGCCAGATTATAGTATATCAGTTTGACCAATGGAAATGGAAGGAAATGGACTTTGGATGGGAGGCACCTGGTTCATGAATTAACAGGGAGCACAGGCCAAAGGGAATTTAACAAAATTTTCTATTGACTTGCAGTTGCTTTCAGTGTAGTAAGATTCTTTCCTTTAGCATAAGAATTCAGAATTTTGTCAGAAGCTAAAAAACCATCCTTGAATCCATTGGGATCTTTTGACTTTTCATATTTATATAAGGATTTTATATAGAAATATTTTCTCAAAATATTTTAAAATTGTTGTGCCTTCTCAATTTTTCTCTTTCTTCATCTTATTTTTCTCACCAGTTCTTGATTTATCCTCCATCTCTGTTATCTCCTAATTTTCATAATTTTATACATGTGCTACACTATTGTTAAAATTAATTTTATGTGATATTTCAAGCCAATAAATAAACTCTAAATGTTGAGAACTGCCTCCTTCAGCTTATCCACTGACTTTTTAAATTGGAAAAATATCTGTTTTAGCTTTAGAAAATGTGTGTGTGTGTGTGTGTGTGTGTGTGTGTGTTTGTGTGTGTTTGTGTGTGTGTTTGACATTGTATGGGTGTGGATGTTTCTTGGTTGTACCTAAACACCTAAATTCCTTAAGAATGTTATTATTACTTATATAGATTTCATCAGTCTTTTGAGAATTTTAATTTTGCTAGTATACCTTCTTCTTATTAAAACTAAGTGGCTACTGGGTCTCTCTGACAATTAACTTTTTTGATTGGCTCATTGTGACTCAGTTCATGTGGTGGGACAATTCTAAAGTTAAGGACTTGCCTCTTGGTTCAGTCCTGGACTTGACTACTTACTAACTCAGTAACCTTGCTTATATGGCTTAATCTCTATGTCAGATTTCTTATCCGTATAAAACAAAAAATAATGATGTACATTATGTAAATTTGTTGTTTTACATATACATATTAAATTTATATAACAGCATATGGCACCTAGAATTTTTTTTTCATTTCATTGAAAGTACAGATTAGTAGAAATGTTGGCAAAATAAAATGAAAAAATACTATATTATTAAAAGTAAGTTATGTCTCTGACAAGGTTGCAATTAATTCTAATTACTTTTTCCTCCTGCAATGAATTTGCCCATTTCCTATGAAGATATTTTACTTTTACAATCACATAAAAGGAAAAAGAAAATAGTTGGTATCAAAACACAAATTCACCACTGTCCTATAAATAGCCTATTGTTACAAATACTATAATTGTATGCATATGAGAATTATTTCCTTATAAACATAAACCAATGTTGTTTATGTTTTTTTCTTTCAAACTTTTAGAAAGATTTAGGCATTACTAGTTATTTTGTATTCATATCTTTGAAATAACCTTGCCTGTCACGTTAGGTAAGGGAAGATATGCAGTCTCTGGGAGGTGACAAATTCTTCAACTTTGTTGCACTTTTTTTTAGCCTCAAAACAAAATTATGGAGTCAGTTCAGCTTAAATCATATATTTAGATTATGGTTTAACAATGTTAAACTTTGGCAATAAGAAGAATAATTATGATTGAATATTTGTAAAATGAGTGAATGAAATTAGACAATGAAGAAATCACATGCTGAGGCAAAGATTAGGCATTATTTCCTCTAAGACTTGCAGAATGCTCATCACCTCAGATATTTAGAGCTATTTCACATTATAAAACAGAAGTGGGGCTTTGTTATTTGGTTATATTGTTGTTTTTTTCTATTCTTTTTAGCTTAGACTATAATATCTTTAAAAAATAGTAATTTATGGAAGGTTTGGCCATTTTGGCCATTTAATATGGAAATATTTCGGTTTTAAGCATACATGAAGAAAAGTGAGGTTTCTGTCTTTCAAAACAGTGGCTAATGACCACTGTTGGCAGGGCCTTATGACTCTTAATGAAAACTGAATTAATTTTAAATTAATGGAAACACTATGTAGACTAACATTCCTGTATTTACTTTAGCTTGAATAATGTAATTAATTAGAAGGACTATCAGTTCCCAATAGCCTTCATTAAAATTATTTTATACCATCTATTTATCTACTATAAAACTACAAACATTTCTTTAATTATACTAAAATATAAGGCAAGTATCAATGAAACAAGGAATATTTTCATTTTAAACTTATTTTTATATTTTTATGCTGGAAAGAAATTAAACTTCTTGCTGCTTCAAATGAATACAGAAAGTAATATAAAAGATGTCATTTTGCCAAAGTTCATAAAATAAACCTTAAGGAGTATATAAGGGGAAATTCTGTAGGTAGTGTGTTATTCTAACAGAAATATGAAGCCATCTCTGGCAAATATTTTAGTAGAAAATAGTAGGAACGTAAATATTTTTGGTTTCCAGTAGCTTAAAACTTGGAAAATGTATATCTGACAATTATAAAACAAAATGTCGCTATACAGACATAATCAAATGTGATTAAAATGTCACTTTAATATCTGCAGTACTGAGTATAACAATCTGATCTTTTTTGTATATATTATGTAAAAAATATCTAAGGACAGTGCATTCATTCATTAACAGAAACACATTTCCAAGAGAACCCTGCCACCTTCTGTTCTTAATGTTTCCTACTATTTTCTTGCTTCAAAATCAAATCAGTAGAATACAATTGCTAATTTAAATACATCGTAGGAGTAATAGTTTAATCAAACACAAACAACAGCTTTATTCCTAGAGCACCATTAACCTTTATTTCCCCATATTTATTAATTTAGACACGCAGAATAATGTTTATTAGCACATTTTTGTTTTTTTCAAGAAGTTCATATGTAGATTTTACAGGATACTTCTTAAGAGTGTGCATAAATATATCTTCCTCTTGTACTAAACTATTTCATATTTGATTTTCATCTAATGCTTTGCTTTTATTGTACATGTAAGTTATGGCTGGAAGTAGAATTCTTAACACATAAAACAAAAATTTCAGAAAACTCTATTAGTACAAACTTAGAATCCAAAATAAAAATTAGATAAGATAGCAAATGATTAAAGTTAGGATTAGGATTGTTTAAAACAGAAACCTCCACCTACTCTTTTTTAAGTGCTAGGTGGCATGTTTATTAACTTACTAAAACGTACGTCAAAAAAATACCTCGGGTCTATACTTATGGGCACATTATTAAGGAAGAAATACTATAACATGAAGTGATATGAAATTACTCCTATAAAGTAAAACAAGACCCAAACCCATTCCTGCAAAGATATTCATACTCTTGTAATTTTTTGACATTGTGATTTTGATATTTGAAAAGAAATCATTAAAATTGATGTTGACAGTGTTAGATACTCAGCTTCCATCCTCACATTATTGCCAAGACCATACAACATAAAGTTAGCTGCAGAACAAAAATGGCTTAATATACCAACTGTTTATTCCAGGATAAAGGTAGTAAGGCCATTAACCCTTGATACACCCTGGAAATGTAATCCATATTTTTCTCAGAAAGTATTTTATGTTATATAGTTTTTTCCTAAATATTTTGAAAATGACATCATTTGGAAGGCTGTTTTGTCATAGGGACCAAATACTGTATATTTGGCTATCTGACAATCTCTTTTTCTGAATATGTAATAAAAATAGGCATATATTGACACCAATTGTATTTTTTATAGTATCCACACCATAATTGTGAATGTGCATGCTGAAATAATCTCTATGAATCAATTTCTTTACATGGTACTTTCTAGTTCCCACTCATTTGAAATGAAATGTTCTAAAGGACTCCTGAGAAAATGGTGTTGATGGAGACAAAAGAAGCCTGAAAGGGCTGTTGCATGGGTTAAACTTCATAATCATTGCTACTTAAGACTTTTAATAAAACTCTTAATAGGCATCTAATATGGTTTGGATGTGGTTTTGAGGCAGAACAATAGGGAATTAGAGTAACTAAGGGTTAAGGCAGTATCAAAAAAAACCACAGGTGCAGCTAGTTCTAAGCAAGATTAGGCAGTATACAGGCCACATCCTTTCCTGTAGTAACAAGACAGAAGTTTCCACTTTAGCCTCTGATTGACTGTGGGCCAGGCCTCTACTTTAGCATCTGATTGGTCACAGGCCAATCCTTCATAGGCTGTTACCAATTGGAGGCCTCTAAAGGGCACGTGGGGGGTGCTGCCAAGTTATTTTGGCTTTATAAAAACCCTGGGGAGCATTGCATTAGAGAGGCTCTGGAGGTGCTTGCTCAAGTCTGTTCCCACTCTGTGAATTGTACTTTCGCTTCTTCCATAAATCTGTGCCTTTATTACCCTGTTCTTCTGTTGCTTGTCTTTCATTGCTTCTTCTTTTTGTGCGGTTTTTTCAATTCTTTGTTCAACCCGCCCAGAATCTGAACAATTCTCAGTCAAGACCTTCTATCCGGTACTGCATTTTGGCAAGACAGCCAGGAGGTAAGCCCAAATTTTGGGACTGCTTTATATTCCTTTTCTCATAGTGGGGCAAAGGACTCCTGTTTTAAGTATGAATTATTTTTTCATGAGAACCCAGAATTTTTGTTTGTTGACACATACCTCTGATTTCATTAATAGTTTAAGGTATATTGCGAGGTCCCTTGTTTAACGAGGGTTACAGGCTGAAGAAGCTTATCTCACTTGGTCTGACGCAAAAAGCTGAGCGTTATATCCCAGCACTGAGGGAATCATAGTAGACCATTCGATTGCCTATGGTGGGAAAACATTCAAAACAGCACTGATACCCACTCTAAGGTCAGAGATGCATGACACTTTAAGGTCAGAGACACTCTAAGTTCAGAGACGTCTGAAACAAATAGGCCCTCCTTGGGGCAGACCACTATAGGTAACACCTTTCATAATCCTTTCATCTGTACAGCTTCTAAGACTGTCCCTCAAAAAGAAAATCCTAAGACTGAGCTGAACATTGTGGATGACCCCTCCTATAAAGGCCATTTGTCTCTCAGGAGGAACTACAGCTGCCCCGTATAACCTTTTGCCAAATGCTCCAACCATGTAAGGCCAGGCAGAAGAGGAAAAAATTACCCTAAGCCCATAACACACCCAAAATGTAACACTCTACTCAGCAGCTCCCCCAGTACAATTGCCTCTCAGGGAAATAGCAGGAGTAGAAGGGCCAGTTCAAGTGCAAGACCCATTTTCCATAACTGATAACCAACAATGTAAGGAAAAATTGGGAAGGTACTCTGAGGACCCTGGCAGGTTTGCAGACAGTTTCCAAACTTTGTCTCTGGCTTTTGATTTATCATGGAGATATGTCCAATTCATTTTGGCAACCTGTTTCACCTCTATGGAAAAGAAAAAGATTTTTGAGGCTGCCCCCCATGAGGTGGACCATATGTTTGTCCAAAACCCCAGGGCAATCACCTGGACCCAGACATGGTGCCCACCACCAACCCAAATTGGGTTTATAATACCCCTGTCTGAATGAACAAGTGAGCAGTTTCTTGAGGGACTCCTTGGAAGAATGAAAAAAGGGATAACCAAGGCCATAAATTATAACAATGTCAGGGAAGTCACACAAGGAAAGGAAGAAAATCCAGCTGTGTTTCATGGCAGGTGTATTTCATGGGAGGTTAGAAGAGGCCTTCAGGAAATATGTAAATTTATACCCTTCATCTCCCTAGGGTATGATGCTAATGACACAGCATTTTATCAGCCAGTCTTCCTAAGCATCAGGTGCAAACCCCCCAAATTGCAAATGGGACCACAAAGTAATCAAAATCAGCTTATTGATACAGCCTTTATAGTATATAAAAATTGTGACAAGGAGAAGGAAAAATGAGAACAGAGTTAAGAAAAATGGCAAGCCAATATTATGGCAGCTGTCATTTGCAATGCCCTGAATGCTCAAAGAATGTCCAAGGGAAACCCAAAGGGCCATAAAGACAATGCCAGCAAAGGCTCTTGCTCCAAGTGCAAGAAAAATGAACACTGGGCAAAGGATTGCACTAAGTCCCTGCCAGCCTCCTTCCATCATTGTGAAGGGACCAGTCATGACCCCTGGCACTGGAGAATTGGCTTCCCCTACTCAGTCAGTCAAGACTCTAGCACTGCAAAAGGAGGAACTAGATGAAGACTGAAGGATCCTGGGGCCTTTCTCACTGCCGCTGTCCTGGAACATCACCATTACTACTGAGGACCCCTGGGTTACTGGTTGTAATGGGTACACAAATTGTTTCTTTTTGACACAGGAGTAAGTTACTTTGTCCTTACTGCTTATGCAGGAAAACCCTCCATTAGGACCATGATTGTTATAGGAATGGAAGGGAAAGATAAAGTCAGGCATTTTGCCCCTCCTTTAACTGGCTAATTTGAAAAACAAATTTTCCAGTAGGAATTTCTAATAGTACCAAGCTGCCTGGTCCCCCTGTTTGGATGGGATACTATGATTAAAATAGGGGCACTGGAGTGATTTAAGAACAGCCCACCAAGATTGCTAATGGTCAGTGATGCAGACAATGTTCCAGGACATGTCAAGAAACAAGTCAACGCCCTAGCATGGTATACTGGGATGCCTGGAAAGGCTAGAATGGCAGTGCCAGTCAAAATACAGCTTAAAGACCCCAGTCATTTTCCCAACTGAAACCAATACCCAATTAAGCTGGAAGCAAAAAAGAGCCTAGTATTCATAGTTAAGGAGTAGCTTGTCCATGGACTTCTAAAACCCTGTAATTCTCCTTGTAATACCCCATTTTACCTGTTTTAAAGCCTTCAGGGGAATACCACATGGTACAGGATCTCAGGGCAATTAATGAAGCAGTGATCCTTGTCCACCCATTAGTAGTAGATCCATATACTCTTCTGACTCAGGTTCGTTCTGGGGAATGCAAAATGTTTATATGCTTTTTTCCTCCATTCCCCTGGCCCTGGAGTCTCAATACCATGTTGTATTTGAATGGGAAGATTCTAATGGGAAAGAAAAAAAATGCATCTGGACAGTACTCCCTCAAGGTATACTCCAGTATGTAGAGGACCTTCTTGAGTGTAGTCCAACCTGGGAGCCATCTGACCAAAATAATGTAAGGACTTTGAATTTTCTGAGAGACGGGGATACAAAGTGTCCAGAAAGAAGGTTCATATCACATTCCAACAGGTCCAATATTTGGGTTCTATCTAAACTGCCAGTGCCCAACAGATGTCTCCAGAATAAGTGCAAGCTATGTGCTTAACTTATCTTAAATAGAACCTAGATTCCCTTACACAGAAGACATATTGTAGCATTGGCTCTGAAAGAAAGTGATGAGGATGTTTCAAAGCTATTTTAAATGAAAAATAAGGCAATTTGCTTGCAGATAAAGGATGGATTTCAGGTAAAATAAAATGACAACAGCAGCAAGAGCATCAATTAAAACAGGATTGAGATCACCAGAAAATGATATCTAAACTAACTTGCAAACACTGGCTCAAGGACTGATCCTATCCAATTTTGCTTGAACTTTGGGATCTATTTCAGGATTTTAAAAAAACATTGGTGTGTTTTAGAATTACCTGAGCAGTTATTACAGATTAATTTACCTGAAACCTTTAATGATCATGCCCAGTCACCTGTATTTTTAATAATTTGCCCAGATAATTTGGATGCACTTGCTTTATTTAATGTATTTGAGGGCCCTCACTTTAATGTGCTAAGATAACAACTTGTAATTATAACCAATAGTCATCCAGACACTTACATGGAAATTTTCACTCTGAGGGTGCTGATGTGACTATTTCAAGATTGTTATACCAGAAAGAGCAATCTCTTAATGGGAAGTGTACTGAGATACTCACATATTGATTTGTGATGAGTACTTCAGTAGATACTATGAAAGCCAAGACAAGGAGTGATACAAAATTTATCAATCTAACAAAAGAAATACATAATCAACAGAATGTTTGGACACAAACTGTTTTTTAAGCCAATGTAGTAGGGCTTTTAGATTAATAACAATAATAAAAAATAAAAGTAACTTAATGTTGCTGTCAAAATGTACTGGAGAAATGGTGGATAAAGATGATATTATTGAGACGAGGTTATACAATAAAGCAGAAGTGATAAAAAAGTATAGATTAATAAATATGAATAATGAAATAAATTTAAGTGATGCAAGATGATGTTACGGCTGATTTGAGGTAGTTTAGGAAAAGAGAGACACAATATAAAATGTATCTGGATTTTGAACCTCTGTGATTCAGAGAATGGTAGATATGTTAGCTTGAGTATCCTACAGACAGAGTATGAGTCAGGGATTCAGGAGCATGTGGTTTACCAAAGCAATGCTCTTCAGGAAAATGTGGAACAGAATGAGGTAGACAGGATACAGAAGAAGGAGACCCACAATGATATAATGTCAAATAAAATATGTCCCTGGCCTGATTGGCAGTGGGGTTTGGGTGCTCAGGAACACAATTCTTGGTGTAGAGTTACTCCACAAGAGCAAGTTTCTAGAGAAGGCATGCATCTGTGATCTAGCAGCAAAGACTCACATTGACAGAGGGATGGGTAGATAAGCCAGGCAAAGAAGACCTAGGTGGTGCATCAACAGCATCTTACTACAGTAGAGCATTCGTTCACAAGAAATTTTCAGTTTAATGTACTAGTTGTTAATCTAAGTTAGAAACATCTAGTGTGTTCACAAAAATTTGAAAGTAGAAACATCTAGTGTATTCATAAAAATTTGGGAAATGCATTTGGATTATTTTAGATACTCACTATAAATAGAATCATTC
The DNA here is from genome assembly GCF_000001405.40 of Homo sapiens. NCBI lineage: Eukaryota > Metazoa > Chordata > Mammalia > Primates > Hominidae > Homo > Homo sapiens. Next base: position 101,052,030 of record NC_000005.10, read on the forward strand.
AGTATTTGTCTTTCTGTAATTGGCTTATGTCACTGGAGGCACAATGTCCTCCAGGTTTATAATTTTCTTATTTTTTTAAAGTCTAAATAATATGCCATTATATGTATATACTGCATTTCTTTCTTATTTGTCAATGGCAAGTTGTTTTTATGTATTGGCCATTTTGAAAATATCTGCAATGAACATGGGTGTAGAGATACTTACTTGACATATTGATTTCATTTCCTTTGTATATATACCCAGAAGTGTGATTGCGGGATCATCTGACAGTTCAATTTTTAATTTTTGGAGTAACCTCTGTGCTGTTTTCCATCTTGACTGCACCAATTTTTGTTCCCCAAAACAGTGTATAAAGGATCCCAATTTCTCCACATCCTTGCCAACACTTGTTAAATTTTGTTTATTTGTTATAATAGCTATATTAATAGGTATGAATTAATATCACATTGTGATTTTGTTATGTAATTCTGTAATGGTTAGTAATTTTGAATACCCTTTAACCTCTGGTGATCATTTATTTGTATATCTTCTTTGGATGGTAGTTTCCAGGGGCTAATGGGAAGAGGAAAAGGGGAGTTGTTACTCAATGGTTATAAAATTGTGTTAATGCAAGATGACTAAATTTTACAGATCTTCTGTCCAACATAGTACCTAATGTTACCAATACAGTATGTTGCACCTTAAAATATGTGAAGCAGGTAGGCCTCACATTGTGTTCTGACTACACACACACACACACACACATCCCTCAAAATACAAAAAAAATCAAAATTTTTGAAGATGACAGATATGTTTAGAACTTTATTATGTTATTACAGGTGTGTACATATGTTCAAACTCATCAAAATGTATACATTAAACATATGTAAAATTTTTATATCAGTTGTACCTCAATAAAGCTTAAAAAGTTTACAATTACAAAATAGAGAAAGGAAAGGAGGGATGAGGAAAGGAAGGAGAAAAGAAAAAGACAAACATTGAGAATATAATAAAAAGATTTGATATTAATCCATTTATTTTTTAATTCAAAACAGTATCATGAAAGTACTAGGCGGAAGCTTTCAGAGAAGACTAATAATAGCAAGATCATTTAAAAACATTGATTGGCTGTAGACCCTATTTTACAGGCTCTATCCTAATTATATTAACTTTACATTTTAAAAGGTTTTTTTGTAAAAAAAGAAAGCAAATTACTTTTGATTTTTTTTTGTTTAAAATATATGCTGTGTTTAGGGGAGACAACAGTCATGTAAACATAACTGAAAATTTTGAAGTACTTTAACATAAGCAAAAAAATTAAAGTCAACCAAGCTCTCTGACAATTCTTTGAATATTTTCTACAATACTGAGATCTCCATTGGTCCCTTGCTAAGTTATATAAGTCCACAACTAAAGAGACCTTATAAATTATTAATAAAACCATGAGAGTAAAGTAAGGAGCTGCAGATAATTACAGTGAAACAAGATGTGTAAATTGGGACTCTCCTGGGCAAGCCAGATTTTAGGAAAAACTGAATTACTACCTTAGTTCTCAAAAGTGACTATCAAGTCTCTACTGCCTTTACAACTGGGCAAATATTTAAAATGATGTGGAATATTGTTGATTCTCATTATAATGTAACTTAGCATAGTAAGTATAGAAAAAAATGCTTGATCACGCCTGTAATCCCAGCACTTTGGGAGGCCGAGGCGGGCGGATCACGAGGTCAGGAGATCGAGACCATCCCGGCTAAAACGGTGAAACCCCGTCTCTACTAAAAATACAAAAAATTAGCCGGGCGTGGTGGCGGGCGCCTGTAGTCCCAGCTACTTGGGAGGCTGAGGCAGGAGAATGGCGTGAACCCGGGAGGCGGAGCTTGCAGTGAGCCGAGATCCCGCCACTGCACTCCAGCCTGGGCGACAGAGCGAGACTCCGTCTCAAAAAAAAAAAAAAAAAAAAAAAGAAAAAAATGCTTGAAATTTACCAATCAACAGAAAAGCTTTCTTAATTCTTCTTTGATTCTTACAAATTCATTTTTTCTATTTATTATGTTTAATAGCATTTTGGCATATAAATGTTTTCTGCCTGAGAAGAGTGATTATATCTATGTAAATTTCTACATGTGCATATTTGTTAGTAGGCCAGCTCCACTCACTGTGGCATCCTGTTATAAAACAAGTTATTGCCTTTAAAAAAAGAGTCATGAGTGGAAAACTTTGAATTCTGAATATATTTTGCATAAACCAATGTTGTTTAATCTGAAAATGTTAAATAATGAAGTTGACTGGAAATGTCTTTCAAAATTATGTCTCCTTGAACCCTTTCAAAACCTATTATCTAAATTTGTCCTTGATTATAGAGTCAAAAATCAGTTGCTAATGAATTGTATATATATGGTACTGCTGGTTTCTGATTTACGATGTTTTACAAAAAGGGACTTTTTGACCTTAAAGTTGTGCAAATGTAATATGTATTAAGTAGAAGCCATACTCAAAATTTTGAATTTTGACCTTTTCCTGAGATCTTATGTGGTACAGTACTGTCTTGTGGTGCTGGGCAGTGGCAGCAAACCACAGCTCACAGTTAGCCACACAATCACAAAGGTAAACAATCAGTACTGTACTGTACAGTATATTGTATTCAACAAATTTTTGAGATATTCACCATTTTATTGTAAAATAGGCTGTGAGTTATTTTTTCCAACTCTAGGCTAATATTTAAGTGTTCTTCATATGTTTAAGGTAGGCTAAGCTAAGCTATAATCTTAGGTTAGGTGTATTAAATATATTTTTGATTTATGTATTTTCAACTTAGGATGGGTTTTTGGGGACATGGCCTCATCATAAGTCAAGGAGAATCTGTAGTTAAATATATATTTTTTTGAATTTAGATAATTACAGAATAGTTACAGAATTTTTAAACTACAGTTTTCATCTAATGTAAAAGACAATTTCTTGGAAGGAAATATACACCAGCAACAGATGAAAATTTACATGTGATAAAAATACAGAATATTACGTAAGCTCATACAGCTAATCACTTATTTCACGTATCCTTATTATTATACTTATTATTTCTAAATACTCCAATTCAAAACTGGAACAAGTCCTTCAACTCCCATTATCTATATCCATGGAGACCATTAACTATATACTATAATTCATTTTCTCCTGCTGCATAGCTAACGACAGAGACTTTAGGTTGTGTCAACATCATTTCCAAAGTAGAAATTGTGGTAGCATCCTTTGTTCTGAGAAATCATTAGAACTTCCAGTTCAATTTTGAATAAGAACAGTGAGAAAGGACATCCTAAATTGTTCCAAACTTAGGAGAAAAATGCTTAGTCTTTCATAAAGTTTAATATATGTTTAATGAATAATTTTATTGATGTCTTTTAATAGGTTAAGGAAGTTGTATTTTGTCCTTATTTTACTGAAAGTTATTCTTAAATTATGAAATATCTTTTCTATAGCTATAGGGATGATGCTATATTTCTTTAGTCTGTTGTTATGGTGAATTATGTTGATTGATACAAATGTTGAACCAGTTTTGCATTCCCACGCTAAACTCTACTTGGTAGTGACATGCTGTTGTTTTTATATGTTGCTGGATTCAATTTCCCAAACACTTTTTGATGACTTTTCTATCTATGCTCATGAAGAACATTGGTCTATAGTTTACTTTTCTTTAAATGCTTGCTTCTGGTTAATGTAACAGGGTTATATTCATCTCTTTTTTTATTATTTTTTATTTTATTATTATTATACTTTAAGTTTTAGGGTACATGTGCACAACGTGCAGGTTTGTTACATATGTATACATGTGCCATGTTGGTGTGCTGCACCCATTAACTCGTCATTTAGCATTAGGTATATCTCCAAATGCTATCCCTCCCCCCTCCCACCACCAGACAACAATCCCCAGAGTGTGATGTTGCCCTTCCTGTGTCCATGTGTTCTCATTGTTCAACTCCCACCTATGAGTGAGAACATGCGGTGTTTGGATTTTTGTCCTTGCGATAGTTTGCTGAGAATGATGGTTTCCAGTTTGATCCACGTTCCTACAAAGGACATGAACTCATCCTTTTTTATGGCTGCATAGTATTCCATGGTGTATATGTACCACATTTTCTTAATCCAGTCTGTCGTTCTTGGACATTTGGGTTGGTTCCAAGTCTTTGCTATTGTGAATAGTGCCGCAATAAACATACATGTGCATGTGTCTTTATAGTAGCATGATTTATAATCCTTTGGATATATACCCAGTAATGGGATGGCTGGGTCAAATAGTATTTCTAGTTCTAGATCCCTGAGGAATTGCCACACTGACTTCCACAATGGTTGAACTAGTTTACAGTCCCACCAACAGTGTAAAAGTGTTCCTATTTCTCCACATCCTCTCCAGCACCTGTTGTTTCCTGACTTGTTAATGATTGCCATTCTAACTGGTGTGAGATGGTATCTCATTGTGGTTTTGATTTGCATTTCTCTGATGGCCAGTGATGATGAGCATTTTTTCATGTGTTTTTTGGCTGCATAAATGTCTTCTTTTGAGAAGTGTCTGTTCATATCCTTCACCCACTTTTTGATGGGGTTCTTTGTTTCTTTTTTTGTAAATTTGTTTGAGTTCATTGTAGATTCTGGATATTAGCCCTTTGTCAGATGAGTAGGTTGCAAAAATTTTCTCCCATTCTGTAGGTTGCCTGTTTACTCTGATGGTAGTTTTTTTTGCTGTGAAGAAACTCTTTAGTTTAATTAGATCCCATTTGTCAATTTTGTCTTTTGTTGCCATTGCTTTTGGTGTTTTAGACATGAAGTCCTTGCCCATGCGTATGTCCTGAATGGTATTGCCTAGGTTTTCTTCTAGGGTTTTTATGGTTTTAGGTCTAACATGTAAGTCTTTAATCCATCTTGAATTAATTTTTGTATAAGGTGTAAGGAAGGGATCCAGTTTCAGCTTTCTACATATAGCTAGCCACTTTTCCCAGCACCATTTATTAAATAGGGAATCCTTTCCCCATTGCTTGTTTTTGTCAGGTTTGTCAAAGATCAGATGGTTGTAGATATGCAGCATTATTTCTGAGGGTTCTGTTCTGTTCCATTGATCTATATCTCTGTTTTGGTACCAGTACCATGTTGTTTTGGTTACCGTAGCCTTGTAGTATAGTTTGAAGTCAGGTAGCGTGATGCCTCCAGCTTTGTTCTTTTGGTTTAGGATTGACTTGGCGATGCGGGCTCTTTTTTGGTTCCATATGAATTTTAAAGTAGTTTCTTCCAATTATGTGAAGGAAGTCCTTGGTAGCTTGATGGGGATGGCATTGAATCTCTAAATTACCTTGGGCAGTATGGCCATTTTCATGATATTGATTCTTCCTACCCATGTGCATAGAATGTTCTTCCATTTGTTTGTATCCTCTTTTATTTCATCGAGCAGTGGTTTGTAGTTCTCCTTGAAGAGGTCCTTCACATCCCTTGTAAGTTGGATTCCTGGGTATTTTATTCTCTTTGAAGCAATTGTGAATGAGAGTTCACTCATGATTTGGCTCTCTGTGTGTCTGTTATTGGTGTATAAGAATGCTTGTGATTTTTGCACATTGATTTTGTATCCTGAGACTTTGCTGAAGTTGCTTATCAGCTTAAGGAGATTTTGGGCTGAGAAGATTGGGTTTTCCAGATACACAATCATGTCATCTGCAAACAGGGACAATTTGACTTCCTCTTTTCCTAATTGAATACCCTTTATTTCCTTCTCCTGCCTAATTGCCCTGGCCAGAACTTCCAACACTATGTTGAATAGGAGTGGTGAGAAAGGGCATCCCTGTCTTGTGCCAGTTTTCAAAGGGAATTCTTCCAGTTTTTGCCCATTCAGTATGATATTGGCTGTGGGTTTGTCATAGATAGCTCTTATTATTTTGAGAAACGTCCCATCAATACCTAATTTATTGAGAGTTTTTAGCATGAAGGTTGTTGAATTTTGTCAAAGGTCTTTTCTGCATCTATTGAGATAATCATGTGGTTATTGTCTTTGGTTCTGTTTATATGCTGGATTACATTTATTGATTTGCGTATGTTGAACCAGTCTTGCATCCCAGGGATGAAGCCCACTTGACCATGGTGGATAAGCTTTTTGATGTGCTGCTGGATTTGTTTTGCCAGTATTTTATTGAGGATTTTTTCATCGATGTTCATCAAGGATATTGGTCTAAAATTCTCTTTTTTTGTTGTGTCTCTGCCAGGCTTTGGTATCAGGATGATGCTGGCCTCATAAAATGAGTTAGGGAGGATTCCCTCTTTTTCTATTGATTGGAATAGTTTCAGAAGGAATGGTAACAGCTCCTCCTTGTACCTCTGGTAGAATTCGGCTGTGAATCCATCTGGTCCTGAACTTTTTTTCGTTGGTAAGCTATTGATTATTGCCACAATTTCAGAACCTGTTATTGGTGTATTCAGAGATTCAACTTCTTCCTGGTTTACTCCTGGGAGGGTGTATGTGTCGAGGAATTTATCAGTTTCTTCTAGATTTTCTAGTTTATTTGCGTAGAGGTGATTGTAGTATTCTCTGATGGTAGTTTGTATTTCTGTGGGATCGGTGGTGATATCCCCTTTATCATTTTTTATTGCGTCTATTAGATTCTTCTCTCTTTTCTTCTTTATTAGTCTTGCTAGTGGTCTATCAATTTTGTTGATCCTTTCAAAAAACCAGCTCCTGGATTCATTAATTTTTTGAAGGGTTTTTTGTGCCTCTATTTCCTTCAGTTCTGCTCTGATTTTAGTTATTTCTTGCTTTCTGCTAGCTTTTGAATGTGTTTCCTCTTGCTTTTCTAGTTCTTTTAATTGTGATGTTAGGGTGTCAATTTTGGATCTTTCCTGCTGTCTCTTGTGGGCATTTAGTGCTATAAATTTCCCTCTACACACTGCTTTGAATGTGTCCCAGAGATTCTGGTATGTTGTGTCTTTGTTCTCATTGGTTTCAAAGAATATCATTATTTCTGCCTTCATTTCGTTATGTACCCAGTAGTCATTCAGGAGCAGGTTGTTCAGTTTCCATGTAGTTGAGCGGTTTTGAGTGAGTTTCTTAATCCTGAGTTCTAGTTTGATTGCACTGTGGTCTGAGAGACAGTTTGTTATAATTTCTGTTCTTTTACATTTGCTGAGGAGAGCTTTACTTCCAACTATGTGGTCAATTTTGGAATAGGTGTGGTGTGGTGCTGAAAAAAATGTATATTCTGTTGATTTGGGGTGGAGAGTTCTGTAGATGTCTATTAGGTCCGCTTGGTGCAGAGCTGAGTTCAATTCCTGGGTATCCTTGTTAACTTTCTGTCTCGTTGATCTGTCTAATGTTGACAGTGGGGTGTTAAAGTCTCCCATTATTATTGTGTGGGAGTCTAAGTCTCTTTTTAGGTCACTCAGGACTTGCTTTATGAATCTGGGTGCTCCTGTATTGGGTGCATATATATTTAGGATAGTTAGCTCTTCTTGTTGAATGGATCCCTTTACCATTATGTAATGGCCTTCTTTGTCTCTTTTGATCTTTGTTGGTTTAAAGTCTGTTTTATCAGAGACTAGGATTGCAACCCCTGCCTTTTCTTGTTTTCCATTTGCTTGGTAGATCTTCCTCTATCCTTTTATTTTGAGCCGATGTGTGTCTCTGCAGGTGAGATGGGTTTTCTGAATACAGCACACTGATGGGTCTTGACTCTTTATCCATTTGCCAGTCTGTGTCTTTTAATTGGAGCATTTAGTCGATTTACATTTAAAGTTAATATTGTTATGTGTGAATTTGATCCCGTCATTATGATGTTAGCTGGTTATTTTGCTTGTTAGTTGATGCAGTTTCTTCCTAGCCTCAATGGTCTTTACGATTTGGCATGATTTTGCAGTGGCTGGTACCATTTGTTCCTTTCCATGTTTAGTGCTTCCTTCGGGAGCTCTCTTAGGGCAGGCCTTGTGGTGACAAAATTTCTCAGCATTTGCTTCTCTGTAAGGTATTTTATTTCTCCTTCGCTTATGAAGCTTAATTTGGCTGGATACGAAATTCTGGGTTGAAAATTCTTTTCTTTAAGAATGTTGAATATTGGCCCCCACTCTCTTCTGGCTTGTAGAGTTTCTGCCAAGAGATCCGCTGTTAGTCTGATGGGCTTCCCTTTGTGGGTAACCCGACCTTTCTCTCTGGCTGCCCTTAACAATTTTTCCTTCATTTCAACTTTGATGAATCTGACAATTATGTGTCTTGGAGTTGCTCTTCTCAAGGAGTATCTCTGTGGTGTTCTCTGTATTTCCTGAATCTGAACGTTGGCCTGCCTTGCTATATTGGGGAAGTTCTCCTGGATAATATCCTGCAGAGTGTTTTCCAACTTGGTTCCATTCTCCCCATCACTTTCAGGTACACCAATCAGACACAGATTTGGTCTTTTCACATAGCCCCAAATTTCTGGTAGGCTTTGTTCATTTCTTTTTATTCTTTTTTCTCTAAACTTCCCTTCCTGCTTCATTTCATTCATTTCATCTTCCATCACTGATACCCTTTCTTCCAGTTGATCCATCAGCTCCTGAGGCTTCTGATGCATTCTTCACATAGTTCTCGAGCCTTGGCTTTCAGCTCCATCAGCTCCTTTAAGCACTTCTCTGTATTGGTTATTCTAGTTATGCATTCGTCTAAATTTTTTTCAAAGTTTTTAACTTCTTTGCCTTTGGTTTGAATTTCCTCCTGTACATCAGAGTAGTTTGATCGTCTGAAGCTTTCTTCTCTCAACTCATCAAAGTAAGTCTCCATCCAGCTTTGTTCTGTTGCTGGTGAGGAACTGCGTTCCTTTGGAGGAGGAGGGGTGCTCTGCTTTTTAGAGTTTCCAGTTTTTCTGCTCTGTTTTTTCCCCATCTTTGTGGTTTTATCTACTTTTGGTCTTTGATGATGGTGATGTACAGATGGGTTTTTAGTGTAGATGTCCTTTCTGTTAGTTTTCCTTCTAACAGACAGGACCCTCAGCTGCAGGTCTGTTGGAGTTTGCTAGAGGTCCACTCCAGACCCTATTTGCCTGGGTATCAGCAGCGGTGGCTGCAAAACAGTGGATTTTCGTGAACCGCGAATGCTGCTGTCTGATCGTTCCTCTGGAAGTTTTGTCTCAGAGGAGTACCTGGCCGTGTGATGTGTCAGTCTGCCCCTACTGGGGGGTGCCTCCCAGTTAGGCTGCTTGGGGGTCAGGGATCAGGGACCCACTTGAGGAGGCAGTCTGCCCGTTCTCAGATCTCTAGCTGCGTGCTGGGAGAACCACTGCTCTCTTCAAAGTTGTCAGACAGGGACATTTAAGTCTGCAGAGGTTACTGCTGTCTTTTTGTTTGTCTGTGCCCTGCCCCCAGAGGTGGAGCCTACAGAGGCAGGCAGGCCTCCTTGAATAATGCAGACAGCTATTGATTTCAGCAGGCTCTAGTTCAAAGTTCCACCTGTTTGCAAATATCTCAACTCTGAGAGGGAAATGATAACTTTATGATGTTTTCTTCTCTTCTGTAGGAAAATGACAGTGACCACATTAAATTACATTAAACCAAATAGGCACACTACATTTAAGTGGTCAAATATTTGCCATATAGTAGAATTGTATATTAAGAACTGTTAATAAATAAAAACACTCCATTGTGTATATGAGCCACATTTTCTTTATCAATTCATTAATTGGTGGGTGCTTACCTTGCTTTCATGTCTTGGTTATTTTGAATAGTGCTGTAATAAATATCAGAATGCACATTTGTTTTCTTTTGGATATATACCTGGAAGTGAAATTCCTGGATCATATGTTAGTTCTATTTTTAGTTTTTGAGAAACTTTCCTACTGTTCTCCATAGTGATTATACTTACATACATTTCCACAAACAGTGTACGTGAGTTTCTCTTTCTCCATATCCTCACCAGCATTCGTTATTGCTGTCTTTTGGTTAAAATACATTTTAACTAGGGTGAGATGTTACCTCATTGTAGTTTTGATTTGCATTAGTCTGATAATTAGCTATTTCGAACATATTTGCCTATAACTGTTGTCTATTTGTATGTTTTCTTTAGTAAAGTTTCTATTCATATTTTTTGCCCATTTTTTAATCTGATTATTTGTGGATTTTTTTCTATTTAGTTGTTTGAGCTCCTTACGTATTTTGGTTATTGTTAGAAAGGTGGTTTGCAAATATTTTCTCCCATGCTATGGTTGTGTCTTCACTTTGTTTATTGTTTTCTTTGCTGTGCAGAAGCTTTTTAGCTTGATGTGATTCCATTTGTTCATTTTTTATTTGGTTGCCTATGCTTTTGACGTCTTACTCAAGAAATCTTTGCCCAGTGTAATGTCCTGGAGTATTTCCCCAATATTTTCTTCTAATAGTTTCATAGTTTCAGAATGAAGTTTTTAATTCATTTTGATTTGATTTCTCTATATGGCAAGAGATAGGGGTCTAGTTTCATACTCTCTCTAACATTTCTTGTAAAACAACTCTGATGTTGACAAAATCTCTCAGTTTTTTTGAGAAATGTTTTTATTTATGTTTGAAAGATAATTTTTCTAAGTACAACATTATAGTTTTAAAATTGGAGTGGTTTTTAAAATTATTATTTTCTATACTACTTTGAATATGTCAACCTGCTTTCTCTTGACCTACAAAGTTTCTGCTGAGAAGTCTGCTGCCAAACATATTGGAGCTCCATTATGTGTTATTTGCTCCTTTTCTCTTGTTTATTTTAGGATCCTTTTTTAAAAAAAATCTTTGAACTTTGAGAGTTTGATTATTATATGCCTTGGAGTAGTCTTCTTGGGGTTGTATCTACTTTTTCTTTTATGACCTTCTTGTACCTGGATACTCACATCTTTCACTAGGTTTGGAAAGTTCTATATTGTTAGTTATTTTTGAATAAACTTTATACTCTGATTTCTTTCTCTACATCCTCTTTAAGGTCAATAACTCTGAGGTTTGCCATTTTAAGTCTGTTTTCTGGATATTGTAGTCATAATTCATTCTTTTTTAATTCTTCTCCTCTAACAATGCATTTTCATATTACCTGTCTTCAAGCTTACTACATCTTTTGCATGCTTGATGAATTTTGCTATGGAGAGACTCTGATACATTTTTCAGTTTGTCAGTTGAATTTTTCAGCTCCAGAATTTTTGCTTGATTTTTATTATTTCAATATCTTTGTTAAATTTCTCTGACAGAATTCTGAATTCCTTCTCTGTATTGTCTTAAAGTTTGTTGAGCTTCCTCAAGACAGCTATTTTGAATTATCTGCCTGAAAGTTTACATATCTATATTACTGAGACTGATCATTTCTGCCCTATTTAGTTTGTTTTGTGAGGACATGTTTTCCTGAATAACATGTGGACACTCATGAATGTCTGGGCATTGTAGATTTAGGTATATATACTGATCTCTGTAGTTCAGAATGTTTGTACTCACCTTTCTTGAGAAGGCTGTCCACATAGTCAGAGAATTGGGTATTGTGATCTAAGCCTGTGGTCACTTCAGTTGTATTAAACATCACTGCACTTTTAAACTCCTCTATATAATTTTTCATTTCCTTCTATGGATGAATTATTGGGCAGAACCTAGAGCTGTTTTTGCAGTATTTCAAAAGATTAACAAATAATTACATGGTGTCTAGATCTTAATAGTCAAATCCAATCTAATATCTGATTTCTTTTATATTGTATTTTGTTTAATCTTCCTCAGTAAATTTTAAGTTTTGTAAATAGGGATTATCATTTATTATAAGTGACAACCTTTAACATTTTTGCAACTTTTATTACTTCCAGAGGAAAAGATTGTAGTAGAAAAATAAGCATTACAGTGAAGAGGCCTGTGATAAAAGGTTTGGAGTACAGTGCTAAATGCTTGAGGGGATGGATACGGCGTTCTCCGTGATTCCTTCTAGTTTTAATGTGTATTAGCTGTGTGATCTTCAACAATAACAAAGAATCTTTATATTTCACTTTGTATTTTGGAGATATATCTCCAAATTTTATATATATACATATTTATTTATACATATTTATTTATTTATTTAATTATATATATATCTCTTTCATTATAATGTCCTAATTAGAATATAATAAATCATTAAAGCATTGAAAATAACAAATGACACTTAGTAAACACTAAATAATTATTATTTTTATCATGATTACTAATGTTAATTGAGTTTGAGTATGGACTCTACAGAGCATTTTGTTTTCCTTTTAAAATTCAATTTGTGTAAAAATATGAGCTAAAATGATAATTATACATATTTTTACAGGGAAACTGAGGAATTGGATGTCATGTACTTTGCAGGCAACCATCAAATTTTATGTAAATTATATTTATTTCAATGTAAATCTGCTTTAACTTAATGCTATATCTGCTAATTTTCTTATACCATGCACTTTGCAGACCGCTAAGAAGTATCGTCTTAACAAATAAAAAAAATGCATAATTGGAATGCTTTATTTTATTAAATTTATGGGCAGTCAAGCCAAAGACTTGTAGGGCCTGAATTCAGTCATTTGCCTACCAGTTTGTGATACCTGATTGTGTGAACTGTGACAGATAGAAGAATAATAATTTAAAACATAGAACCACTGTCTCAAGACACATAGTTTAATTTGTTTCGTTAAGCTTTCAAGCTGATAAGAAAAATAGTCTTTCATCAAGGGCATAAATCCAAGGTGAAGATAAAGATATTTGTTCTAAAAGCATTCTTATTTTAGACTACAAGGGTACTATTATAAGGTTGGTCTCCTCAAAATATTCCCAATATAAAAAGAGAAGTGTGACTAAATAAGGTTGTGATGATGCTGATATTATTCATTCTCTCTCTGACACACACATGCACACACACTTTTTTTTTTTTTTTTAGCACACTCATCCAGTTCTTTCTCTTTGACTGGTAAGATTTTTCTCTATGGGCCTAGAAAATCTGTTCATGTCACTGCTACTATAAAGTCACGGATGTCAAGCTATTTTGTGTTTTCTGGATGGGCCCAATATCTGCATTGCTTATGGAACGAAGCTTCTTTCATTAAAGTGGCTAGATGCTGCCAGGGCACAGTCTCCATCATTACTCACTTTTGCTACAAATTTCCAATTTGTAGAATTTTAGCATCTTTAAAGATACTACTAGTTATAAAATGTCCCAATGAAACTTGTGAAACTCTTTGATAGATTGCCTAAGTCAGACTTACAAGGACAAACAGAAAAGGAGTTGTCATGGAGACACCCATGCCTGCATTGTTGGTGGATTATTAAGGTACTTCTAGTATTTGCAACTGAACATTTCAACCAATATTCATTTCTCTCTTGGGGGACTGATTTCTTAACCAAAGATATATTTAAATATTATAAAAGTAGTCAAAAAAGACATATCTTCTTTCTCAGTTCATTAGCTCAGATTGATCACTGTGGCTTAATAGTTAATGACAATGTTGTATAGTTTGTGACATCTGGAGTAACACATTCCTTCTCGGATATAAATAAAATGTCTCTTTTTGTCCTGGTAATGTCATTTCCTATGAACTATTGCAGTGATGTGCTGCTTTGGTATATAAAAATCAGTGCCATGTATCTGATATCACAATAGATATTTTAAAATATTTTAAAATCAGGTTCCTATTCTCTTTATCTGTATCCTGCTCAACATGATGTAATGTTTTGATTTGCAGTCAATTTATAAACATCTAAAATCTGACACTTGAAATGTTCAAAGCAACCACATTAATGGAGATTTTTGTATGAACACAAACACATTAATACAGCAGGGAAAAAGAGTTTGAGCCAGTTTGTTGCACAAAAGACATCATTTTCCTGAAAACAAATGGGGTGTTAAGTTCAGCTGCCATCACAGTGACAGTACAAACAACTAAAGGACAGAATTATTGCCAAGAATTTCACTTTGCCCGATAATGATTGAAAGAAAATACACTGTGATATCATGTGGAAATGTAGGTTTTCAGAATTTCTATTTTTCTAAAAGAAACAGCTATATAAAGCAGAGAAATACACTCATTTCTCAGATGTATTTATTTTAAAAGGTAGACAAATTGTAATAATTCTGAATTCATTCTTATTTCATTTTATTCATAAGTCAACTTGGAGAAAATTCTGGAGATGCGAAAGTCAAATATTTGCGCTTTTTATTTTTTAGCCACACAACTAAAGAAAGGCTTAAAAAATCACTTTTCTGGCCATATATGCTATTTTGTTCTTTATTCAGCCTCTTGAGAAGACATGGGATGTCAAAAAATGTACCATGATTGAGCAAAATGCATTAGAGTAGTTTTTCCTGGATTTCTTCTGAACATGGTGGTCAATGTATAAAAGCCTGTTTATATAACATTTTTTTGACCATATGTTTTAAAATATAATGATTTTCATCTGTTTCTTGACATTGCTATTTTAACGTGGAATATTTCTAAATTTCTTCATAGTATTTTGTCTCAATGTTTAATTCTATTTAATCAAAGTTATTGTACCTAGAGTACTTAGAAAAACATTAGTGTGTACATGCTTATGATAACACATATGTGTGTACACACACAGAGTAAGCCAAGTAAAGGAATATTGTTCAGGCTTTTTGTTGGTCCATGGTTTGGAGACTGTAGTATTAGAGACTTGCAAAGGTTAAGCTATACTGCAGGTAAAACAAATTAACTTTATTTAAAATTCAGAAGGTAAATCTGGAATAAATGGCCTTTTCCCTGTATCCAATATACAACAAATGAATATAAATATACGTGTAGTTATATAGATACAGATAACATAACATAACACATAACATAACATTTTTGTATGTTTGTACATATCAGTTCACCGAGTGTAAATTTCCTGTCTTATATTGTTAAGTACATCAGTTTTTTTTAGAGAGGCATGTTAAGGGTTATTTGTAAAACAGTTGCTTTGTAAGCAATTTACAGATTAATTGAAACTAGCTTTATAACTAAAATAAATCACAATGTTCAGTTCCACAGATGCATGAGATAATGTTTTAATAGATAATTCTCCTGAGAATCTTCCAAAATCAAATTATTTGATGTAAAGAGTTAGTTCTTTTTCTTATGTAACCCAGGAGACATTATCCAAAATATAGCCCTTCCATAGTTTCTTGCTTTTTCTACCTCCTGTTTCATTATCTAGGTGAAAGCTTTTCAAATTTGAAGGCAAAGCTGACTTATTTAAAACTTGAACAATTAGACATAAATGCTCTGAAGTCACCACCATTAGAAATCAATAGCTTAGGATAGCTGTTCAGGATACTAGTGGAGAAAATGAACTCTGTATTTAAATATGTGTGGGAAAGTTAGGGGAGGTGTTAAATTGTTATTTTTCTTTCCTATATGAATGACTACTACCATGTCAATCAGTCTTTTCTGAATTTCTAATCTGCTAGTGTTGAATACAGCATATTTTATTACCCCCACAGAATGCCTATAAATATACTGAAAATGTTCATCAAAGTTCTTATCAGTTCTGTGGTTACTAGTAATGCAAAGAATCTTTCCTTATCTGTTGAGGAAAAATTTATTGCTCCCTAATCACAGAACTCAATTACTTTTATCAACCACATTAGGTGCTTAGATAAAGTTTCATTACATCTCCCCTACCCTGTTGTTACCTGCCAGGGCCTTATGCTCAATATCCTGAGAGATATGATGGAGCGCATTTAATCCATCCATGAGTCAGGAACATTTATAGTTCTGTGTTTTTGTTAGCTTCTGTATTGCGACTTAGCTAAGTACACGTGTTTAGGCAATTTCAGTAAATATAAATTGTCAACACGTACAGCATCTGGTATTTAGGCATAAACAGATGTCTCCAGTACAGATGCTTTCATGAATTTGGCTACTGTTCCATTGTAGATTGTAAATCATGTTTCCTCTCAAAGGCTCTTGAGCTAAAACATGATTGATATAAAGCTTTCTTATCAATTAGATAAGACTTTAATGGTATATATGTGTAAGTGTATGTGTGTGTGTGTGTATATAAGTATACATATATACATATATATACCATTACATAAATACATTTGATTTGTTAATTTGTCCTTTATACCCTTTTGACTGTAATCAAAATGGTATGATAAAACTAGCTAGTTAAATGGAGATTATATGCATACACATATGCATGTACATATATGCATACATATACATATATACATATACATACATATATACACATGTATATACATGTGTATATACACACACACACTCACACATATACATATATCTGGTCTGTACCTGGCCCAGGTCAGTTATTTAAGTGACCTGCATAGTTTTGTAGGTGCTTAAGGACAGTGACTATGTCTTCAATATTACAGTAGGTTCAACGCAGGTCTATCTCTTGAATCTTGGCTCAGTATGTGTGGCATTTTCATTCTAAAATTACTATCTCTCAATTCATTCTTCAACTATTGTTTTATGTTGCACCAGTCTACAATGATGATCTCACTAAAGCCTGCTACTACTTCAGATGATAAGGTACACACCAGTGACATCATAATACTTGTTCACATGTTACATTTGAATGACATGTTACTCTCTTCTCATTGCTCATACCACTGACAAAGTCCATTAAGAAGGAACTGACAGAATATTGTCCTAAGAGGTTATTTGCATTTGTTTTGTTTTAGTTAGTAGAAATTCTTGGGTTTTCATCAGCAAAGAATTTCTTTTTATATATATATATATATTTATTATACTTTAAGTTCTAGGGTACATGTGCACAACGTGCAGGTTTGTTACATATGTATACATGTGCCATGTTGGTGTGCTGCACCCATTAACTCGTCATTTACATTAGGTATATCTCCTAATGCTATCCCTCCCCCCTCCCCCCACCCCACAAAGAATTTCAACAGGAATACGTGGTTGCGATGATAATGAGGATACTAAAAGGCAGAAATGGAAAATTGGCATCTAGCTAAGTAGATTGGCTCTAACATTGAGTATATCAGGCTGCCCAATATTACACATCTATGGCTGAGAAGGTGTTAATTTACCAACAGAACAGAGTAGAAAGACACTCATGAAAGTTGACCTCACAAATGAAAACCAATGTCTTGTTACTTCCCACCATATCTCTGTGTCCACGATCTTCACATCCAATGGTAAAACAAGGAACTTCTTACATGGTGCCACACACCACACACAGAGGAACACTTTTATCCCTTATTACCTCAAACACATAATCTTTTCTGCTCTACAGGTATTGAGTCATTTTTCTGAGAAGAAAAAAACATTTCTAGAAGAATTGGGAAGACTGGAAACTTGACTCTCAGATGTCAGATATTCTGTGTTAGAACTTCCTCTCTCTGTGTTAGAAAGGATATTCTCTCACTTTGTGGATCAATGTCCTTAAGCAGCTATTTTGCATGGCTTTTTATGCATATTTTATGACCTAGACGCAAATCTGTCAGGCAAAGATGCAACATGAGAAAGTAAATATTGAAAAACTCACTTTTGTTAAGTACTGTTGAGATACCCTACATAGGTAGGTATGTAATAATTACTGTCCCTTATATTTTACTTGGAAATTTATGGGGCATTTATTTGTATATCCTCATTTGACTGTTACACTTCCTTAAAAAGTATTATTAATGTTATCGTCTATTAAAATTAAAACAACCCAAGGTGTACATTAAGTAAACAGTAGAACTGGGTGTTCTGACTCCAGAACCAGTGCTCTCCTTGGATTTTACTCTTCCTCTGGGGAAAAAATATCCTTGGCCCTACATCTTTTTGAAGTATCATCTGAGGACCAGCCATGCTTTTTTCCCAGCAGATACAGCACAATTGCTATGTATATCTATGTCTAGATAATTATTACTTAGCTGACACCTTACCATCTGAGACGTTAGATTTTTTGCAGTACTTGATCCATACCTACTCAAGACTTCTGCAATACAGAGACTGAATTCAGACTGTGGCCCTTTAATGAGCATAGTACGTGGATATGCCTACTGTGGAATAAATTCATTCTTCAGTTATGTAAATCCCTAGCCCACCAAGTAAATTCTTTGGTGCTAAGAAAATACTGGCTTCTTGTATCCTCAGCAAAATATAAGAGTGAAAATAAGGATAAGAATAAAAAATAATCACAATGTCAGGGCACCTGCCCCATGCCAACAATGTTTCATATCTATTACCGCTAATCCTCAAAAACACTCTAACAGGCAAGTTTTATATATTTGTCCAAAGACATGTCAGATATAATTTCTAGAGCAGAGCACAAGATCTGATTTGTCATTCTCTAATGCCTGTCTAAGAACTTTCTGCTAAATAATTGCCTCTGTAGTTCGGGAGACAAAAATGAGCTAATTTTCTAAAGATTATTGAAGAGGGTTTACATAAAGTGGCTGTTATCAGAAGGATTATCTCATGGCACAGTGCTTAATGATGATCAGTTTAGATAACACAAACATCAGAGATAACACTCACATCTGAGATAACACTCACACTGTGTCCTGATATGCAAATCATGGAGAATATTTGAAGCAATTACTTGGATAATTTTTGAAGAAAACAAATGCCATTACCTATGATAGTAGAAAAATTAATGCTAGCTTTTTCTTTTTCTACTGTACTAATAATATTAATAAATATTTCCTGCTTATATCCTGTCTGAGGCAGTTCAAAAGGCCCCTTTTCTTGTAGCTATGCCATCTGGAACAAATGCTTTTAGTAGAGAAAACTAGAAATAGAAGATTCATAATAGTCTTCAGTTGCATTGGCCCTGAAGTGACACTCTACATACACACTGTACTCTAGTTAGTAAATTTACTTCTTATAGGGTGCGAGGTTACAAAGTAAACCTGATACATATGTAGAGTAGAGATGAAAGTACATAAGTTATAGATAATGGGAGTCAGGTTTTTCACTGTATTATGCCATTCTCATGCTGCTGTGAAGAAATACCTGAGACTGGGTAATTTATAAAGAAAAGAGGTTTAATTGACTCACAGTTCCGCATGGCTAGGGAAAACTTAGGAAACTTAAAATGATGGTGGAGGGTACCTCTTTACAGGTTGGCAGGAGAGAGAATGAGTGCCCAGTGAAGGGGGAAGCCCTTATAAAAAAAAAATCAGATCTTGTGAAAACTAACTCACTATTATGAGAACAGGATGGGGGAAACCGCCTCTATGATTCAATTATCTTCACCTGGTCCCTCCCACGAAACGTGAGGATTATGGGAATTACAATTCATGATTAGATTTGAGTGGGGACACAGCCAAATCATATTGCTGTCAGAGAAATAAGCTACAAAATAAATAAATACAATAAGAGAGTACAATGAAGCCTAGAATGAACCCTATGGGGCTAGACGACAGCTAGAGAGATTCAATAGAACCCTTGTCTTTTAAAATATGTAATAAACATAGAAGTAGAGCAAAAAAAAAAAAGATGTGTATAGAGACTGACTGGAATACATAGTTATGTTTGCTACCTCTATCCTCTGATAGGATCTAAAAGTTGTGACATTCCAGTAGCAACAAGCATATCTAGGGCCCAGATTTTGATTTCTAAAGATAATTTCCAATAAAAGAAACCATTACTTTTTGCAGAATTATTTGTTCTAGGGCACATACAAGACATCTTGTAGGGCTACAGAGTAAAGAAGTTCTAAAAAAAAAAAAAAGGAGGAAAAGAAAAGGATGGGGTTATATCTGGGGATGTATCAAAAGGAGACAGAAATCAACCTGAAAGAACTCTCAAGGGCCAGAAATGAAACAAGTTGAAGGACAAAATAAATAATATATTTTATTATACTCCTAAGAATAAGATATCTATCCAATGTTCCTACCGGTATATATAAATAAATAAATAAGGAACAACTGTCTTATAGAAGAACCTTAATTAATAAGGGTGGAAATATAAAGGTAAGTTGAAAATCATAATTAGAAAACCATGGTAAAATGTTTGCAGACCAAATCTATTGATAAATGTTGAAATCAGTGGATGAAACTTTAAGAAGTGGAATATCCACATAGACTCAAAATATCCACAATGTCTGTGGTGTTTTATATATAACCACAGAACTTTGATATTCCCTTATCTAGCAGATAGAGCTTATTTCTCCCCACCCTAAGTGGAGGCTGGACTTTAGGACTTGGTTATAATGAATGGTGTATGAGAAGGAAAACAACTTATTTTACAATGAAGAAAACTGAAATACACTACCTTTACCAGATGATCACGTTAACAATACTGGAATAAGTCATACCGACATCATGTACCCTTGAAAGGATGCAATGAAATGGGAGCATCACCTCTGTAGTATTATTCCTTATATCTATAATCTATTTATAAATAAATATTAGACAAATACAAACTGAGGCACATTTCCCAATATACCCTACCGAGTCATCTTATCCC
The DNA here is from genome assembly GCF_000001405.40 of Homo sapiens. NCBI lineage: Eukaryota > Metazoa > Chordata > Mammalia > Primates > Hominidae > Homo > Homo sapiens. The sequence continues at coordinate 101,072,381 of NC_000005.10, forward strand.
TGACCTTTAACTTCTCCAAAACACTTTCACTAGAAATGAGCACTTTCACTAGAAACAAGCACTTTCATCTCTCTTGTCAAAAAGATCTATCATATTGACTTTACATATGAAATATCTATTTCATGGAAATTAATGATATTGTTTTTTAAATATGTCTATTAAGACTGACCTAACTTGCAATGTGGGACATGATGTTCAGTGTTTTTGCTTTCCCCATCCTGATCCCACTACGGGGCAATGTTGAAGTTTGAAATTCTAGGTTCTAATCCTTTTCTAAATATTTACTGAATTTCACATTAATTGATAAAAATTCCAAGATTCTTTCAACTAAATTTTTTTTGACTTGTGTTGTGGAACAGGTGAAAAGAGTAAATTGAAAGTCTAAATGTTATTTACAAACAGTGTATGACACTGTTAAAAGCATGTTGAAGAAAAAAATGAATGTGTTTTTCAATGCAAATAAAATGGTTATAGTCTCAAGTTGAATATTATTTGTTTATGTTTATATGCTGTTATATTACTGGTAGGCTCAATATAAGACAATTATTTTGGATTTATTATACATAATTATTCTAAGCTATGTTATTATGTATGGATACTAAATTTCTTCAAGATATCTATATGATAAAGAATTAAACTAGCCAATGGAAAACTAGTAAAAAGTAGAAATCTTCAAGCAGGAACAATACAATTCTAGAATCCTGTAATACTTGAACATGAAAATGATAAGAATAATAATTTAGAGCTGTAGTGCCACTACCATACCCACAAACTTTCTGTGGCTATGTGTAAATTTAAATATAATTTACAATTCCGTTCCTTTATTACACTAGTCACACTTCAATTGCTGAAGAGCCACATATGGCTAGTAACTATCATATTAGAGGGCACAGGCACAGAACATTTTTCGTTACTGTAGAAACTTTTATTAGTCTGATTTAGATAAAAATGATATTAATTTAAAATGATAATGTTTTGTTTTTATTAAACATTTCCAAATGCATAATATAGCATAAATCTGTAGAAATTTAACTCATTCTCTCAACATACTTGAGGAGAAGAACATTTTCCTTATTGTGAGAATTAAAAGCAAATAGGAAACAAGATTTAAAGGTGTATTTCAATCTGGACAGCAGGTCACTGCCCAAGTTCACTGAGCATTAAGTACCTTTGAAATCTTATAATGGCTGACATTACATTGTAGTCCTGAATCTCCAAAGATGTCTTTGATAATGGCTGTAATGATTAATTTACCTGTTGCCTGGTCTGGGCTAAAGAATAAACAAATAACTGGTAAAACATCATTTCTGGGTGTGTTGAGAGTGTTTCCAGAAGAGATTAGCATTGAATTGGTAAACTGAAGAAAGATGATCGTCTTCACCAGTGTGAATGGTCATCCAATCTGTTTAAGGCCAGGATAGAATGATAAAGTGAATAGAGGGAAAATGTACTCTTGGTTGAGACATTCACTTTCTCCTGCTCTCAGACATCAGCACTCCTGGTTTCCAGGCCTACAGACCCTGGCCTGGACTTATATCATCGACCTCTACCCCTCTCTGCCAATTCTAGGGTATTTGGACTTGAACTGAATTTCAGTAATGGCTTTCCCAGTTCTCAAGTTTGCTGGCAGCAGATCATGTGACTTCTTTGCCTTCACAAGTGCACAACCCAATTCTTATAACACTATGATAAAGATAAATTTATCTCTTTCTCTGTTTCTTTTTCACACACACACGTGTGTGTATATCCTATTGTTTTTGGTTCTTTGAATAGCTCTAATACAAATTTTTGTTCAAGAGTGTTCAAAAGAAATAGAATTTTAAGGATGGTTTTTATAAATTGATTCTGAGATTTTGAGGTTTCAGAAATTGTCTCCTTAGTCTGATTAGATTTGAAGATGGGAATGACTATTCCCAGTAGAAAAGAGGGCAATGACATTCTATGGCCTGAATAGGGAAATGGAAATCTGCACTTGATATTCCTTATCAACCACTTATAGAAGCAAGAAGCTCAGTGACTTTGTATATGACACTTTTGAACATTTCTTTTAAATTAAGGACTGTAATGATGTTCATTGGTTGCTCCCACTATCACTGTACAAAGTGGGAAAGAAAAGGAGGAGTTCAAGGAATCAAATTCCCAGCTCCAACCTCTATTTCTTCTAGCTGCAAGGCTAGAATTGCCAAAAATAAAATGCAGAAGCTCACCCTGTGATTGGCTGAATTACAATGAAGTTGTATTCCCAGCCTCTTTGAGTTTCTACTATTAACATCAGGGCATTGATTGAGGAAAAAATTGAATTGCATAAGTTGAAAGAGGGTGTGAAGAAAGACCTTGAACCCCTAAATTATTTTTGCTTTTGAAATGGACAGGGTCTTGGTCTGTCACCCAGACTGAAGTGCAGTGGCGTGATCATAGCTCACTGCAGCCTTAAACTCCTGGGTTCAAGCTATCTTTTCACCTCAGCCTCCCAAATAGCTAGGACTGCAGGTGCATGACATCATACTTTGGTAAAACCCCTAAATTTAGATTGTTTTTCTTTGTCAGTGAAATTTCCATATACCCCATCAAATTAGCCTCTCAGCCACCAGCTAAATTGGCTGTTCCATCTTCAGTGGTATTGGTCTCCCTGCCTCCCTATGAGAGTATTAACACATATTGCCTGGGAAAATGATAACAGTCTCTCCTAAAGTAGTTGCCATGGAAGACAATGTTGATTCTCCTCTCAACCTACCCCCAAGTGACTGCACTCAACCAAAGGCAAGATGGGCATGGTTACCACAATGGACATCAGAGTCAAAGCAGTAATCAGAATAATCTGACCTGCACAGACTTATGGATTTGGCTAGTTAATCATAGAGTTCCTAGCAGTAAAGTAGATAGGAACCATACTAAATTCTTACCTGATATATATAGATAGAAAAGTCTTAAGTCAAGTGAATAAACTTAAATCCTAACTTAAATCCTAAAAACAGAAAGTCACAACCCCTCAATCAATTATCAGGCCTAAGGAGTTTACAGACTCATAAGTCTTTGAATTAAGGGGAGGCTGGTTCTCCTAGAGGAAGGACCTCAACATAAAATTTTGATTGTAAATCTTTCTTCCAGCCTTGTCCAAAAAGACCCATGGCTTTTTGTCAGGGTAACTGTGCTTCGAAGAAAAGGAAAGGAAATAATCATACCTTTCGGGGACTACTGAGCACTGGCTCTGAAGTGACATTGAATCCAGGAGATGCAAAATGTCACTGTGGCTCTTTAGTCAGATTAGGGGCTTATAGAGATCAGGTAATCAATGAAGTTTTAGCTCAAGTCCATCTCACAGTGGATCTAGTGGGTTCTGAATTCATCCTGTGGTCATTTCCCCAGTTTTAGAGACATGATTGAAATAGACATACTTAGCAGCTGCCCGAATCCCCACATTGGTTCTCTGACCTGTGAAATGAGGGACATTATGGTAGGAAAGACAAAGTGGAAGCCAATATAACTGTCTCTACTTATAAAATAGTAAATCAGTAGCAGTGCCTCATTTGTGGAGAGATTGCAGGGATCCTTGCTACCACCAATGATTTGAAAGATGCAGGGGTGGCGATTCCTACCCCATCCTTATACCATTCTCCTATTTGGCTTGTGCAAAGGATGGATGGATCTTGGACACAGAATTATTGTAAGCTTAACCAGATGATAAATCCAACAGCATCTGATGTACCAGGTGTGGTTTCATGCTTGAGAGAATTAAGACGTACCCTGGTACTGCTATGCAGCTATTGATCTGGCTGCCTGTTTAGACAGCCAGAGGATAAGTGCCTCTTTATCCCTGTCCATAAGGCCCATCAGAAGCAATTTCCTTTCAGCTGGAAATGCCATCAGTACATATTCAGCTACTCCAATTATATATCAACTCAATGACCCTATATCATAACTTAGTTCAAGAAGGATCTTAATTATCTTAACCTTCTATAAAATAACACACTGTTCCAATACACTCAAGACCTTATGCTGACTGGACCTAGTGAGTGGGAGATAGCAACCACTCTAGACTTATTGGTAAGACATTTATGTGTAAAACAGTGTTAAATAATCTTCACTAAAACTCAGGGACCTTCTATCTCAGAGAAATTCTTAGGGATCCAGTGATGTGGGACATGTCAAGATACACTTTCTACATTGAAGAATAAGTTATTGATTGTATCTATCCTTTCCTAAAACCATAAAAGAGGCACAGTGCCTAGAGGTCCCCTTCAGAATTTTAGAGGTGATATATCATTCATTTAAGTGTTTTACTTCAGCCCATTTACCAAGTGACCCAAAAAGTTGCTAGTTTTGAGATGGGCCCTGAAAAAGAGAAGGCTCGGCAACAGGTCCAGGCTATTGTGCAAGCTGCTCTGGCATTTGGGTCACATGATCCAGATGATCCAATGGCGCTTGAAATGCCAGTGCAAATAGGCATGGTGTTTGAAGCCTTTGGCAGGTGCCCATGCATGAATCACAGAGGAAGTCTTTAGGGTTCTGGAGCAAGAGCCTGCCATCATCTGCAATTAAATAAGCTCCTTTTGAGGAGCAACTCTTGGCTTGCTATTGGGCGTTACTGAATGCTTGACCATAGGCCACCAAGTTACTATGACCCCTGAGCTGTCAATCGTATACTGAATATAATATGACCCAGCAAGCCACAATGTTGGGCTTGCATAGTAACACTATATTATCAAATGCAAGTGGTATACATGTTATTGAACTTGAGCAGGCCTGAAGGTACAAATAAGTTACATGAATAATTGGCCCAAGTGACCATAATCTTCAATCCTGCTACCCTGCATTCTCTCTCCCAGCCTGCATCTGTGGCCTCATGGGGAATACCCTATGTTCAGTTGACAAAAAAAGAGAAAACTTGGGCTTGGTTTATGGATGGTTCTACCCAATATGCAGATAACCACTGAAAACTGGACCACTGTAGAACTATAGTCCCTGTCTGGACATTCCTCAAAGATAGGAAGGAAGGCAAATCTTCCCATGGGTAGGACTTAGGGCAGGGCACCTGGTTTGGAACTTTGCTTGAAGGGAGAAATGGCCAGACATGTGATTATACAATAGTTCATGGGTTCTCACCAATGGTTTGGCTGGATGGTCAGGGATTTGGAAGAAACATGATTAGAAAATTGGTGACAAAAATATTGGGGAAAGATATTTGAGGATAGAGAACTCTCTGAATGGGAAAAATTGTGACGATATTTATATCCCATGTGAATGCTCACCAAAAAGTGACTTCAGTAGAGAATTTTAATAATAAAGTGGATAGCAGGAATCAGTTTATAGATGGCACTCAGCCTCTTTCCACAGCCACCCCTGTCATTGCCCAAAGGACTCATTTAAAATAAAAGGTCTTAGTAGCAGGGACTAAGGGTAAGCAACATAGATCTCCATTCACCAAGGCTGACCTGGCTATGACCACCACTGAGTGCTCAATCTGCTAGCAGCAGAGATTAACACTGGGTCCCCATTTGGCACCATTCTCCAGGGTGATCAGTCAGCTATCTGATGACAGGTTGATTACATTGGACCATTTCCATTATGGGAGAAATAGCATTTTGTCCTTTCTGGAATAAACGCTTTGGATATAAATTTGCCTTCCTTACCTGCAATGCAGGCGTGGTGGCAGGTGCCTGTAATCTCAGCTACTCAGGAGGCTGAGACGGGAGAATCACTTTAACCTGGGAGGCAAAAGTTGAAGTGAGCTGAGATCGCACCATTGTACTCCAGCTTGGGCAACAAGAGTGAAACCCTGTCTCAAAAAATAATGTATTAACTTTATATCAGTATTTAAGTCATGTTAATTTTATATCCCAATATTTAAGGTATGGAATATCAGGAGAAGGGTTAACATTATTTCAAGACTTTTGAAGAAGAGTTAACATCATTCAAAGACTCCTTTTTTGGGAAGACATTAGAGCATTTTTGGTCATATAAATGATAATTGTATCATAGTAGGTAGAATTATGACTTTGTTATTGTAGTTATTTGGAGGTTAAATATGGTTTAAATAGATGCATATGGGCACCAAGTTAAAAAGGGGTGAGCTTCTGATGGTTAATTTTATGTGTCAACTTGACTGGGCTAAGGGATGCCCAGATAGCCCGTATTTTTTAGTGTGACTGTAAGGAAGTTTCCAAAAGAGATTAGCATTTGAATTGGTAAACTGCGTAAAGAAGGTTGCTCTCATCAATGTGAATGGGCATCATTCAATCTGTTGAGGGTCAGCATAGAAGAAAATAAAGGAAGGGCAAATTTTCTCTATTTGAGCTGGGGCATTTATCTTCTCTTGTCCTTGGACATTGTCACTCCTGGTTCTTAAGCCTTCAGACTCAAACCTGGACTTCCACTATCACACACCTACCCTGAACCCTAGTTCTCAGGCCTTGAGACTCAGATTGAATTATACCACTGGCTTTGTGATTCTCCAACTTGCAGACTACAGATGGTGGGATTTCTCAGCCTCCATTATTATTTGAGCCAGCATTTTATACACACACACACACACACACACACACACACACACACACACACACACATATCAGTGAGAGATGATTCTGTTTCTTTGAAGAATCTTGACTAACATATGCCTGACTTGTAGAGTATACCTAGAAGTTCATTCTTTTTTCACCCAAATTTGAACTTACATGTGGCAAATTATGCATAAGTTAAAATCAACTATTTCCAGCAACATGTAACAAAGCTATTAGCAATTTATGTATAGTATTTCATTGTTTTATGTTTCCTGTGTTTTAAATGCCAGTATATTAAAATACTTGACTGTAGATAACAGTAGATACTTTAGTAAACCTTTTCCAAGATAATTCAATATTAAAAAAAAAAAGAAACAACTAAAGGCTAGAATGTGGTTTTCTAGGAAATACAATTAATAATATAAAATCTTCCCTTATTTGTAATTAAATGAAATGGTAGAAAATCTATATTTGTTATGTGGTAACCAAAAAAGAAAAGAACGTTAAAAAGAGGATTTATTATGTAAGGTGTTTTTTTTTTTTTTTCACTCTTGCACAGGCTGAGTCACATACTTTATTATTTTATTTTAATTTTGAAATAAAACTATTTTAAACAAATAGTAATCCTGTCAGAAGAGTATGTTTAATTATCTATTATTAAATTATAATCTCCTAGATTTTGTGAAAAGCTCTAGATTTTTTTCTATATTGATCTAACTACAAGGCAGCATTATGTCCAAATGATATTGTATTAGTTTCCTAAGGCTATTGTAACAAAGTACTGCAGCCTGGGCAGCTTAAAAAACAGAACTCTATTGTCTCACAGCTTTGGAGGCTAGAAGTCCAAAATTAAGATGTCAGCAGGATTGGCTCTCCACAAAGTTTGTAAGGGGAGGATCTGTTCCAGGTCTCTATATTTGGCTTGTAGATGACCATCTTCTCCCTATGACCTCAAGGACCTCACTTTAACTGGAATCCATCTGTAAAGATATTATCTCAAAATAACGTCACATTCTGAGATACTTGTAGTTAGGACATCAATACATACTTTTTTTTTTCGGGGGAGCACAATTCAATGTACAACCCATCACTTTTTTTGTTTTATATACGGAGTCTTTCTGTGTCGCCCAGGCTGGAGTGCAGTGGCGCAATCTCGGTTCACTGCAAGCTCCACCTCCCGGGTTCACGCCATTGTCCTGCCTCAGCCTCCCGGGTAGCTGGGACTACAGGCACCCACCACCATGCCCGGCTAATTTTTTTGTATTTTTAGTAGAGACGGGGTTTCACCGTGTTAGCCAGGATGGTCTCAATCTCCTGACCTCATGATCCTCCTGCCTCGGCCTCCCAAAGTGCTGAGATTATAGGCGTGAGAACCCATTGCTATTATACTATCAAAGCTTTACACTAATTCCTCGCTTATTCACACTCACAGTAATATGTATGTTGTGTGTGTGTGTATATATATAGAGAGAGAGAGAGTGAGAGAGAGACAGAAAGAGAAAGAGAGAGAGAGAGAGAGAGAGAGAGAGAGAGAGAGAGATTCTTCTTAGGAGAGAAGAGTAAGTGAGCACAAACTTGAACCAGAACAGATAAGTGTGGTCCTCAGGCATTCTCCTGCTTAAGATTTGCTTTTAATAAATCATCAGACTGACAAATTACTTAAAAAAAACTGAAAAGGTTCAAGATGCATAGACCTGAAGGCAACAGAAGTCTGGGCTATGAGAGCATCATTCTTTGATTATATCATTAGATTTAACCAAAGACAAATTCGGCCACAAAAATCTCCCAATTTCTATTCTGGCAGTGACTCAGCACATTATCCTACTAATTCCACAGATTTTTAACTGGCCCTCCAAATCAAAAACCAATGTTTGTCCCCTGATTTTTTATAATAAAAATGCATTTCCATCTGTGCAAGCCCCAGCAAGGCAGAGTTTTCACTGTTTTTATGCTGTTTTGACAGAATTATGCTAGAGATCAATGGATAATACAACACAAAGTGCCATGTGATCAGCATATTTCACAGATTGAAATGTTAATTTCAGGCTAATAGAAATGAAGAGAGCTTAAAAACAAATGCAGGAAAGGAAACACACACACACACACACACACAGGATGCTATTGCATTTGAAACATTCTGCACATCTGTTATTAATCTTCCTCTACTACGCAACGAATAGTTATATTAGCTACTGAAACATCAGAAAAAATAGCATCTAGAGAGGATGTTGTAATATTCCATAAATATTCAGCAAACTAGGCCAGTTTCACAGGCTTTGGGAAAGGAAAGGGTGAGTTTGGTGCTCTTCGCTTGTGTGAAGGGACCTGGAAGTGGCGTGAATTAAAATAAAAGTGAAAACAATATGACATGTAAACCATTTATAATCCTAAGGCCAGGGCTACTGTATGTTCATATCCCAGGGAAATTTGCCAAATAATTAATAATATAATTTTCCCCACACCCTAAGTGTCTGAGATATTATAGGAGAAAAATCTCCGCTTCATGAAAAATGTCTTTAGTGTAGATGTTATCAAGGATAAATGTCTTATATTAAGAAAAATAAGCTATAATATAGTGGATAATACAATTCCAGTAATAAAATCTAATGCCTGAAAATCATTTTAATTTTGGAGTGCTTGTACTCCAAATAACTAGTAGAAAGCCTATTGATAAACAGATAATATCTATACGGTACTTTTTCAGTTCCACAAATTCTAAGTGAGATCTTCATGCCTTTCAAGACACTTTTAATATAAAAAATATTATCTTTAAACTTTAACATAACTGGAATGTATAACCTGATTCTTTATGGACACAGAATGATATGCTGAATGAGTTTTGCACTATGTGATTTGGCAGGTGCAAATTCATTGAGAATTTTTGCTAGCAAAAGAATGACAAAATCATGGTGCTACAAATATCCTCAAATTTAATGTTGCTTGATTTGGATTTTTTTTTTCTTTAAAGCAGCTTGTTGCTTCTGGGAAGATTATACACTTCATGGATGCCATTTATAAGAACCAACCCTCCCTCCCTCCCATCTCCCTTCCTTCCTTCCTTCCCTCCCTCCTTCCCTTTTTGTTACTATATGATACTTGGCCAGGGACAAGGTGTGAGAGAGGGGAACAATTCTAAACTGATGTAGGTGTATCTGATCGTGAAACTATTATTAATAGAGGAAGACATAATGTAAGGGAACTGGATTATATTAAAATTATGGAGTCTGAATCTGATGAACATAATCTAAAGCATATTATTACAGAGAAAAAGAGCATCTATAAATTTGCAGATTGATCCTGAAGTTATTCATCTAACATAAAAAGGTTACAAAAATGAAATCCATTGTTTATTTATATATAGTTTTGCCAAATTTCAAGGTTAAATGCTTCTCTAGAAAATTAGAATAAAAATTATAAAAATCTACAAATACTATTCGGTGAAGTCACAATATCATTAAAAATTTGGACAGGCAAAGGATTTCAGGAGTCATTTATTAATCCAAAACTCCTGTTGAAACAACAGGGAAATAAATTATTTTATATATTCATAAAACAATTACTGTTCGATGTGTAAGATATACAATGTGTATTATAAATATGAAACCATCTGATTACTCAGAAGTATTGTATATCATAATATAAGCAGAAACAATAAAACAAAAACACAATTAAGGTAATTTTCATGATACAGTGTATGATGGCTGTGAAATAATAATCAGGACGATAAATACTGAAGAATTCAATGGAAGGAGAAGTGCCTGGGTCAAGCTTGTCAGGGAAGCAGAGGTATAGCTCAAGTTAGAATTTTAAGAATTGTCAAGATTTTTTGCATAGTAAAATTAAAACATACTTCAGGCAAATGAAGAGCATTATTACATTCTGCTCCATGCTATGAAACAGCAAATTACATGCTCCCTCATGGCCACCATCAGTACCTTTGCATGTGCATAATGGTAGAGAAAATAGGGATATCTTCCCCTATTATTCAGACCTTCCTCCCCAAAACAATGATATTTTGACCTTATATATCCATAATCTCTGTCATTTCTCTTATCTCAATAAACTGTTTTCTCAAGGCAATCTAGAATGTTTAGGCTTTGTCGTTTCACTGTTTGTCTGTGACAACCGTTTTCTGTATTTATATAGATCTTCTTTATCATACTTAAAGCTAGTTCAATTTAGGTTACAGAATAAGAAAATAAATCTTAGGATTATGAAAAATATGCTGAGTTATTTTTATAAAGGATATGTTAATTTTTGTTTCATTAATTTGGGAGGAATCATCCACCCATGATACTTTTATTTATTTAGATATCCTTAAGTTTGATGTGCTTTTCTTTATAATTTTTTTATGATGCCTTTGAGGATAAGAATATATCACTAGATAAATATATGCTTCCATATAGCAGATTGATTTTTTTTATATGGGCTAGATATTTATAATATCTCCTGTCACTAAAAACAACAATCTATGTTTGATAGGTATTAAGCATTTAATAAATATCTGATGAACAAACCTGAATATCCTCTTTAAAAGTCATCAGAGAAATGAAAAACAGCTGTTCCTTTCCACTGGTTGCTTAGTTATCTGCTGAATATTTCACATGAATCCCAAACAATTATGCCACTTGGGCCCTAAACAAAGTAAAAGAATTTTATAAAATACATTATGGGATGTGTGGGGGGGTTACATTTTGAAGCTTATATTTGCTAAGCATCACTGTCATATTTCTTTGGCTCCATATTTTTAGTTCTTTCAGTTTTGTAACCAGAGATCCAAACTTTCATCTCTAATCTCTCAATCACCCTCATTTACTTGAAAAATTCAATGGAAGCCTCACCACATTTAACAAAGCCAAACTTAACTGAGCTTTAAAACTTGAAAGCAGGGGCAGGCCATATCTTCAACAGCATGAATAATATCATAATTTAAAAAAAGCAAAATGCCTTCAACTGATAGAGCAAGATTAAATTGTATATTTACTCTAGGTTCTGGCCATAGAAAAAGTCAAGGGGCTGTTTGAACGCCAGTGGGAAAAGTAGTAGCAAATAGGTGCTCAGAGTGTATTTCCTTATATTTCCTATCACTTTATTTTTTCCGCATCATTTTATTACTTTATTGGGTGGCAAAAAGTAAAGAGCCCATGAGCCCCTATCAACAATTCTATAGCTACTCAAAGTACATGTTGTCCTGCTAATATTTTATTTTATATCATAATATTTTTTAGTTTCTGAAATAAACTTGAGGTTATCTTACGTTGATCATTCAAGGTAGTTGAATCTTCCTGGAAGAAGTATCCTAAAATCATGAAGGCCAAATCACAGAGCACAAAAACAAGCAGGAGTTACCCAGGGCAGTCATAATTACTTTGGAAAGCATCACTTCTTATTTAGACTCCTGTGGTTAAATATTTGAGAAACATGCTATAGTTGGTTTAACTTAAAAAGTGGGAATTATTACATGCTCAGAGGAGAGGTAGCTCCTAGAATGTAAGAGCAGAGATGAGACATGCATTAAGACACACTGAATCTAACTAGAAATTTATCAGAAATGTTATATATGCTTTATCTCTGCTTTCTTGCCTTTTTTCTTTCCAAATATTCTCATTACATACTGTTTTTTTTTTTTTCCTGCTTCTTGGAGATAGTGAAACTGCCACCACACCACTCCTTAGTTATCTTAGTTCCAGACATGCAGGGGAACCAACTGACTGACTCTGAATCCTCTTTGTAAATCTAGCATTGTAAGAGCCCTCTACTATGACTACATTCACCTTTTGAAAATCATCAGGTTTAACTCATTTTAAGACATCTTATTTTGTGTTTTTGCGTTTATGATGTTCAAGAATTCTATATTTTGATTTATGTAACTTAAAAATAGTAAAACAATGGTAAAGAAAATGTGATGAAAATATTTGAATTGGTTCTAGTGGTCAGCAATGTTATTGAATAATGTGTGTATTTAATACACTCAAGTGTATTTGCATACTAATTCCTATATTTACATATATTTATACATGTTTATATGTATAGAAAATATGTAAATAAAATGTATTGGCCATATAAATAAATTTCAAGTTATGAAAAACTGGATTAAGAAAACATAAAGGCATACTGAGTTTGTTTGTGAGAATGCAAGACCATTAATCACTTCAGAAACACTGCGTTGAAATCACCTTCACTAATAGGACATTTGTGTGTTACGTTGACTACTGTGTACCTCTCGTGGTATTTATCCTAATACAATTCTATATATTTGAAAAGAGAGAGCCATTCCACCAATGTTAGCACAATTCACATAATTTTAGAATGTTGTATAATCAATACTTTTATAGTCTCAAGCTTGTACAGGCCTCAAAGCAGAAGGTTAGGTCATTCTTCTCGTGGGGTATAGAGTTTAGCCTTCATCAACAAGTGCTGTGACTGTGCATAGCTGGATTTTATTTTATTTTTTATTATTTTCAGTATAAATATATATGTTTTCATTTTTATTTTTGTATATGTTGATGCATACATTTAGAAGTCACATATTTCTTTGTATATTTAGAAATATACACATGTATGTGTGTTTATACACATACGCATAAATGTGTATATTTCCAAATATATCTAGATATAATCTGTCAGTCTGGTATTTCATGCATACAGGGAACAAGCAAAGATATATCACAGCACAAAATGGGCACTAGCTTATTAAGTGGTATCATCCACTCACCTGGGCTGGTAGTGTTCAACAGTGTGTCTTGTATCCAGATTTTCTTTCTTGCCACCTACTTTGGAGTTCAGAAGAGTTTGTGATGCCAGACACATTTTTTCCATGCCCCTCATACTTGTCAAAGAGGCCTCAGGCACCTAGTATTCCAGGTGTTTTTACTCTAGGTCTTCTGTCAGCCTATCTTGAGTTTCTCTAAATTTAAATGAGAATGGCCAGAACAGGCTAACTCCAGGACTGGGTAATCTTTAGCATCTGGTCCCACTGTTATGGCACTCTGAAAGACCCCAGTGGTCCTCAGTGCAGCCCGGCTATCGCCTGCCCCGTCTACCATCCTTTGTACTGTATTTCATAAACCAAACTTGTGCCGCCCTTAACCTGTCCTGAGGACTCAGGCCTAGCCTTGCTACCTCTGATGGAAAGCCTCTTCTCCACCCATTGTACATGCACCAATAGGAAACAATTTTCCTGATTTAAAGGTGGAGGAAAAGTGGACAGAATTCCCTCTGGAGGGTGGTAGAACTATTACTGGGTCTGGTAAAATTGCTGGCCTGGTTTTAGCCACAAGGGTGTAAAACCATGGAACTAGCAAGAAAAGCCTCTAATGGCTTCCTTTCCTGACAGTAGGTTGCAAAGGGCTCAATGACCCCTAGTGTAAATGTAGGTATATCTGTGTGTGTGACTCTATGTGTGTACCTCTGGGTATTTTTATTGGATTATGTTTATTTTATACATATGCATTTATATTTTGATATGTTTCTGTAGATATTTGTATAAATACATATGTTATATCTATATTCATTTTTTATCATTTATCTTTTTTATTTCTAAAAATGTAAGGAGTACAAGTGCAATGAATATGTTGTGTATTGGTGAAGTTTGAGCTTTTAGAGTAACCATCACCTGAATAATGTACATTGTACACATGAAGTAATTACTCATCCACCCGCCCTCCCACCACCCACCCTTAAAGTCTCCAGTTCGTCATTCTGTACTCTATGTTCATGTGTACATATTATTTAGCTCCTACTTAAAAGTGAGAGCATACAGTATTTGCATTTGTTTCTTAATTGTTTCTTTTAAGATAATAGCTTCCAGTTCCATCCATGTTGCTGCAAAATACAGAATTCCATTCTCCTTGTGGCTAAGTAGTATTCCGGTGTGTGTGTGTGTATATAAACACATACACATATGTGTATAAATATACATATATGTATATACCCATATACACATATATATACACAATGGAATGCTACTTAGATGCAAAAGAAGGAAATTCTGTACTTAAGTATTATTCTTAAGAATAACGTGTTTATTATTTAATAATACTGCAATTAAGTAGTATTCCTTTGTGTGTGTGTATATACACACATATATACACGTGTGTGTATATACACACATATATACACGTGTGCGTGTATATACACACATATATACACGTGTGCGTGTATACACACATATATACACGTGTGCGTGTATATACACACATATATACACGTGTGCGTGTATATACACACATATATACACGTGTGCGTGTATACACACACATATACACGTGTGCGTGTATACACACACATATACACGTGTGCGTATATACACACATATATACACGTGTGTGTGTACACACATATATACACGTGTGTGTACACACATATATACACATATGTGTGTGTATACACGTGTGTGCGTGTACGCACGCGCATACACGTGTGTGCGTGTACGCACGCGCATACACGTGTGTGCGTGTACGCACGCGCATACACGTGTGTGCGTGTACGCACGCGCATACACGTGTGTGTACACATATATATACATACACACATATATACACGTATATACCTATATAGGTATATACATATATATACATATATACACGTATATACCTATATAGGTATATACATATATATACATATATACACATATATATATGTATATACATACCTACGACTGGGTAATTTATAAGTAAAAAGAGGGTTAATGGACTCATAGTTTTCACATGGCTGGGGAGGCCTCACAATCATGGTAGAAGGTGAAGGAGAAGCAAAGGCATATCTTACATGGTGACAGGCAAGAGAACGTGTGCAGGGGAACTGCCCTTTATAAAACTATCAGATCTTGTGAACAGTCACTCACTCTTGTGAGAACAGCATGGAGGTAACCGCCCTTATGATTCAATTACTTTTCACCAGGTCCCTCCCACAGCACAAGGGGATTATGAGAACTACAATTCAAGATGAGATTTGGGTGCGGGCACAGCCAAGCCACATCAGGTAGATAACTAGTATGTGTATGTATATACACACACACACATATATATACATATACACATATATGTGCATATACATATATATGTATATATACACATGTGCATATACATATATATGTATATATACACATGTGCATATACATATATATGTATATATACACATGTGCATATACATATATATGTATATATACACACATATTTGCATATACATATATATGTATATATACACACATATTTGCATGTGTCTGTATGTATATATGTGTGTATATATGGGAAATGTCTGAACTTTCCCCTCAATTGTGCTGTGAACCAAAAACTGTCCTAAAAAATGAAGTCTATTGAGAATGCTACATAAAGTAAAACAAGGTTTAATGATTTTAAAAATTAAACTACTTTTCATATCTTATTTACAGTTTCTATCACTCTGTGTGTGTGTGTGTGTGTGTGTGTGTAACAGACTTCATGGTGGGTTGAGGGTAGAAGAGTGAAAGAAAACATGCAGAGCAAATGAAGACCTCTCACGGAAGGTGATGATCATGTAAACCTTATTAGGGCAATGGAGCAAAAGGGTTGGTAGTGCAACCTTCCCTACTTTCAACTCTGAATGCCAAACATAGATATCCTAGTGTGAGAGAAATGAAACAATCTTGTCCTTCACTGCTGTGAGCCTTCTTTCTGTAAAATCAACACCAAGTTGAAATCAGAAGTATATTAGGTTGAAAGATTTTGAGAACTTGGGCCCCTCTTTCATACAAGTACCTTGTTCTCACATAGATTACCTTGAGAACAAATATGCTTTCAACAGACACCAAAGTGTCAAGCATCTTTGTCCTTTTAACCATCAAAATTATTTCTAAGAAGTTAAGAAGAAATTAAATAAGCCAGGGATAAATTATTTTGTCAAACTTCATCTCAGAATGGTATGATTTGAAGATTTAACCTTTGGTAATTTACCCAGTAATTTATTTTCTAGATACAAGTGCCTATTGCGGCCTTATAACAACAGCAAGCTTAAGAAAATGTAGAAATATATAATTAAGGAAAAAGCTGACATTTATGTTTCCCTTAAATTTATACAGCTGCTTCTTGGTGCAGCAGTAGACCTCTTACATCAATATGAAGTTGATTTCAATCAACATTGATTGCCCAGTCTGGACCATTAAGTGCATAAGCTGATTTCAGAGAAATGAAATATGATAGATGTAGAAATCAGTGTAGGAAAGCTAAAGAACAACAGGAAGAAATCAAGGGTCCTGAAGTAAATAAACTCATTCCTCACTGTTTGCTAATTAGCTTTTTTTTTTCTGCTTTTAAGTTTAGCAATTTTGTTGATTGTTCTTTTCTTCTTTAAAGTGTCTGAATCTAGAGGATCTGAAACACAGTGCATCCAAAGAACGTTAAAATGGTAAATAAATCCATCCTAGTACCATTTCCCAAATTAACGAAAGCTCTACATACACAGGGAAGTAGGAAAAGTAAGTATAGGGAAGCTGAAGTTGCTCAGGAACACAAAGGTGAATGTGGGTGTGAAGGAGCATTCAGAGATTTGAAAGTAATGAAATTTCATTCACTTTATCATAATACTTCCATTTTCCTTATATTCTGAAATCTGAATGTCCTTTTAAAAAGCAGCTAAGTTTTCTTACTCCTGATACAGTTGTTTTATTTAAACAATAAAACTCAACTGTTTAGAGAATACTGAAACTCATCACCCTTTTATTAACAACCATTAACTGCATATAAATTTTCCAGAAAATGGAAAGCATTAGAAGTTTAGAACTTCCTGAGTGTCCTATGAGATTAAATGTACACAAGTTATTTAGGTTATGCTATATATTTTGTTGTACTCCCTAACAGTCTTAAGACAGTAATAAAACAGAAGAATGAGGGGCCACAAACTAGGTAAAAGGCAAGAGAAATAGGAAGAAACACAGATATGAAAAACAGAGACTGTTTAGATTTCAATATTCATATTTCATTTGAACCGAAAACTGTCTAGTGTTTTAACATAGACAAAAAGTAGATAACCTTATCCTTTTGCACCTTTTTAAAAATTCCATCAAAGAGCTTTCATGCTCTTTAATTATTAACGAGAAGCCCTCTTCGGTACTTTTCTTTCTCTGTGTTACAGTGTCTAATATCCATCTGGATATTTCTCTCAATTAACCCAAAGAGATAATTTTTTAATTTCCCATGCTAAAATGCAGTCCTTAATGTCCTGCTTACACTTTTTAGATTATAAATCATCTAAAAGAAGCCTTTGATTCTTATGTAATATGGAGCATATGTATTTAACTGAAGCCATAACTTTAATCTGTAGGGTGCATAATTATAGCACAGTTTGATTTTAAGTTATGGTTTAAGGAACCATAACGTCTCAAATAGCATAAGGTATAGGCATATTTTTGCAAAATGTATTTGTGAATCTTCACTGAACATTCAAAATATGGATTCAAAAATTGCTGTGCAATTGCAGCTCTACTGAAATGAACCAGTTATAGGAAAAAAAAAAAAAAAAAACAAAAAAACAACTTTTTCCCCCAGAGCTAAACTTATCTCTTTTTAAGCTATCACAAGAGCTCCACTGTAGGAAAAAATGTCTTTGCCATTTTAAATACTCTTTTAATTCAGATATTATTCTTTCACTATAAATAGTCCATTTTGATAACTAATTACGTAGTCCATCTGTCAGAGTTTCACTTCCATTTCTCAAAAATGGCAGCCAGGTATATGATGGGAATCACAGGACTGGTGACTGGTATTGGCTGTTGCCTGGGAACTTAAATAAAGGGAATGACAATCAAAACACCTACACCTGGGCTCCACATTTCTTTAGCTTAACTAAAACATCATGGCTGGGGCTGGGCAAAGTGGCTCATGCCTGTAATCCCAGCACTTTGGGAGGCCGAGTCAGTTGGATCACCTGAGGTCAGGAGTTCGAGACCAGCCTGACCAAAATGGTGAAACCCCCATCTCTACTAAAAATACAAAAAATATCTGGGCATGGTGGTGGGCGCCTGTAATCCCAGCTATTTGGGAGACTGAGGTAGGAGAATCGCTTGAACCTGGGAGGCTGAGGTTGCAGTGAGTCGAGATCACACCATTGGACTCCAGCCTGTGACAGCGCCAGACTCGTCCCCACCCCCAGCCAAAAAAAAAAAAAAAAAAAAATCATGGCTAGATACAAAGTTTCAGTATTCTAAAAGGGAAAGAGCATGTAGGAGCACCTTTGCATTTTTGGGGCCAACTTTGAAATTGACTAATTATCCTTTCCACGACATTTGATTAAAAGCAAGTGATTAAAACCCTTCATATTCTGGCTGGGCGCAGTGGCTCACGCCTGTAATCCCAGCACTTTGGGAGGCTGATCACTTGAGGTCAAGGGGTTGAGACCAGCCTGGCCAACATGGTGAAACCCTGTCTTTAGTAAAAATACAAAAATTAGCCTGGCTGGTGGTGTACATCTGTAATCCCAGCTACTTGAGAGACTGAGTCAGCAAAATCACTTGAGCCCGGGAGGTGGAGGTTGCAGTGAGCCGAGATTGCGCCACTGCACTCCAGCTTGGGCGACAGAGCGAAACTTGAAAAACTCTGTCTCAGAACAAACAAACAAACAAACAAAAAACAAAAAAACTAGAATCCGTTATTTCATGGAAAAAGCGTCAGAAAAGCTGCAGATATATTATTAAATCACTATAATCTGCTTCTATTTATATTCTTCACACATGTAAAATAAACTCTTCCCTGTCCCATGTCCTCCTACACTGTCTTGCTTATTGTGGTATCATGGTAAGCTTGAAGTTCAACTTAAGTTCAAGTGTGGGTGAATCATCTCAGCTACAGTTCCTCCAGTGTAGCTCCTTGAGTAAAATTCCTCTGTATCTTGAAGACCTGTGAACTTTACAGACAAATTAACTACACACAAACACATGCACACACACAGACCCATATGCAAATAAATTCCAACTAGGCAACAGTGAGACTTGCCCCGGATAACTGCTCTAGACTCTCCCATTCAAAAAGAGAAAAATGGGCACACAAGAATCACATATTTATAGCAAATTTGAAATCTAGCCAAGAACATGCTGCCAGCTTCTTGATTAGAACTTAATCCTGCTACCTAAGGATGATTCTTCATGACCCTTGTGGATTTACCTTCAAGGTTCTTGATTTTACTGAATGAGTTACTTATTTCCATTAGAAATGAACAGTATTTACAGCTGAACAGTTTTCTCAGCATGCACCTTGCCTATACTAGTTCAAGGTTTCAACAGACTTTTAATTCTGTTGTCTGTGTCCCTCTTAGTCTAAGCTGGCCGAGTTTCTGCCAATATGTTCTCTTAAAATTTTTGCAGGATCTCCATGAGGATTTTGTCCACTAGACAAAAGCTACACTCACAAATCTCATCAAAATAAACCCATCTCCTTGGCTTCCTGTAAGATTGCTGAGGAGAAAGTCCTCAGGCCCTTGAGACGTCCCGTTCTTTAATGAAGATTTGTGAGGCATGGTTAGAAAGACTGTTGTCTGTTTGAAATACCATAATAAATATTTCTGTGGTCTTAACAGAAGGTTTTATAGACATGCCCTTATTGCCTCTTTTAGACTATATTTTCCTGACAATACCCTAAATTTGATCTCTTAGAAAATATTTTTAATTTTTACAATCATTCGCTAACTGAAGAAGCTGTTGATGAAAAAATGGCTTTAATTTGACAATGTACTGGACAATAAATAGACATATATAACATAAGAAATCCTGTTTTATGCTAAATAAATAAATGTTTTTTTAAATCTTATTTCTTTTACGTTTTAGTATAAGCAGTTAAAGGAAGCCAGGTGGCAACTTTCACACTTTGTCTGGAATATTCTTGAGTAGATCATCAAGTTCCTTTTTCTTATTTTTAATGTTAATAAAGGTAACAGTATCATTAAATTTCCGCATATCAATGACTCTTTTTCTTTTAATCTATCACCAACATCCTATCAAAGTACTACTAGGCTACTAACAGGCTCTGAGGCTTTTTAGGCTCTCACTGTCACTGTTGTCTGCATCTTTCCACCTTCTCCCCACCAGCAGGGCTTAAGGCACTCTTACCTGTTTTAAATGTTTTATTGTAGTAGCACCACTTCTGGTAGCCAAAACTATTCCATATTCCAGGTATGCATTGCTGTGAAATAAACTAGTGCAATATTTAATGTTTAAAGCAAAATCTTTTTTTTAATTACACATCTGCTATTTGAGAAGGGCTTTGAGGATACCGCTTACCTCTGCTTCATTTAGCATTATACAGGGTGCTGGATCCTAGAAGCTGAATGCTGGAATTATGTGAAGGCTGTATCAGTCACTTATCTCCTGGTCAATACTGGCTATAACTTGTTGCCTAAGATAGTACTGCTGGTTTTTATACCATGTAGTCTCTTTATGTAGTTTAGGTATCTCATAACGTGATGGTTGGTTTCACAAGATGAACATCCCAAGAGAAATAATCAAGCCTTTCCTATCTTAGCATCAAAGATCAGGCAGATTCCCTTTCAGTAACTCTATTAGCACAAGGTCACAAAAGCTGACCCATATTTAAGTGAAGGGGAATTAAATTCCACACTTTGAAAGACAAGTCTCAAGATATTTGTAAACAAGTTTTAAAACCACAATCTTAAGATTTACCGTAATGTAAATCTCTCTTTTATACTTTCAACCGTGGTTCATGATATGCTAAGTAGCATAAAGCATTAAGAAAATACTCCTCTCCATGAAACTTTATTTTTGAGACTCTTCCAGTATCTCATTTTTGCAATTAAATTAGAAACTTGACTTGGTTTTCTTATTTTTCATTTATGCTATAGCAAAATACTACACACAGCCCTTCAAGAAGATAAACAAATGAGTGTACAGAGACATAATTATGTAACAAATGCAAAGGATAAATACACATTAATATATTTTAATATATATTGTTCCTGTTACAATCCAAGGATAATCTCAAAAATATTACAGCGGAGAAAAAAGCAGGAATTGATAAATCAATGTCAGAACGGTTGGATGGATGTTTTCCTTGGGTATATAATTTTCATTTAGATGGAAGGTTGAAATACTAGTTTGAATCATAGTCACTGACTTTAAGATCTTCTTTTAAGATACTACAAAAATACAGTTATGCAGTTGAAAAGATAGCTATATAGATATTTGAAACTCAAGAGAAAGTTCAAAAATAGCCCAATGTATATATGGTTTTAAAACAATGGCACCCATAGAATTTTATGTGGAAAGGAAAATCTTTTTAACAAATATTACTGGAACAATTGCGTAGCCATATTGCAAAAATGAACTTTGACTCCTATTTCAAGTTACACAAATGCATGCACACACATACACACAGGCTCTCTCACTCTCATGGGGGATAAAACATAGATCTGTACTCACTGTGTTGTGCTATCAAATACAAAGCATGTTTATTCATTCGAACTATTTTTAAAAAGTATAATTAGATTGTTTGTAACACTAAAGGATACATTCTTGAGGGAATGGATACCCCATTTTCCAAGATGTGATTATTACTCATTGCATGCCTGTATCAAAACATCTCATGTATCCCAGAAGTATATACATTTAATATGTACCCACAAAAATTAATAATTAAAAGAATAAATCTAATATAACATCTAAACTCATAAAGCCACTAAAAATTATGTGATTATATTTGTGAACATGAGTTACATCAAGATTTCTTGTACAAGGTAGTAGCCATGTTAGCCGTAAAGAAAAAAAGCATTGGCCGGGCGCGGTGGCTCACGCCTGTAATCCCAGCGCTTTGGGAGGCCGAGGCGGGCGGATCACGAGGTCAGGAGATCTAGACCACCCTGGCTAACATGGTGAAACCCTGACTCTACTAAAACTACCAAAAATTAGCCGGGCGTGGTGGCGGGCGCCTGTAGTCCCAGCTACTCGGGAGGCTGAGGCAGGAGAATGGCGTGAACCCGGGAGGTGGAGCTTGCAGTGAGCGGAGATCGCGCCACTGCACTCCAGCCTGGGCGACAGAGCGAGAATCCGTCTAAAAAAAAAATGAAAAAAAGAAAAAAAGCATTAACTATAAAGAAAAAATATAAATTAGATTCTATTATCTTTTTATTATTAAAAAGATAAATAAGGTAAGAAGTACTGCATATATAAATATTTGACAATGTATTTGTACTCAGAATATATAAAGCAAGCTTATGAATTCATCGTAATGCAAAATACAAGCACGTTTGTTTAAATTGTGGGCAAAGAATTTGAACAGACTATTCACAAAAGAGACAAATACACTTTGCCAATAAACTCTAAACAAAAGTATATATTTGTATTAGTTATAATGGAAATGTAAATTAAAACTATTATTGTTATAATAGTTATATTGACAATTATATTAAAATATAATTGTCATGTGATTATATTTGTGAACATGAGTTACGTGAAGATATGTTAAACATAATTGTTATATTAACAATTATGACAAGGATGTAGAGCAACTTGAGATATCATATATTGCTTGTGTGGTGTAATATGCAAAACCTCTTCTTAAATTGGCTGACAATTTATAATAAAGTTAAACCTTATTCCTATTATGTAACCCAAATTTTCATCTCAGGTATTTATTTAAAGGAAATGAAAGAATGCACAAAAATTTATACAAGATTGTTTATAGCAGCTTTGATAATAATTGCCAAATAATGGGAAAAACAAATATTCATCGACAGAGTGGGGGTAATCAAAGTACAATATATTTATCCAAATAAAAAGTCTTCAGCAATAAAAAGAAATAAAATATTTGTGGATGCAACAACCTTGATGAATCTTTCAAGCTTTGTGCTGTTTGAAAGAAGCCAGATATACACAAAAATATATTGTATGATTCCATGTATATAATCAAATACAGACAAAACTAACCTATAGCTTAAAGTGCACAACAGCAGTTGGTTTAGTGCTATTGACTGAAAGGTGGCCCAAGAGAATTTTCTGGGGTAAAATAAATATATTTCTTGATTTGGGTATTGTTTAAATAGTTCATAGATTTCTCAAGTACATAAAATATAAAATATGGGCAATTTTATGCATGTAAATATGTTATTACTTGAGGTATAATACATATAAAATTAAATAAAACCATTTTAAGGTGCTCAAGTCAGTGATATTTAGCACATTTACAATGGTCTGCAACCATTGCATCTATTTAATTCCAAACACTTTCATCACCCCTAAAAAGAAATTGGATAGCCCTTAAGCAGTTATTTCCCATTACCCTTTCCTTCTTAGCCACTGCCAACCATCAATTCTTTTCTCTCCTATGTATTTATCTATTCTATATACTTCATGAAATGAAATAACACAGTATATCACATTTCTAAGTGGCTTCTTTCGCTTAGCAAAATGTTTTTGAAGTTCACGCATTTTGCATCATGAATCAATACTTCATTCCTTCTTATGTTTGAATTTTATTTCATTGTATATGTGACAGAGAATTTTACATATCCACTTGCTTGGCCAGACTACACAGACATGTGGTTAAGCATGATTCTAGATGTTTATGTGAAGGGATTTTTTTTTTAGATGAGATTAAAATTTAAATCAGTAGACATTGAGTAAAGCAGATTACTCTCTATAATGTTGTGGTTCTCATCCAATCAGTAGAAGGCATTAATAGAGAAAGAGTGACCTTCCTAAACAAGAAAGAATTCTGCCAACAGATTGCTGTTGGACTTAAACTGTAGCTCTTCCCAGTGTCTCCAGCTTTCAAGCTTACCCTACAGATTTTGGATTTGTCAAGCCTCCACAATTACATAGGCAAATTTCTTAACATATGCCCCCACCTCTACATCTCTATCTATCTATATATCTTTCTATCTATCTGTCTATCTATCTATCTATCTATCTATCCATCTAGATATATATATATCTCCATATACACACATTTATATGTGTATATACACATATGTATAGCCATATTTACATATATATATATATACACACATGTGTTTATGTTTATATGGTAAGACTGTGTTTAGTTTTATTTTAAAAAACTGTCAAACTGTCTTCCAAAATGACTGTATTATTTTATATTCTACCAGCAAATAATGACACGCAGTGTTACTCCATATTTTTGCCAAAATGTGGTGGTGTTAGTGTTTTAGATTTTGGCCATTCTATGAGGTATGCAGTGGTATATCCTTGTTTTGATTTGCAACTTCCTAATGATCATCATCTTTTACTATTTTGGACATTTATACATTTTATTTGGTGAGGTGTCTATTCAGGACTTTGGACAATTTTTAAATTGCTTCTTTTCTCAAATTTTTAAATGTTTAATTTTTGTGGGTATATAGTAGATGTATATATTTTGGGGATACATGAGAGGTTTTGATACAGGAATACAATGTGAAATAATCACTTCATTGAGAATGGAGTATCCATCCTCTCAAGCATTTATCTACAAATCAAAACAATTGAACTCATGGACAAAGGGAGTAGAAGGATGGTTCTCAGAGGCTCAGGAGGGTAATGGGGAGATGCAGATGGTTAATGGGTACAAAAATAGTTAGAAAGAATGAGTAAGACATACTGTTTGTTTTCTTGTTATTAAGTTGTATGACTTCTTTATTTATTTTGGATAATTGTCTTTTACCAGGAATACCTTATACAAATATTATTTCCAGTTTATCGGCTTGTCTTCTAATTATTTAGACATAGTCTTTTGCAGATCAGAAGTTTTTAATTTTAACAAAGTACAGCTTGTCATTACTTTGTTCATGGATCATGTCTTTGGTGTATCTAAAAAGTCACTGCCATATTCAAGGCCATCTGGGTTTGTTATCTATGTTATCTCCTAGGAGTTTTACAGTTTTATTCATTTTACACTTAGGTAAAATCTATTACCTATAATTTATTTTGAGTTAATTTTTGTGATGGGTATTAGATCCATGTCTAGATTTTTTTGGAGGGGCGACTATTCCTTTGTTCCTGTATCAAAGACCATTTTACTCTATTTGTATGTGTCTATTTCTTGGTTCTCTATCCTGTTCCATTGATTTGTTTGTCTCTCATTTTGCCACTACCACATTTTGTTTATTACTCTAAACATAATGCTTTACAGTAAACCTTGAAATTGGGTAGTGTCAGTCCATCAACTTTATTCTTCTTCAATTTTATATTAACTATTTTGGGTCTTTTGCTCTTACACAAACTTTAGAATCGGTTTGTCAATATTTACAAAATAACTTGCTGGGGTTTTTACAGGCCCTCTTTAAGTGCCACATGAATTTTAGAATAGTTTTTCTACTTCTGTGAAAAATTACATGGGTATCTTAATAGGTATTGTATTGTATCTCTAGATGGCTTGGGGCACTGTAATCATTTTAACAATATTAATGCTTTGGTCTACAAGATAGATTATATTTCCATTTGTGTCTTCTTCAATTTCTTTCATCAGTGGTTTGTAGTTCTTCTTGTAGAGAACTTTCACTTGCTTGTTTAAGTAAATTCCTAGTTTTTGTTTTAGTAGCTACGGTAGAAAAAAATCAACATAAACATAAATAGGCAAATGAGTACTAATTAAGAAGCTTCTGCACATTACAAAATAAAAATAATAACCAACAGAGTAAACAGACGATCTACAGAATGGGAGAAAATATTTGCAAACTATACATCTGACAAAGAACTAATATTTAGAATCTCCAAGGAATTCAAACAAATCAGCAAGAAAATAAAACAAATAATCCAGTTAAAAACTGGGCAAATGACAAGGATAGGTATTTCTCAAAAGAAGACATACAAGCAGCCAACAAGCACATGAAAAAGTGCTCAACATCACTATTCATCAAGGAAATGCAAATTAAAACCACAAGGAGATAGAGCCTCCCCACACCAGAATGGCTACTATTAAAAAGTCAAAACCAATATATGTTGGGGAGATGTGGTAAAAAGGGAACACTTATATACTGCTGGTAATAATGTAAACTATTACAATCTCCATGGAAAATAGTATGGAGATTTCTCAAAGAACTAAAAGTGTATCTACCATTCCATCCAACATTCCCACCACTGTGTCTCTACCCAAAGGAAAAGAAAGTCCTGATATCAAAAAGACACCTACCTGCACACATGTATTTATTGCAGCACAATTCACAATTGTAAAGATATAGACTCAACCTATGTGCCCATCAACTGATGAGTGGATACAGAAAATGTTATATATGTGTGTGTGTGTTTGCATATGTGTGTACATATCATGGAATACTACTCAACCATAAAAAAGAATGAAATAATGTCTTTTGCAGCATTTGAATGGTTGAATGGAACTGAAGGTCATTACCCTAACTGAAGTAACTCAGGACTGAAAAGTTAAATACTATGTGTTCTCACTTAACAAGTGGGAGCTAATCTATGTGTATAAAAAAAGCATACAGAGGTGGTATAATGGACATTGGAGATTCAGAAGTGGGGAGACTGGAGGGGTGTTGAGCAATAAGAAATTATCTATTGGGTACAATGTACCCTTTTAGAGTGACAGGTACACTAAAAGCCCAGACTTTACCACTATAAAATTCATCTATGTAACCACAAACCACATGTACTCCAAAGCTATTGAAGAAAAAAAATGAAGTGATTATTGATATAATTGGGGTAATGTTTACCATACTTTTTAATGCTTTCTCTTTGTTGTCCTTGTATTCTATTCCTATTTTTTGTCTTCTGCTTTTTTCCTGCCTTTTGTGATTTTCATTGTGAATTTTGTGTAATATATTTTCCTTTCTTAGCACATCAGTTCTCCTCCTTCTCCTCTTCCTTCTCCTTAATTTAGTTTTTGTCTTAGAGTTTTCAATATACATTTACAACTAAGTCAAGTTCACTTCCTAATAACACTATACTGCTCTATGGGTAGTGTAAATGACTTATAATGAAAAAATAATCTGAATTTCTCCATATAGTCTCTTGTACTGTTGCTTCATTCATTTCATTTTTATACATAAACATATGAAATTATGTTTACTGTATATAGTAGTCACAGTCTCTGTAGATTGCTTGTGGTGGTGTAAATATTTTAACAATATTAATGCTTCTGACATATGATTGATGTCTCTCTCTCTAGACATATTTATATATATATTATATATAGTAAGAAAAGTAAATAATTCTTTTTATGGACTCATTGGCAGGTTGGATATGGCTGAGAAAAGAATTTGAGAATATTCTCAAGAGCTTGGAAATATTTCAGGAGAAACTTTCAAAACTGAAAAGTAAAGATAAAAAAATTTTATAAAAAGAATAGAATATCAAAGAGCTGTGGGGAAACTATTATACAAAAGGCATAATATATACATAATAGAATAGAAAAAGATGTAGAGAAACAGAAAAAAAGCAGATGTATATACATAAACATAGCTTATTGAATGCATTGATTTTATTATTTTAAAGAATCTGATATCTATTAGCTCACTTAAGAATAAAATAATTATTTTACCTTCACTTTTTATTTCTCTGATGATCTTTCTTTTATATACAGACTGAGTTGCTTATTTACAGCATTTTTCTTTCTCTGAAGAACTTCTTTAGCATTTCTTGCAAGGCAGGTCTATTAACAAATTCTTTCCATTGCTGTTTGGTTCAGAAAGTATTTATTTCTCTTCTACTTTTGAAAGATAATTATGCAGAGTACATATTTCTAGGGTGGTAGTTTTTAATTTTTTTCTCTCAGAACTATTTCACTCCAGTTTCTTCTTACCTGAATGATTTCTGAGGAGGAGATGAATGTAATTCTTATGTTTAACCCTCTGTTATTTTTGCATTTATCCTGTTTGGTGTTTTCTGAGCTTTCTGGGTCCATGGCCTGGTGTCTGAAATTAATTTGGGAAAGTTCTCAGTCATTATTGCTTCAAATATTTTTTTCTCTTCTTTTCTTTCTCATCTTCCATTTTGCATATATTATGCCCTTTATAGTTTTCCCACAGTTCTTAGATATTCCATTCTTTGTTTTTTTCTTCAGTAATTTTCCTCTAGGTTTTTATTGAGGTATCCTTAAGTTTAGTTATTCTTTTCTCAGCCATATCCAGTCTACTAAGGAGTACATCAAAAGCAGTATTCATTTCTGTTGCTGTGTTTTTGATTGAAAACATTTCCTTTTGATTTTTTTCTTAGGATTTCCACCTCTCTGCTCACATTTCTTATTTGTTCTTGCATGCTTTCTACCTTATTCTTTAAAGTTTGTGGCACAGTAAACATAGTTGTTTCGAATTTCCTGTTTCATAGTCCCAACACATCTGCAATATCTGAGTCTGTTTCTGATGTTTTCTCTCTCTCTTCAAACTGTGTTTCTTGACTGTTAGTATGCCTTGTAATTTTTTCTTGGCAGCATGACATAATGTCCTGGGTCAAAGAAGCTGCAGTAAACAGGCCTTTAGTAATGTGGTGGTCAGGTATGGCAGTAGGAAGAGTCTCAGTTTTTTAATCACCCTATATCTTTAGATTATGAACTTCACAGTACTTCTCAATTTCCACTCCCATCCCCTTTCCCTGGAACAGCCTGGCTGGAGTGAACCAGAGTTGGATATTTTTTTTCTGCACGTGACATGCTAGAGCTAGCTGGAGTAGGGTATTTACCTTCTCCAGGTCAACTGGGCTCTGCAACAATAGCAACTAGTTTTAGCTCTGGTAAAATAGTTTTTCTTCGGGGCAGGCCTTTTTTTTTTTTTTTTTAAGAAAAACAGAATGCTTAGGATAATAGCCTCTAGCTGCATACATGTTTCTGCCGAGGAGGAGGAGGAGGAGGAGGAGGGGGAGGGGGAAGGGGAAGCGGGGAAGGGGCGAAAGGGGGGGAGGGGGAGGGGGAGAAGGAGGGCAACAACAGAATGCTCCAGTATATTAATTTCAAACTGGTTACTTTCTTTTCTCCCTGCTGGCAGCATGAAGGGATTTTTCTGATATTTACTGTGATAACCTGGTGAAGGTCCTGCAGATGAAACTCACAAAAGTGTGGGGTTCTGTACAAAGTTTGAGAGTATTCACACTGAGCCTCCAACATTCATCAGCTCCTGTTTAGGTCTGCCTGTTCACCAGGACTGGTCCCCACAGAGGTTTCTGCTCCTGGTTTTCTGCTCCAATAAGTTGTGATTTTCTACCTCTGCCTGTCTCTCTAATATTGAGGGCACCAGTTTATCTGTGACCTCACTTCTCTTACAAATCTAAGGAGAGTTATTGACTTTTCATTTTCCTCAGTTTTAAGTTTTTTTGTTAGTACAAGTGACATATTCCTAGCTCCTTGAATTTCAGATCAGAAAGTTTTATTGTTTCTTTGGCAATATTTTTACTGATGCTTCCAAATAAAAATAAATAACAATATTTTGTCGTTACTGATCTTTTTGCATAGTGAAAATTGTTACATTGTTTTCAAGTGTCCAGATGAATTTATTTTTTTTTGTTTTTAAAGATTTGATTATTTCTTCTGGCTAAAACCAATATATTATCTATATTTCACAATAGCCAAAGTTTTTGATTATAACAATATAAGAAAAGTATATATCACTACAAATAATTGTGTGATATAAAGAAGTATTACAATATAACTTTTATAAAATTATTAATGGTAATCTCAGTTTACATTCTGGCAATGGTAATATTCTGGCAATGGTAATTACTGATCATAAATGCATGCAACTCTGTAAAAAGTCTAAGTACTATTTTCCTTTCAAATACTCTTTTGGACACAGTGTTTAAACTATTCAATCTGGTCTCCAGGTGCCTCCCAACCCTCAGCACCACCTGCTTGACCCAGCATGCTCTTGCTCCTTAATAGAGGCTGATCTTTTCCCTCTCCTTTGATCTCATTCTGAGTCATCACTATTCACATAGGCTGTCCTTGGGACAGGCTGTGGCAAAATTCTATTTCCTTCCATTAGATTAAATCCTACTCATAACTTAAATCACACTTCTTCAAAGAAGACATCTTGGACAGAGAAAAATAAAATAAAATTACCTTTCTGCTAATGTCTCCTTATATAATGCCCTTAAATGTTTTATGTGTTTGTAATATATCATCAACTATTAAACTGTCTCAATTATATAGTACTGTAGATTTTATAGAGAGCTTCAAAAGTCTTTTTATGCATTCCTGACAATAGTTCTATAGTTGGTTGGATTTCTATTCCAACAGATGTAGAAATTGAGAATGCGGAGTATAGGGTAACCTACTCTGAATTACAGAGCCCCATAAAACTAGAAACTAAACATAGTCCCTATCTTCTGATGATCTGACCTCTGTAAATATCTCTTTCTTGTCTTCTTCATGTTGTATACATTTGGACCTATTTTTCATTTAACTCGATAAATGGATGTTTTCGTGGAATGTAAGAGGAAATCCTTGGAAAAACTCTGATGCTTTAGAAGTATCATACCACTTATCACTAGAGCTCATTCCATCACTGGGAAATATATAATTGATTAAATTAACTGACTCTCTCAGAAATCCCTTGTTCAATCACTTTGCAGAGAATTCTCATCAACACAGTTAATGCATTTAGTTGACACTGACTAGTTACTAATTTAGCAGTGATTTGAGAGAATGGGTTAAAGGATATGCATGTTATAATAGAGGAGAAGAAAGTTAGGTCAGGATTTGGGGATACTATTATCAGTGGCACAGCAAAGTGGGGTTTTGTGCAAGTGGCATCTAGAAAATATGAAGTCCTAGTTGGTAGAAGAAAAAATGAAGCAAAGCCATGGGAAAGGATGTTAAGAATAAAACATACAGATGTTAAAAAACATATTATATATGCAATATTTACAGGTGATTGATATATTAATACATAATAAATACATTTACATGCAATTATATGTCATATGTTTTATATATTACAAAAGAATCAAAGGGACAAGATTTAGTCTGTGGTAGAATTTTAAGCAAATATTTTGAAATGAATAAGATAGTAAAAAATCGAGCTGAAAGAAATTCTAAAGGGCTTTTTTATTTTCATCATTTCCCAGAAAAGGCCCTGTTTCTGCCAAATAAAGCTAAGTACCTTTTTTTTTCAAGGTGAGAGACAGAATAAGAAGCAAGGGTTACCTTATTCCCATTTATACTGTATATGTTAGCCAAGTTGAATGACTTGCAGTTCATTGTTTACTTCATGATTTTCACATTCCTCTGCCTTTGCACTTGCCTCACCCTTAAATGGATGGTGTGCATGTGTCTCCTGTTTATCCTTTATCTGTATTTGCCTATTTGCTTTTCTGCTTTTCTAGCCTAGTTGAATTATGTAAGAAATGAAACTGTATCCCTTTCATTTTCACATCTCTCAGTGGCTAACTCACAGTGGATGCTTAATAAATATTTGTTTAAAAAATTGAATAGGTATCGGCTAGAACTGACATTTTATACACTGTAGTTTTTCTCCCATTATTTATTTTAAATTGTAAGGATTTCTTTTATATGAATTGTGAAATTTAGATTACATTATTTTATCTATAGATGCCACATTTTAAATGCCTTGGTTTCAATGATTTTTCTCTTGACCATCTGTTATCAAGTAAATTTTATAACTACATTTCATTGTTTCTATTTTACAACTTTTGTAATACTTTAATTTTCATGCCCAGTAATGTCTCCAAAATGGGGAAGATATGGTTACAAGAATGTACTATACTTTTCATATGTCATATTAAATTCCTTTATTCCAATAGCTAAACAGTGTCCAACTCTCTATTTTAACAGCTTTGGTTAAACAGAATATTTCTGGTTTCATCTATTATTCTTTTACATCTTTTAGGTGTTTCTGTAAATTCAGAGTACATCAAGAAAATTAGGCATTCTGTGTTGTTTTAGCTGTTTTGCATTGAACAAAAACATGTTAATCAAATTGTGACAGACAGTCAGAAGTAAAATGGAGCAATATGAGACTATGCAGAAAAAAAAAAAGAATAACTAAAATTTCACGTGGAAAGGAACATTTTATAAAAGCTTTTCCAAAGAGCGTTTACCAAAAAGATATCCTAGTGCATGAGGGCATTTTAACTTTCTATCTTAACTACTTTATATAACTAATTTCACTTGGCTACTTTATATTTTTTTCAGTATTTGAATAATGTTTAACAATTTTATTACTGGAACATGCTATAAACCTACTTAAATATTGAGAAAAACTTGTTCCACATTCTCATTATAAGGCATTCTATCTTATAAGATCATTGTCTATTTCAGATTAAATTTATGTTGTTTCATTTATTCAGAGACACAAATTCAACTTCTATTCATTTGCATCTCTAACATTTTTAAGAAAATGCTCATAAGCATTTAGATTTACACACATTTATTTGTATTTAATGATATAACTTATGTAGAGTATATAAATGTCTTTTATGGCTTTCACATAAGCACATCTTGGGACTAAACAATATTATGAGGTTATGAGTATCCTTCTTTACTGTATTTTTTTTTTTTGAGAGTTTCTCTCTGCAGCCTCCACGTCCCAAGTTCAAGCTATTCTCCTGCCTCAGCCTCCTGAGTAGCAGGGATTACAGGTGTGCGCCACCACGCCTGGCTAACTGTTGTATTTTTCGTAGAGACGGGGTTTCACCATGTTGGTCAGGCTGGTCTTGAACTCCTGACCTCAGGTGTTCTGCCCACCTTGGCCTCCCAAGGTGCTGGGATTACAGGCATGAGCCACAGTGCCCGGCCATCCCTCTTTACTCTTAATTCAAGGGGTCATTTTGAGCTAACTAAAGTAAGGGTTGCTAGGCATAAATCAGGACAGGAATTAGAGAATCAGAATTTATAGGAGTGTATCCTGGATCAGAATGTTAACAAGTAGCACAGAAAAATCATATATATATATATATATATATATATATATATATATATATATATATATATAATTTATATATATGTATATATAATATATGCGTGTATATATATATAATTTGAAAGTTAGTGGTTCACTAGGTCAGGTAAGCAGGATAATGACAGTAGAGGCCATAACAAGTTCTGAATGATAAAAAAATCTGAAGTAAAAAGAGTAGTCAACAGAATTGAACAGATAATTTAGAAAAACAGAAAAAGAACTTACTATGAATGCAAATATTCCTATTTATTCAGTGGCTTTTTAACACTTTCTTCTATGGTGTAAACCTAGCTGACAGGAAGGCAGCTTTAGCTAGTAAATAGGCTTACTGTAGCACAAGATATTTAAATAGTTTTCTGAAGAACTCTGTTTGGGACCTTGGAGAGAGGACAGAAAGAGGAAGAGATAAATGAAGGATATGTGAAAGTAATAATAAAAACTAAGTAGTAATCTGAGGTATGCAAGGGAGGCAACCAATAGAAAGAGAAATATGAATATTGCTGACTGCATAAACATGACATCATTTTTATTTCTATTTTTATTTCATCTCTGTCTATATTACCTATATGACATGGTAGGAAGTAGACACCCTGAGGAGTGAGAGAGGGTAAGGGTGGGAGAGCGATTTAAATCCTTATGTGATTGATAAAATGTATTATTTGGCCAGTGAAACATTGTAGTTTGGAGTAATAATTCAACTTGTGCAAATTGCTTCTAGTGTCATGTTACTTACTCAAAAACATTGTTTACTATATTAATCTCTAGTGCAAAGTCTATTTGGGTTCATCATGTGTTTATTAATTTTTTGTTAAATATCATATTAGGATAATGTCATTAATAAATTATTGATGATAAAGAAAATTATTTAATGTGCTTAAATGATCATATTACTATAATAAACTATTTGTGTATAAGCAACTGAACATATTCCTGATTTCTCAGACTTTTATAATAAACATGTCTTAAGAATTAAAAAAGTGAGAAAATATTTAATTTTATTAATTGTTTGTTACTATGTTTTAATGCATAATTTCACCAATAACTTACTTTTTTCTCATCTGGGTACGCTTAAGAAACTGAGGAATAATGTAAAAATAACAAAATTTATCAGAACTGCCTTAATTCATTAGAATTTAAACACTGAAAATATTGATCCATTCTATGTTTAGAAAATTATTCAAAGAATAAAATCTCATATAGAATATCATTTATTTTTAGGTTATCTTACTTGAAACTTGAAACTGCAACATATTATATCTGACATTTTATGCTGATTACCTTTTTAAAAATGATCACACCAGATAGCTAACAGTTTTCAGGTTCAACATTATTATATAAATAAAATGAGGAAACATTCATAATAAGTTAACTTTAATCTTGGGAAAAAAAGCAACTAGGTGATTGTGAACCAACATCCCTCATTAAATTAATTGGTTTACCTAATTCTTATGTCTGCTAAATGCAGCTTATTAAGCTTTATGCTCTTTTACATTTATTACAGTAACATCTTGTGAATTTTGTGTTATTTTTCTTTATAATCATCTTATAAATAATTTGATCGTTGAAGAAGCTTAACCTACTTTGCTAAGGAGAAAAATATCTTCAAATTGCTGGTTCAACAATATAATCTTGAAAATAATCTCTGCTAGGGCCTAGATGATTTGCATGGACTTCTGGTAATATATCAGTTAGCTTGGACTACCATAATAAAACACCACAGACTGTAGCTTAAACAACAGAGATTTATTTTCTCACAGTTTAGAGGCTGGAAGTACCATATCAGAGTGCCAGCATGATTAGATTCTAATGAAGGATCTCTTGCTGGGTTGCAGATAGCTATCATCTTGCAATGTACTCATATGGCTCTGCCTTGATCTATGTGCATGGAGAGAGAAAGAGAAGAAGATCTTTGGTGTCACTTCTTACAAGGACCATAACTGTATCAGATTACAATGTCATGCTTATGATCTCACTTAATCACATATGTAAAGGCCCTATGCCCATTATAGTCACATAAAGGGTTAGGGCTTCAATATATGAATTGTGGGGTAAGAAATTAAATTCATAGCATTCTACCCCTGGCTCTCTCAATTTCATGTCCTTATCATGGGCAAGATGTATTTTTTTCATCCCAACAATCTCAAGATGTTTTTAGTCATTCCATCTAAACTCTAAATTTGAAAGTCCAAAGCATCATCTAAATATCATCAAATCAGATGAAGGGAAGACTCAAACTATGATTTATTCTGATGTAAATTTCTTTCTGGCTATAAAACTGTAAAACCAGACAAAGTATGTGTTTCCAAAATGCAGTAGTTGGTCAGGCATAGAATCGACATTATTATTCCAAAAGGCAAAAATAAGGAGAAAAATGTGTGGGCGAAAGGTCTCAACCAACTCAGAAATCTAGAAAGATAATTTTCCATAGATCTTAAGGCTTTAATAATACTCTTTGGCTTAATACTCTGCTATCCAGGACTGCTGGAGACAGAGTCACCCACACAGCTGTACAAGGAAGCCTCACTCCTTCGGTCCTCTGTGAGAAATCTACCCATGTGGCTTCCTATGGGGCAGCTCCACTCCTTAAGCCCTGGATGTGGTCCTGCTGTCCCACAGAAAAAAGGGAACCTGATCCTGCCCTTTGAAATGGAGGAGGAAACAGCCTTTCCCTCTAAGCCTGTGGCAAGAATGGTATCTCTGATGCTCTCAGAATCACCTTTAGGAATTTTATTTTTCTTCTTTTTTTTATTATACTTTAAGTTTTAGGGTACATGTGCACATTGTGCAGGTTAGTTACATATGTATACATGTGCCATGCTGGTGCGCTGCACCCACTAACTCGTCATCTAGCATTAGGTATATCTCCCAATGCTATCCTTCCCCCCTCCCCCCACCCCACAACAGTCCCCAGAGTGTGATATTCCCCTTCCTGTGTCCATGTGATCTCATTGTTCAATTCCCACCTATGAGTGAGAATATGCGGTGTTTGGTTTTTTGTTCTTGCGATAGTTTACTGAGAATGATGTTTTCCAATTTCATCCATGTCCCTACAAAGGACATGAACTCATCATTTTTTATGGCTGCATAGTATTCCATGGTGTATATGTGCCACATTTTCTTAATCCAGTCTATCATTGTTGCACATTTGGGTTGGTTCCAAGTCTTTGCTATTGTGAATAATGCCGCAATAAACATACGTGTGCATGTGTCTTTATAGCAGCATGATTTATAGTCCTTTGGGTATATACCCAGTAATGGGATGGCTGGGTCAAATGGTATTTTCAGTTCTAGATCCCTGAGGAATCGCCACACTGACTTCCACAATGGTTGAACTAGTTTACAGTCCCACCAACAGTGTAAAAGTGTTCCTATCTCTCCACATCCTCTCCAGCACCTGTTGTTTCCTGACTTTTGAATGATTGCCATTCTAACTGGTGTGAGATGGTATCTCATTGTGGTTTTGATTTGCATTTCTCTGATGGCCAGTGATGATGAGCATTTTTTCATGTGTTTTTTGGCTGCATAAATGTCTTCTTTTGAGAAGTGTCTGTTCATGTCCTTCGCCCACTTTTTGATGGGGTTGTTTGTTTTTTTCTTGTAAATGGGTTTGAGTTCATTGTAGATTCTGGATATTAGCCCTTTGTCAGATGAGTAGGTTGCAAAAATTTTCTCCCATTTTGTAGGTTGCCTGTTCACTCTGATGGTAGTTTCTTTTGCTGTGCAGAAGCTCTTTGGTTTAATTAGATCCCATTTGTCAATTTTGTCTTTTGTTGCCATTGCTTTTGGTGTTTTAGACATGAAGTCCTTGCCCACGCCTATGTCCTGAATGGTAATGCCTAGGTTTTCTTCTAGGGTTTTTATGGTTTTAGGTCTAACGTTTAAGTCTTTAATCCGTCTTGAATTGATTTTGGTATAAGGTGTAAGGAAGGGATCCAGTTTCAGCTTTCTACATATGGCTAGCCAGTTTTCCCAGCACCATTTATTAAATAGGGAATCCTTTCCCCATTGCTTGTTTTTCTCAGGTTTGTCAAAGATCAGATAGTTGTAGATATGCGGCGTTATTTCTGAGGGCTCTGTTCTGTTCCATTGATCAATATCTCTGTTTTGGTACCAGTACCATGCTGTTTTGGTTACTGTAGCCTTGTAGTATAGTTTGAAGTCAGGTAGTGTGATGTCTCCAGCTTTGTTCTTTTGGCTTAGGATTGACTTGGCGATGCGGGCTCTTTTTTGGTTCCATATGAACTTTAAAGTAGTTTTATCCAATTCTGTGAAGAAAGGCATTGGTAGCTTGATGGGGATGGCATTGAATCTGTAAATTACCTTGGGCAGTATGGCCATTTTCATGATATTGATTCTTCCTACCCATGAGCATGGAATGTTCTTCCATTTGTTTGTATCCTCTTGTATTTCCTTGAGCAGTGGTTTGTAGTTCTCCTTGAAGAGGTCCTTCACATCCCTTGTAAGTTGGATTCCTAGGTATTTTATTCTCTTTGAAGCAATTGTGAATGGGAGTTCACTCATGATTTGGCTCTCTGTTTGTCTGTTATTGGTGAATAAGAATGCTTGTGATTTTTGTACATTGATTTTGTATCCTGAGACTTTGCTGAAGTTGCTTATCAGCTTAAGGAGATTTTGGGCTGAGACAATGGGGTTTTCTAGATATACAATCATGTCGTCTGCAAAAAGGGACAATTTGACTTCCTCTTTTCCTAATTGGATACCCTTTATTTCCTTCTCCTGCCTAATTGCCCTGGCCAGAACTTCCAACACTATGTTGAATAGGAGTGGTGAGAGAGGGTATCCCTGTCTTGTGCCAGTTTTCAAAGGGAATGCTTCCAGTTTTTGCCCATTCAGTATGATATTGGCTGTGGGTTTGTCATAGATAGCTCTTATTATTTTGAAATACGTCCCATCAATACCTAATTTATTGAGAGTTTTTAGCATGAAGGGTTGTTGAATTTTGTCAAAGGCTTTTTCTGCATCTATTGAGATAATCATGTGGTTTTTGTCTTTGGCTCTGTTTATATGCTGGATTACATTTATTGATTTGCATATATTGAACCAGCCTTGCATCCCAGGGATGAAGCCCACTTGATCATGGTGGATAAGCTTTTTGATGTGCTGCTGGATTTGTTTTGCCAGTATTTTATTGAGGATTTTTGCATCAATGTTCATCAAGGATATTGGTCTAAAATTCTTTTTTGTGTGTGTGTCTCTGCCTGGCTTTGGTATCAGAATGATGCTGGCCTCATAAAATGAGTTAGGGAGGATTCCCTCTTTTTCTATTGATTGGAATAGTTTCAGAAGGAATGGTACCAGTTCCTCCTTGTACCTCTGGTAGAATTCAGCTGTGAATCCATCTGGTCCTGGACTCTTTTTGGTTGGTAAGCTATTGATTATTGCCACGATTTCAGATCCTGTTATTGGTCTATTCAGAGATTCAGCTTCTTCCTGGTTTAGTCTTGGGAGAGTGTATGTGTCGAGGAATTTATCCATTTCCTCTAGATTTTCTAGTTTATTTGCGTAGAGGTGTTTATAGTATTCTCTGATGGTAGTTTGTATTTCTGTGGGATCGGTGGTGATATCCCCTGTATCATTTTTTATTGCATCTATTAGATTCTTCTCTCTTTTTTTCTTTATTAGTCTTGCTAGCAGTCTATCAATTTTGTTGATCCTTTCAAAAAACCAGCTCCTGGATTCATTAATTTTTTGAAGTGTTTTTTGTGTCTCTATTTCCTTCAGTTCTGCTCTGATTTTAGTTATTTCTTGCCTTCTGCTAGCTTTTGAATGTGTTTGCTCTTGCTTTTCTAGTTGTTTTAATTGTGATGTCAGGGTGTCAATTTTGGATCTTTCCTGCTTTCTCTTGTGGGCATTTAGTGCTATAAATTTCCCTCTACACACTGCTTTGAATGTGTCTCAGAGATTCTGGTATGTTGTGTCTTTGTTCTCGTTGGTTTCAAAGAACATCTTTGTTTCTGCCTTCATTTCGTTATGTGCCCAGTAGTCATTCAGGAGCAGGTTGTTCAGTTTCCATGTAGTTGAGCAGTTTTGAGTGAGATTCTTAATCCTGAGTTCTAGTTTGATTGCACTGTGGTCTGAGAGACAGTTTGTTATAATTTCTGTTCTTTTACATTTGCTGAGGAGAGCTTTACTTCCCAGGATATGGTCAATTTTGGAATAGGTGTGGTGTGGTGCTGAAAAAAATGTATATTCTGTTGATTTGGGGTGGAGAGTTCTGTAGATGTCTATTAGGTCCGCTTGGTGCAGAGCTGAGTTCAATTCCTGGGTATCCTTGTTGACTTTCTGTCTCATTGATCTGTCTAATGTTGACAGTGGGGTGTTAAAGTCTCCCATTATTAATGTGTGGGAGTCTAAGTCTCTTTGTAGGTCACTCAGGACTTGCTTTATGAATCTTGGTGCTCCTGTATTGGGTGCATATATATTTAGGATGGTTAGCTCTTCTTGTTGAATGAACCCTTTACCATTATGTAATGGCCTTCTTTGTCTCTTTTGATCTTTGTTGGTTTAAAGTCTGTTTTATCAGAGACTAGGATTGCAACCCCTGCCTTTTTTTTGTTTTCCATTTGCTTGGTAGATCTTCCTCCATCCTTTTATTTTAAGCCTATGTGTGTCTCTGCACGTGAGATAGGTTTCCTGAATACAGCACACTGATGGGTCTTGACTCATTTTTTTTTCAAAACTGTATTCTGGTTCTCATCTAATGTTCCACTTGCTCGTCAAGATCTCATCCATTCCATAGCTTAGAATACTATTCATAAT
Source organism: Homo sapiens (assembly GCF_000001405.40). Classification (NCBI taxonomy): domain Eukaryota; kingdom Metazoa; phylum Chordata; class Mammalia; order Primates; family Hominidae; genus Homo; species Homo sapiens. The sequence goes on from NC_000005.10 coordinate 101,112,496, forward strand.
CTGACCATGCCTACATTTACATATTTGGAATAGAATTATATAATTCTGTTCTATACTTTGTATTTTATATAGTCATGCCCTGCATAATGACATTACAGTCAACAATGAACTGCATACATGATGGGACTCCCATAAGCTTATAAGGTCATCATATCATATTTTTACTGTACCTTTTCTATGTTTAGATATGTTTAGATACACAAATGCTTACCATTGTGTTACAATTGCCTACATAATTCAGTACAATACTATGCTGTACAGGTTGGTAGCCTGGGAACAATAGACCATATCATCTAGCCTAGGTGTGTAGTAGGCAATAGTCTCTAGGTTTGAATAAGTACACTCTACAATGTTTAAACAATGATGAAATTGCCTAATGACACATTTCTCAGAATGTTTTCCCATTGTTAAGCAACAAGAGCCTCTCTTGCTCTGTTTATGTACATATATGCCATCTCTATTGAATATTCTTATGTGTGATTTAAATTTAACTATCTAAAATTAAACTGAAATTTTTGCTTTGTAAGCTTAATATATAATGAATATTTTTAAACCTCAGTTCAGAATCATAACATTTTCATCGAAATCACTCCCCTCTTGACTTTTAGTTTAGGCTGATTATTTCTCTTCTAGCTGATTTCTATAGGTTGGAGTTTTTTAGGGATTACTTTTCCTTTCTTTGAAGAACAGTCTGCATTTCCAGCCTAATAGCTCTGTGATCTACTGTGGTAGTACCCAAAAAGTCTGAAAGTTTTTCTTTGTTCTTCCCACATTCTCTGTCTTCTTTAGTTCAAACTGGCAGCACTTGCCAGTGGTTAATCCCATTTCTATTCCTGGCTTCTGCTGAAATGGTTTACTCCAGGAGTTGAACCTGTAATGTCTTTATGAAATGATTGCTCAGGCACACCTTAGTGTTGTCTCTCAGAACAAGCTTTCTCATTTTGTTCAATATAGATAGGCTGAAACATTCCCAAATATTTATGTTCTGTCTTTTGTTGTCATTGTGAAAAATGTTCTCTTCAATTCATCTCTCTCCTTTTGCATTTTACTATTAATAGTCAGAAGGATCCAAGTTGCTCTTTCAACACTTCCTTACAAATCTCCATAGCTAATTACCCTACTTCATTGCTTGCTAGTTCTACTTCCACAAAACACTAGAACACAGTTCAGCCATGTTCTTTGCCACTTTATAACAAAGATCACCTTTTCTCTAGTTTCCATAACCTATTCTTCATTTCCATGTGAGACCTCACCAGAATCACCATTAACATCCATATTTCTGGCATGTATTTCAAAACTCTTTTAGCCTCTACCCATTATCCAGTTCAAAGACTGCTTCCACAGCAGTAACCCATTTCTCAGTACCAAAACCTATCTGGGTTAGTTCAGACTGCTATCACAAAACACCATAGACTGTGTGGCCTAAACAACAGAAATTCATTACCTTATAGCCTAGAGACTGGAAGTTCCAAGATCATTGTCCCAGCCTGGTCAAATTCCAGTGAAATTTTTCATTCTTGTTTACAGGTCACTGCCATCTTATTGGATACATATTTGTGCATATGAGGAGAGACAGCAAGTTCATCTCTTCTGATAAGGACAATCTTTATATTAGATGAAGTTTCCACCTTTACGATGCTATTTAATGTTAATCACTTTTTTTTTTTTGAGATGGAGTCTTGCACCATCGCCCAGGCTGGAGTGCAGCAGTGCAATCTCGGCTCACTGCAACCTCCACTTCCCGGGTTCAAGCTGGGACTTTCTCAGTCTCCCGAGTAGCTGGGACTACAGGCGCCTGCCACCACACCCGGCTAATTTTTCTATTTTTAGTAGAGATGAGATTTCATCTTGTTGGTCAGGTTGGTCTCGAACTCCTGACCTAAGGTAATCTACCCACCTCAGCCTCCCAAAGTGCTGGGATTACAGGCATGAGCCACCATGCCTGGCCTGTTAATCACCTTTTTAAAGGCCCTGTCTCCAATGTAGTCACAAAGGCAGTATTAAAGCTTCAACATATGAATTTGTCTATTCAGTCTACAGCAGATAACCATTGGACTGTATTTGTAAAATCTGAAAAATTATGTATCACATAATGACTGAGAAATCATCCTAGATCTCTCTTTCTAGGCGTTCAATAAATAATGACCTCATACTGTTAATTAAACAAAGAATTGTTGTTCTAGATACTGTGTTAGGGGCCAGATATAAGTGAACAAATGAGAGCTAATTGTTGATCACTTATATTTGGTGTAATAAATACTAATAAATGAAAAACTCCCAGTGTAAGAAAAAGTGTGGGATTAGCAAAGGGTTCCCTGAGAAAATTAAAGGTAAATTGAAATCTAAATGCAGAATTGAAGTCTTGGAAGCGTTCCAGGAAAGAACAGCTCTGATAGTAATCAGCATGTGCAAAGGTGAAAAGACTAAAGCATATTAAATGACCTGAAAGAAGACTGAATTAGAAATGACTAATTTAATTTTTAAATTCATTACTTTGGTTTTTCAAGGAAAAATAGTTTGGAATGGGACAGCGGAAGCAAAGAAACAACTTAGGAAACCATCTCCTAGACCAGCAGAGAAGGCATGGTCACTCAAAATGGGGGTGCAGAAAGATTGGGGATATAGTAAGAATGTAGTATAATATCATATGGTAATAAATTGAATATTTATGGCATAATGGAAGTAATAAGATTAGTGACTTCCAGATTTATGGTACTCAAAACATGCATGGAGTGGTGACTTACTGTATGTAAGAGGTGCAGAATTGAAATTTTTCAGTTTAATTTTAGATAGTTAAATTTAAATCACACATAAGAACATTCAATAGAGATTGCATATATGTACATAAACATAGAGAGAGGGTCTTCTGTTGCTTAACAATGGGAAAACATTCTGAGAAATGTGTCATTAGGGGATTTTATCATTGTTTAAACATCATAGAGTGTACTTATTCAAACCTAGAGAGTATTGCCTACTACACACCTAGGCTAGATGATATGGTCTATTGTTCCTAGACTACAAACCTGTGTAGCATAGTACTGTACTGAATTCTGTAGGCAATTGTGACACAATGGTAAGTATTTGTGTATCTAAACATATCTAAACATAGAAAAAGTACAGTAAAAATATGATATGATAACCTTATAAGTTTATGGGAGCACCATCGTGTATATAGTTCATTGTTGACTGTGATGTCATTATGCAGGGCATGACTATATAAATAAAATACAAAATATTGAAGAGAATTATATACTTCTATTCCAAATATGTAAATGTAGGCATGGTCAGATTATGAATAGTATTCTAAGCTATGGAGTAGATGAGATCTTGAAGAGCAAGTGGAACGTTAGATGAGAAACAGAATAAAGTTTTGAAAAAAAACACAAAAAACAAAAACTCCAACCTATAGAAATCAGGCAGAGGAGAAACAATCAGCCTAAACTAAAAGTCAAGACAAGTGTGATTTAGATAAAAATGTTATGATTCTGAATTGATGTTTAAAACTATTCATTATATATTAAGCTCACAAAGCAAAGAGTAAAATATCGTATCTTTAATAGATTATTTTCAAATCTATCCATGCATTGAAATAATAAATTTAAGAAAAATAGTGAAGTTGATATTTGTAGGTGTTGAATTGCGAGACTTTTTTTGTTTTTTTTAAATTTTTTTGTTAAACTTATTTTATTTTCTTCATTTTCTCTACAGAATATACATTTTGTTTGTAATATAAACATCAAATTTATTTTGAATCTGAAAGTACATTAAATGCTTGTATCTTATGAAAAGAGGAAAGGCAAATCTTGTAAGCTACTATGAAATATATAATTTAGTAAACTTGACATAAATTAGGGTCTCTCTGATTAAATATATTTATAGGTCAGTGACATACTCAGAATCTTTCTTTTAGGCTGTAATGTATATTTCTGTATATACTATTGTTTATTTGAAAGGAAATACATTTTAATTAAAAATAATTAATTGTTTGCTGTCCAGTAAACTTTTTTTATCTCCTGGAGCAAGTAATACCAGTTTTAAAATACAAGATCAACACACAATTTTGGATAGGTAGTGATATGGTTTGGCTGTGTCCTCACCCAAATCTCATCTTGAATTGTAATAATCCCCACATGTCAAGGATAGGGCCAGATGAAGATAATTGAATCATGAGGGAGGTTCTCCATACTGTTCTTGTGGTAGTGAACAAGTCTCACAAGACCTGACGGTTTTAAAAATGGGAGTTCCCCTGCACAAGCTCTCTTGCCTGCTGCCATGTAAGATGTCCTGTTGTTCTTCCTTCATCTTCCACCATGATTGTGAGGCCTCCCCAGTCATGTGAAACTGAGTCCATTAAAACTATTTTCTTTATAAATTACCCAGTCTCAGGTATGCCTTTGTTAGCAGCATGAGAATGGACTAATACAGGTAAGTTTAAGGATTTTTACATATTATTTTTATCACTAGTCTACATTACAATGGAAAATGAGAATTTATAGGAAAAGAATGTTTTTCACATCCCTGCACTAAAAAGTATGTGCAAATAAAACACATGGTTTCAAAATGTTATTTATAATAATTATTGGAAAAAATAGAGTTTGATTCAAATATTGAATCAATATTTCAGTGTCCCAAATTTCCTCTAACCTTAGAGTTAAAATCCATTTAGTTAAGCAGATATCAGTACCTATAGAATCCACATATGCAATAGATGGTATCGTCCCATTATTAAATTATTATATTATGAATGACTCAGGATTTCTTTCTAAATATAGTATGCAGTTGTGCTATTTATTTGAAATTCCATCTAACCTATATAGGTAAGTTATACTGGATTTGATACAGTTAACATTTCCCTGTTTTGGAGGATTGGATTGATAATCTTTGAGTACATAGCAAGTACCAAAGTTTCAGCTGCTTAAGTCAGATAATTACATAAAAATGGAAAAAAATGATAAAAGTGCCAGAGCCTCTGTTTGCCCCTGCTCCTGAAATGACATAAGTATTGAAAAATATGTAAAATATTAATAATGTTTAATGTCTTACTTGCTTATCTTTAGCCAGATATGAGAACAAATCCAAATTCCAAAGCAACCATTATAAAAGGTTCAGTTTTCCCTCCAGTCAGTTATTATGAAGGATGTTGACAGTATATTATCATCATATATCTTTAAATTCTGGCAAGAACTTCATTGTGAAAAGAAGAAATTGAGTTCCACAAAACCTTTATTTAACACAGTTTACTTATATGTTAGGATGAATTGATAAAAGTAATTCATTTACTATTATCATTTTTAAAATAGTAGACAATGATAAAATGGACACAGTTCATGGTCAAGACCTCCTTTCATCTTTTCTCTCCACCCATTAGAAAGCTAAAAAATGTCACCTGGGCATTTTTTTTTCATGCATTAAATTTCAAGCACCATTAAGATTAAGATGCTTGGGACAGTGGATAAGAAAAGCTATTTGGTAAATGTATTAAAGCAGGTTAGTGAAAGATCTTAAGTTCTTATCTATACAAGGAGTGAGAGGGCAATAGATTATGCATTCTAACAATTAAAAATACATCTTCATTTGTTTTGCCAATTCCCCAGATTTATTCCTTAGAGGAGAAATTAAAATTATATGATCTGAAATATTCTAAAATACAAGAATAGTTCTTTTTTAGTAACTTTCCATTAATTTGAAGGAAGATTTCACATTAGACAGTTTTTATTCTAGAATTATGGATTCTGAACATCAACTGTAAAAATAGCAGAAATGCAAAATGCAGTTTTTGTCTAACCTTAATAAAATAATTAATAAAGTGTTTCAAAAATAAGTATTTTAAGGCACAATCAGTTATATAATAATGTTTGTTTCAAAAATAACATTTGTTGCAATGCAATTGATATATAGGAACAATTTAAACATAACAGATTTTACATTTGCTTCTGTGTGATTTCATTCACGAGAAATCCAAAGTAATCACTGAAAACTGTACCAAGCTGAACCCAATGGCACAGCAATACACAAACACACACACGTACAAGCTACCTCAATTCACTACGTGTGTTATGAGCCACATCCGTTCACATCTGATGTTATTAATTTCATACAACCGAACTTCAGGTAATTTTCAAGGAAAATTGATATATTTATTAAGTATTTATGCAGTTCTTAACCTCTTAACATATACAAAACTGTACTGTCATTTTTATGGGTTTCTATTTTTTCCATAAACCCAGAATATTTCCTTATTCATTTTTTCACAGCTGCTAATTTTTAACACTGCATATCTAGAGTTATAGGAGAGCTGACTATAGTATATTTAATGAATTAAACCTACATCATTTGTATTTGCATAAAAAGACTGAGAATAAATAAAATTTATACTGATCTTAGGCTCTCTTGGGAATGAAAGATTAATTGGCATCATTAAACCTAGCTATAGTATACGTTAAGTCCTTGAGCTGCACAGTTTTCTTTAAGTAGGGTATGTGTTAGTAAAAAAAGGCAATTTATAAAAGTTTTTAGATAATGTATAATAGGCCTGACTACCTAATATTTATTTTTGTTTTTTATGAGTCAAACCAAAAGATTAACTTTAAAATGTATTAATAAAATGAAACATTTAAAAATATTTTATTTACTTAAAATTCTTTATCCCTTAACACCTAAATATATGTTCATATGTAAATGCCTATGTAAGTTCATTATACTCACAAATGTCATTGTCTCTTTGGGTTGGTGTGATATGGTGATATTTTTATTCAGTATTTCTCTTTTAAATATCATAAGCTGCAAAATAAACCATTCTAAAATTAGTGGCTTAAAATAACAATAATCTATTATTTATCATGATTTTGTGGGTTAGTTGGATGACTCCTCTCCTGTTTTGCCTGCATTTATCAGAGGATGAGCTAAGAGACTCACTTGTCTGGAAATTGTTGCTGAGTTATCAACTAGTAAAGATTGGTTCTTCTTCACATAGCTTGTAAAGATCCAGTGGATTAGCCAGTTACCTTAAACAACACTCTCAGTGCACCCCTCAAGGAGACGAAATATAAGTCATCATAAGACCAGGGCCCAAAAGATAGGACTTTACTTCTCCCACATTCAACTGGGTCCAAGCAGACAGAAAATCAATCCGGATTCAAGGGAGAATTAAGTAGACTCCATTTCCCAATGGAAGTGTAGCAAAGTCACATAATAAAAGGTAGTAGGAGGAAAATTTTTAACCATCTGTGAAAACAATAAACCATGAAATGCATTTCAAAATTTGTAACAGGAGAAAATTTTATAAACACCTTTTAAAAACATACAACCAGAAAGATGGATCACTATAATTAAAATAAGTAATGTGTTGAATGGTTAATGTAAACAAAACAAAATAAAAACATGAACATCTGATCTAAACTGGAATTGTGAGAACTATGATGTGAAAGAACCAATTGATGGGTGACAATTATTTTTGTAGGAAAACATATTTCTACAAAAATACATGTATTAAGGGAGGCATCTTAGAAAAATGACAGGTATGTAGCAATAACACATGTCTCCTGTTGAGTTATGTGGAAGGAGAATGAAGTGTCTTAAGTAAATTAGCAAAGATAATTCTGTAAGGAAACAAAGGAGTTTCAACTCATTCTAAGAATACAATTCTAAACATTTTTTAATTGATAAATTATACATGCATATGTTTATGGGGGTACAAAATAGTGTCATAATATTTGAATACAATGTTGAATGGTTAAACCAAGTGAGTTAACATATTTATCACCTCAAATATTTAACAATTTTATGATAAGAACTTTTGAAATTCACTCTTTTAGTGAAATTTAAATGTACGGTATTCAGTTATTAGCTTTATTCTTCATGCTGTGTAACTGATTTCAAAAAGAGGAAAAGAAATGAAATGTATTTTTCCTATCTAAGTAAGGCTTCTACCATTTGACTGTATCCTCATTCTCCCCATGGCCCAGTCTCTGATAAATACCTGTAGTAATCTGTTTTCACACTGCTGATAAGGACATACCCAAGACTGAGCAATTTACCAAAGAAAGAGGTTTAATGGACTTCCATTTCCACATGGCTGGGGAGACCTCACAATCATGGCAGAAGGCAAGAAGGAGCAAGTCACGTCTTACATGGATGACAGCAGGCAAAAATAGAAAGCTTGTGCAGGGAGACCCCCAATACACAAACCATCAGATCTCATGAGACCCATTAACTATCATGAGAACAGCCCAGGAAAGACCTGCCCCCATGACTCAATCATCTTTCACTAGGTCCCCCCTATAACATGTGGGAATAATAGGAATAAAAAGATGAGATTTGGGTGGGGACACAGGGCCAAACCATATCATTCTGCACCTGGCCCCTCCCAAATCTCAGATCTTCACATTTCAAAACCAATCATGCCTTCCCAACAGTCCCCCAAAGTCTCAACTCATTTTAGCATTACCTCAAAAGTCCACAGTCCAATGTATTTTCTGAGATGAGCCAAGTTCCTTCAGCCCATGAGCCTATAAATTCAAAAGCAAGTTAGTTACTTCCTAGATACAATGGGGGGTATGGGCATTGGGTAAATACAGCCATTCCAAATGGGAGAAATTGGCCAAAACAAAGGGGCTACAGGCCCCATGCAAAGCCAAAATCTAGCAGGGCAGTCAAATCTAATGCAGGAGGTGAGTACCCATGGTCTTGGGCAGATTCATCCCTGGGGCTTTGCAGAGTATAGTCTCCCTCCCAGCTGTTTTCACCGCTGATGTTGAGTGTCTGTGGCTTTTCCATGCACACGGTGCAAGCTGTTGGTGGATCTACCATTCTGGGGTCTGGAGGACAGTGGATCTCTTCTCACAGCTCCACTAGGTGGTACCCCAGTGGGAACTCTGCATAGGGGCTCTACCCCACATTTCCCTTCTGCACTGTCCTAGCAGAGGTTCTCCATGAGAGCTCCACCCCTGCAGCAAACTTTTGCCTGGCCATCCAGGTGTTTGCATACATCTTTTGAAATCTAGGCAGAGGTTCCCAAACCTCAATTCTTGATGTGTGTGCACTCACAGGCTCAACACCACGTGGAAGCTGCCAAGGCTTGAGGCTGTACCCTCTGAAACCATGGCTCAAGCTCTGCATTGGCCCCTTTCAGCCCCAGCTGGAGCAGCTAGGATGGGGGGCACCAAGTCCCTAGGCTGAACACAGCAGAGGGATCCTGGGTCTGGCCCACAAAACCAATTTTTCCTCCTAAACCGCCAGGCCTTCGATGGGCTGCCTGAAAGGTCTCTGACATACCCTGGAGACATTTTCCCAATTGCCTTGGTGATTAGCATTTGGCTCCTTGTTACTTATGCAAATATATGCAGGCTTAAGTTTCGCCTCAGAAAATGGGATTTTCTTTTTTATCAATTTATCAGGCTGCAAATTTTCCAAACTTTTATGCTCTGTTTCCCTTTTAAAACTGAATGCCTTTAATAGCACCCAACTCACCTCTTGAATGATTTGCCTCTTAAAAATTTCTTCCTCCAGATAACCTAAATTATCTCTCTCGAGTTCAAAGTTCCAGAAATCTCTAGGGCAGGGGCAAAATGCTGCCAGTCTTTTTGCTAGAACATAACAAGAGTCACCTTTGGTCCAGTGTCCAAAAGGTTCTGAGACCACCTAAGCCTGGATTTCATTGTCCGTATCATTATCAGCATTTTGGTCAAAGCCATTCAACAAGTCTGTAGGGAGTTCCAAACTTTCCCACATCTTCCTGTCTTCTTCTGAACCCTCCAAACTGTTCCAACCTCTGCCTGAAACCCAGTTCTAAAGCTGCTTCCACATTTTTCAGGTGTCTTTTCAGCAGTACTCCACTCCTGGTACCAATTTACTCTATTAGTCCATTTTCACACTGCTGTTAAGGACATACCCAAGACTGGGCAATTTACCAAAGAAAGAAGGTTAACTGGACTTACATTCCACCTGGCTGGGGAGGCCTCACAATCATGGTGGAAGGCAAGGAGGAGTAATGTTACATCTTATGTGGATGGTGGCAGGCAAAAAAGAGAGCCTATGCAGGGACACTCTCGTGTTTAAAATCATCAGATCTCATGAGACCCATTCACTATCATGAGAACAACACAGGAAAGACCCACCCCCATGATTCAATCATCTTCCAACAGGTCCCTCCCACAACATGTGGGAATTATGGGAGCTACAAGATGAGATTTTGATGGAGACACAGAGCCAGACCATATCAACACTATTCTATTCATTGCTTCCATGAGTTTAATTGTTTTAGATTTCACATGTAAGTCAGAGCATGCAGTATTAGTCTTTCTGTGTTTGACTTATTTCACTTGGTAAATGTCCGATTTCATCTACATTTTTGCAAATGACATAATTTCTTTGTTTTTAATGCTGAATTTATTACAATAAACAGCCTCATCAACTCAGGATTTTAATCCAGACTCAACAGATATATGTTTATGAGACAAAGTTTGAAGCCATTATTTTGGCTCAAAACTTAGTGCTTAGAACTGATTGTACAATTATTTTAAAACTGCAACATATATACAAATATACTATTATAAATGTAGGATAATGTGACTACTTTTTAGTAATTTGATGCTAAAACAGAAAAGCATAGTATCAGAAATATTAATGAATCTAGAAACATTAGAGAACACTTGGGAAAATATCTATCTTTTATAGGTTATTTTAAAAAGTCTTATGTTTTTTAAAATAGAGTTTAAAACTATGTTGGGATTGTGTCATTTGATTTTCATTTTAGTTTGTTTTTTCCAAAATAATTGGTAATTATATATTTGAAAAATAAGATTTATTTGTGACTTAATTAACATAATCAAAGATATAGTACATATTTTCTTTGTAAGATATCAAGTTTTTGATATGTCATTCTTGTGCCTAGGTAAATTTTAATTTAAATGGGTCAAAGCTGACAGTAGAGGGTCAGAAATTTCAATTCCTAACTGACATAACTGCAAATATTTTATTAGAATTTCAAAGATAAAAATGTATACTTCAGACATCTCCTTGATAGACATGACTTAAAATTTTTTGCCTATTGTAACAAAAATTTGTGCTGATGTTGCAAATATTTCTACAATTTATAAATGTCATTTTAGTTATATTCTTTCATATTTTGAAAGTAAAAGATGATGGGTAACAATTCACTTGCGCTTGACAGCGTAGGGAAAATGGAAGAGAGGCTAAATGATTCCAAGGTCAAAGGGCTAGTGGCAGACCTGGAACAATATCTATGCTACATTTTCTGTAATTTTCCCTGAATATACATTAAAACTGACAATACTGTCAAACTTTATAAATATCATGAGCCTCTGATACAGAATATAAATATCCATAATTTTTCTACCCAACTGGGCAATTTTGTTCTCCATAAAGTTATATACATACGTGTTTGCCTAAATATTTATTTTAAAGTTTTTTTTTCTGAGCTTCTCTTCCTGTCTTGAATGAATCTTCCTGCGCACTTAACAAAGGGAGAATTTGGACTCAAAGACAGTTTTATATCCAGCATTAATAAACACAAAGAAATTTAAAAATTCACTAAAATTCTTGATAATTCATTTTGAACTTAACTGCTTTTGGATTTCTTATATTTCATTATTTATGTTGAATTGTAAAGCACTTAGTAACTTTGGTCCTTACCTAATCACTCTAGCAGGTCCTTGGCTTACTGTATGTAGGTCAGTGTCAGTGTTTCAACTCTATTAAATGGAACATGTTTATCATTAATATATTCAATGGTATAAAGTTAATAGAAACTGATTCAAGATAAATTAATCTCAAAAATAATAATGTAATGTATAAGAAGAAAATGGAATGCCTACATTTGCTTTTTAGTAAAAGGCAATTTTTAATATAAGCAATGGGTGTGTTCTCTTACCAATGAGTGATCAAGCCATTCTCTCTGCATAGGACAATCTCTATTCTTAGTTTAATGAGTATTAGTTGTTTTATTTCAGTAAACCTTGCACACTTTTTATTTTTCATAACAATATTTTGAGTCCTTAAGAACATCCCACCATTTCTTTTTCTATTATTGTAAGAGTGACCAATCCAATTTCCCAGATTCAAGAGTGAATCATTTACCTAGACTTGGACAGTAATATTTTAAATTTTATCCCTTACAAAAATATTTATGGAGTGCCTACAATGTGAAAAGCAGTTTTTTAAGATGTTTGGGGTACAGTGCTGTAAAAAGATATGACCACTGATCTCATGAAGATTATGTGTATTGTATTAGATGTGCATTTTACTCTTTTTGCCTATTTCCAACCCTAGCTGTAGTTTCCAGAATGGGCATTTGATTCAAGCTAGGCAAATGAGATGAAACCCTGAAATTTCTCATGGAAACATGGGAAAATGAGATGACCTTGGTCATTCTATTTATTGTTTGTATGACAGAATATAAGCCAATGTTCTTACAGCCACACAGTAAGAGGCTGGCTAAATGGAGACGACTGGAGAACAGTCAGCTGGATCTAGCTTTTCCTGAGAACTAAAATTCAGCTCTGTTCTCTAAGACATTGTTTTCTTCTCCTCCTTCTTCTTCCTTTTTAGCAAAAAGCAGTTGAATTAAACTGTTTTTACTTGAAACTGACACATTTGGTGAGTATAGAAGCAGAGCAAAAAGGACTTAATGACATAATTTCAGTGTGGAATGACCCCAAGTACCACAACTAAATGTGCCCAGTCTTAGAGTCTTGTTTTTGCAAATGCCCATTGCACAGACTCTCCTCTGCATGGTACAGGAAGCAAATGCTATTATTTGTCTCTGCACGCTTGCCTTTTCTATGCTTTTTTCCCTGACTAAATCCTTTCAATTCCCAGATAACTTAATCTTCATTAAGATATATAAATCATTTCATATTAAATTTGAAGTCACTTAAAGTTTTATATTTTTTAATATTTTATTTTCCCCCATACTACACAGATATATTAATGTTTTAAAGTTTCATATTTAATGTGATTTTGCACTTTATGCTCTGGTTTCTATTGTACTTATTTCTTAGTTTAACTCATTAATTGTATATATTTCTTGCCAGAGTTTGCAAGCCTTTTCAAGGGATGACATTTCCTGTAACCCTTATAGCAACTTCAACACTCTTTATTTTCCAGCTTTATTGAGGTATTACAGACAAATTAAACCATATATAAGATTTCCAACATGATGGTTTGATGTATGTGTACATTGTGAAATGATAACCACAGTCACACTAACATAACCAACGTACCTACTTTTATATTTGAGTCAGAGACCATGGTTTAAAAGAAATTGATCAGCAATTCACATGTAGAGATACAAACAGGCATCTAGAGAGTAATATTTAATTAAATGTCTTCATATAAACTCTGAATATTTGGAGTAACTAGTAAAGGAGAAATCTTAAGAGACATTTGTGAGCAGTTTTTTCATCTTACTGGCTATGGGAAAAAAAAAAACAACACCAAGTCTTCTCCAACTTGTATTTATCTTTAAGAACAGTGTACTACTAAGGATGTCTTTTTTCTTCACTTGGTAAGGAAATATATTCCTTCAAGTTGGAGATGATGATGTAGATATTACTGAATTCAATTCGGTTAGGTAGAGTTTTTAGAGATAATAATATTGAGACTCCTTTGGGTATATACCCAGTAATGGGATGGCTGGGTCAAATGGTATTTCCAGTTCTAGATCCCTGAGGAATCGCCACACTGACTTCCACAATGGTTGAACTAGTTTACAGTCCCACCAACAGTGTAAAAGTGTTCCTATTTCTCCACATCCTCTCCAGCACCTGTTGTTTCCTGACTTTTGAATGATTGCCATTCTAACTGGTGTGAGATGGTATCTCATTGTGGTTTTGATTTGCATTTCTCTGATGGCCAGTGATGATGAGCATTTTTTCATGTGTTTTTTGGCTGCATAAATGTCGTCTTTTGAGAAGTGTCTGTTCATGTCCTTCACCCACTTTTTGATGGGGTTGTTTGTTTTTTTCTTGTAAATGGGTTTGAGTTCATTGTAGATTCTGGATATTAGTCCTTTGTCAGATGAGTAGGTTGTGAAAATTTTCTCCCATTGTATAGGTTGCCTGTTCACTCTGATGGTAGTTTCTTTTGCTGTGCAGAAGCTCTTTGGTTTAATTAGATCCCATTTGTCAATTTTGGCTTTTGTTGCCATTGCTTTTGGTGTTTTAGACATGAAGTCCTTGCCCATGCCTATGTCCTGAATGGTATTGCCTAGGTTTTCTTCTAGGGTTTTTATGGTTTTAGGTCTAACGTTTAAGTCTTTAATCCATCTTGAATTGATTTTTGTATAAGGTGTAAGGAAGGGATCCAGTTTCAGCTTTCTACATATGGCTAGCCAGTTTTCCCAGCACCATTTATTAAATAGGGAATCCTTTCCCCATTGCTTGTTTTTCTCAGGTTTGTCAAAGATCAGATAGTTGTAGATATGCGGCGTTATTTCTGAGGGCTCTGTTCTGTTCCATTGATCTATATCTCTGTTTTGGTACCAGTACCATGCTGTTTTGGTTACTGTAGCCTTGTAGTATAGTTTGAAGTCAGGTAGTACATTGAAAAAAAACAAATAATAATAATAATAATATTGAGACTCTAAATAAATAATTCCCCTTTGTTTTTATAAAGTGGGCATTTTCACTAGACTGAGGGAAAAACTATACACAGCAAAGAATAAATGTAATTATACAGAGTACAGAATGTAATTATATTAGAAATAGTAATTATTTATTATTGATTAATTAAAATATGAATTTAATTATTATCATTGGCTTTAATTGAAATGTGAAAATTGAAATACATTATATATCATTAGTAGAGAAAAATGAACTAAAGCTGTTGAAATTCATTTTCCTGAATTAATACATAGGCTTCCCAAAATCAATGAACAGGAAATTCTGGTTACCTATTTATCTTAATAGTATTATGGCTAGTAAAGATTGGCCTGGATGTGATCTTTCTTTTGAATGTAAAAAGCTGATTATTGGGAGGGCTATATCTAGCTAATATACGCATATAAATATCAGTATTCAAAATATTTATGCGAGCAAATTTATTTTAAAAATTGCAAATTCTCTCTTTAGGTCTTTGAGGAATCACCACACTGTCTTCCATAATGGTTGAAGTAATTTACACTCCCACCAACAGTGTATGAGTCCCTTTTTCTTCACAACCTCACCAGAATCTGTTATTTTTTGTTTTTAATAATAGCCATTCTGACTGGTGTTAGATTGTATCTCATTTTGGTTTTGATTTGCATTTCTCTAATGATCAGTCATGTTGAGCTTTCTTTCATGATTTTTGGCCACATGTATATCTTCTTTTGAGAAGTGTCTGTTTATGTCTTTTCTCACTTTTTAATGCGGTTGATTTTTTTCTGTAAATTTGTTTAAGTTCCTTTTAGATTGTGGATATTACACCTCTGTCAGATGCATAGTTATCTTATTACTGGGTAGATACCTAAAAGAATATAGATCATTATATTATAAAGACACATGCACACGTATATTCATTGCAGCACTATTCACACTAGCAAAGACATGGAATCTACCCGAATTCCAATCAATGATAGACTGGATAAATAAAATGTGGAACATACACTCTGTGGAATACTATTCAATTATAAAAAAGAATGCTATCACGTCCTTTGCAGGGCATGGATGGAACTGAAGGCCATTATTCTTAGCAAACTAACACAGGGACAGAAAACCAAATACTGCATATCCTTACTTATAAGTGGGAGATGAATGATGAGAACACATGGACACATAGAGGGGAACAACACACACTGGGGCCTATCAGAGAGTAGAGGGTTGGAGGAAAGAGAGGATCAGAAAAAAATAACCAATAGGTAATAGGCTTAATACCTGGGTGATGAAATATTAATAATCTGTACAACAAACTCCTCTGACACAAATTTACCTATGAAACAAACCTGCACATGTATCCCTGAACATCAAATACAAGTTAAAAAAAACTGCAAATTATACTATTTTAAAGGTCTATTGAATAATTTAAAAATCAGGTTTGTAAAGGCAGATTTTCATTTTCATTGTGTTTTAGAAGCAGTCAAAAGCAAGCACATCAACACTTCAAATTTTTCTAGTAGCTAGGGAATATATCAGCACTTCATTTTGGTATCATTGATGAGAAAAATAAAAGCAAAACCAAAAAATTCTTATCACATTTCATTTAGAGACAAAATAAAGAGAACTATTTTGTTTTCTGTTAGAATTTATTTTACCTTGACTAATTTCCTCTTAATTCTATTCAACTCAAATCACTGGGACATCTTCAGCACTTGATGAAGTGCAATAATAAGAGTCTCTGCTTACAAGAACATTATTTTAGGTTTATAATTTGATTTATAAAATGAATTTATTTTTGCTAAATATAACTTATCTTTATATCTTCTTTTAGCAATTTCCACATTTATTTTATCCTGCTGTTTATATTTTTCTTCATAATATTTTATTTGAAAATTCAACTCTCGAAATTGATGGAATGAATACATATTGATGTATTCATGAAATTGATGGAATGAATATTTACGCCCATTTCCTCCCACTGTCACCTATATTTTTCTTCAGTACTTTCGTAGTTAAAAAACAGGTTAAGAAAGCTACTATTCATCTGGAAACATGGGTCATTTCTTTCTGAAAATGAAGGATTACTCAGAGGTCAAGCTGGTCATCTTGAAGAACAATTCTCTGGCGATAGATCTGTGCCTGAAAAAAAAAAAAAGCTGGTGACTGCTTTTCAGAATCCTTATGAACCAACTGCTACAGGTGCCCTGTTGTCTGCCATTTTGAATGGAACTACATATTTTTGTCGTTGTCACTGGCTCAACATTTTATTTTGTATTTCTGGAAGGCAGATTAATTTTCTCCTAAGTTCACTGGCCATTAAGTCAAAAGAATCTGTGATTGAGGAACTTTCTCTGATACCTGTACTTGATTTAGATAATATCACAGGCCTCAAGCTGGAGCTGATGCCATAACGAAATGGTACTTTGAGGATATTGGAAAGAAGGTAAGAAAAACATGAATCATTAGGGGCTGTATCTTAGCCTGAAATAAACTTGTTTTGTTGGCCCCTAAGGAAACATGCTTCCTGGTCTTCACACAATAGTTTAAACCATCCCCTGGATAAGTGACTTCTTTAACCAATAGCAAATAGCACAAACAATACTGTACAAGTTTCTAAAGTAAGTCTTAAGAAAGACTTACTTAGAATTAGTTAGTCCAGCAGCTTGTTTTTGCTTTCTATGGGCAACCACTTAATATAAGTTTAGTTATCCAGAGACAATTAGGCAGTGAGAATCTCAAATTACCCACATATATAGTCCTTGTGCAAAAGAAGCTCAGAACAAGCCTAAGGTTAGATCCCACTCATCAGCCAGAACCAACTTGTCAACCGTATGAGTGAACTCACTTCAAAAGTGGATCCTACAGCTTCAGTTGAGCCACCCTTGATAAGGCAAAGTGAAGCAGTGACAAGGTAACTCCATAGAACCCTGACCCATTTCTATAATAATGAGCTAGTAAATGAAATGGTTGTTTTAAAGCCATTGAGCATAGTAGTGGTTAATTACACAGCAAGAGTTAACCAAACCACTATTTTAAATTCTTTTTCTGTACTTATGTCCATTTATCTATTTGGTTGTTAATAGACAATATTTCAGACAAAAAACATGAGAAATAATTGGTAGATAGTCTATCCTCTATCACTCAATTATGACTTACAGATTATCTTACTTCTGACATACGCACATGCACACACACTAATGTAGATATATATATGCATAAATATTTTTGAAAATTAAATATCTGATACTTTAAAAATAAATTTAATTATTAATTCAGTAGCAACTATGTAGTTACATAGTTAGAATGCTAGGATACTTTTATGAAATAAGAAATGACATTTGGAATAGTATACAAGTGACAAATGTAATTGGTTTTGCTACTTAAGAGTCAACACTTGTATTTATGCAAAGTGGTTTGTTGGGAATAATTTGTCACCAATATTTTCCAAAATAAAGCATCACATTACAGATTCATAGAGTTGACAGAGAACTTTGAGAGTCCTCATACATATCTGTGCTTTTTTGAAGAAGTATATATAACCTCTCTACCTTCTGACAACCCAGGCAATTAAAATCCTTCAATAATGGCATTATGTAGGAGCTTACAGAATATTAATTGAAAATGATTTTGTAAATTATTAATGGGGATTTGGATATATATTTACAATATGATAAAAATTATGCGAATATTTTTATTCACATAATACATATGAGTTTGGCAATATACTTTTTCAAGGCAAGACATTGAAATAAAGCATTTACTTCTGTGTAATCTTATGCCTTATTTGCCCAATTCCTCTCTAAAAGATGTTTCATTATTAACTACTGGATTGCTTAGGTTTATTAGATTGTAAAATGATAGAATCCTCCAACTAATTTGAATACACATGGTGAATATTAGTTGAATATATCTTTCTACAATAAGATTGAATAAAACTACATATCCCATAAATGAATCCATCATAGGGCGATGTTTCAGTTAAACTGCAGCTCTAGGTATCTGAGAAGCAAGCATTTTTTGGCAGGTCTTTATATTTGTTTTCAAATATGCCATTTTGTATTTTCCTTTTTTCATTTTTTAATATATTTTTATTTGTTCATTTTCGGAGGGACGGCCAGTTTGTTACATGGATATACTGTGTAGTGGTAGGGTTTGGGCTTCTAGTGTACCCATCATTTGAATAGTAAACATTGTACCCAAAAGGTACTTTTTCAACCCTCACCCTTTCCAATCCTCTTCCCTTTTGAGTCCCGAGTGTCTTTTACTTCCATGTTGATGTCCATGTGGACTCACTGTTTAGCTCTGACATAAGTGAGAATATGAGGTATTTGGTTTTCTGCTTCTGACTTATTTCACTTGAGATAACAACATCCAGCTTCATCTATGTTGCTGCAAAGACGATCGCATTCTTTTCTATAATTGCATAGTATTCCATAGTGTCTGCATACCACATTTTCTTAATCCAATCATCTGTCGATAGAACATGGTTGTTTCTTTGACTTTGCTGATGTGAATAGTGCTGCAATAAACATATGAGTCCAGGTGTCTTTTTATTATACTGATTTCTTTTTCTTTGGAAATACCTACGAGTGGAATTACCAGGTTGAATGGTAGTTCTATTTTCAGTTCTTTGAGAAATCTGCATCCTGTTTTCCATAAAAGTTGTCATAATTTACATTTCCACCAAACGTGTATAAATGGTACCTTTTCTCTGTATCCTTCCTAACATCTGCTGTTTTTGACATTTTGTTTGTTTGTTTGTTTTGTTTTTTGAGACAGAGTCTTGCTCTGTTGTCCAAGCTGGAGTGCAGTGGCGCGATCAAGGCTCACTGCAACCTCCACCTCCCAGGTTCAATCGATTCTCCCCCTCAGCCTCCCAGATAGCCGGTATTATAGACACGGGCTACCATGTCCGGCTAATTTTTTTTTTTTTTTTTTTAAATGGAGTCTTGCTCTGTCACCCAGGCTGGAGTGCAATGGCGTGATCTCGGCTCACTGCAGCCTCCGCCTCCCAAATTCAAGTGATTCTCCTGCCTCAGCCTCAAAACTACCTGGGAATACAGGTGCTCGCCACCACACCCGGCTAATTTTTATATTTTTAGTAGAGACAGGGTTTCACCATGTTGGTCAGGCTGGTCTCGAACTCCTGACCTCAGTGATCTCCCCACCTCAGCCTCCCAAAGTGCTGGAATTACAGGCATGAGCCACTGTGCCTGGCCCTAATTTCTGTACTTTTAATACTAACGGGATTTCACCATGTTAGCCAGGCTGGTCTTGAACTCCTGACCTCAGGTAATCCGCCCGCCTTGGCCTCCCAAAATGCTGGGATTACAGGGGTGAGCCACCACGCCTGGCCAACTTTTTAAAAATAATCATTCTCACTGGTGTGAGATAGTACCTTATGATGGTTTTACATTTCTCTGATGACAAGTGATTTTTACCATTTTACCATGTATTTGTTGACTTCTTGGATGAATGAAACCACTGGTTCTACAATATGCCATCCTTTATGCCATAGTACAGCTTTTTTGTTTTAATGGTAAGTTTTGATATTTGTTAGTGTAAGTACTCCAACTCTGATGTCCTTCCTCAAGTCTGTCCTGCCCACTTTTGCCTTTTACAATGCACATTCATTTAAAAATAATTTTACAATATCTGTGAAAAAACCTGCTGAGATCTACATTGAAATTGCATTGGAGCTGAAGAACAATTATGAGAGAGTTATTACCATTATTTTACTAAATCGTCTAATTTATAAACATGGTTTATTCTCCCATTTATTTAGGTCTCTAATTTTTCTCAATAATATTTTGTGATTTTTTTAGTGTAAATATCTTACACATTTTTGAAAAATTTAGAGGAATGCAATGTTTTAAATATAATTGTATATAGTATTTTAATTTTACCTTTTCTTATACAAACATGGAAATAACTTCAGAATTTTCTGACCTTGTTAAAGTATGGATTAATTTTAATATTGTATAAATACTTCTGTATTTAGTATGTTGAAAATCATTCTAAAAAAATTGGAGTTTTTTTCCTTTTTTTTTTTTTTTGCTTTTGTTTTTGTTTTGTTTTGTTTTGTTTTCTGAGATGGAGTTTTGTTCTTGTTGTCCAGGCTGGAGTGCAATGGTGCAATCTCAGCTCACTGCAACCTCTGCCTTCTGAGTTCAAGTGATTCTCCTGCCTCAGCCTCCCAAGTAGCTGGGATTACAGGCATGTGCCACCACGCCTGGCTAATTTTGTATTTTTAGTAGAGACAGGATTTCACCATGTTGGTCAGGCTGGTCTCGAACTCCTGACCTCAGGTGATCCACCCACCTCTGCCTCCCAAAGTGCTGGGATTACAGGTGTGACTTTATTTCCCTTATGTTCACAAACTAGTGTTTTCAGGATACTGTAAAAGAAAAGTATTTTTGTCTCATTTTTAATCTTATTGTTCATTATTTTAATATTAAGTATAAAGTAGCTTCAAGTGTTCTGTTGTTAGTCTTTGGTAAATTAAAGGAATTTTCTTATATTACTAGGCTGTACAGTTTTTATCATAAATATTATTTGAAACTAAAATCAAGTATATTTTAATTAGATTATCAAATTTTTAAGTCTTGCATTATCTTTTGAGTTTTTAAAAAATTTCTTATTGTGTAACAACTCTTGACTTTTTAGAATAAATCCAAATTAATTTTACCATAATATAACTGTTATTTATCACTGGGATTAATTTGACAATATTTTCTACAGGATATTTGTATCTATATTTTTAAGTATTTGTTTTCTTACATAATTTTCAGATTTAAGATTCTAATGGATTCATAACAGTATTTGGGAAAGTTTCATTTTATTCAAATTCAATGTTTAACATTTGGAAGACTTTATGGATAAAGCCATCAGGGTTTGAGATTTTTTTCTGAGGAAATATTTTTGAAATGGGTTTAATACTCTTAAGAGATTAAAACAATTCTCATAGGTCAAATTTGTTATACTATGGCTTTCATACTATGACTTTTCTATTTTTTCTGCCAGCTTACAAATTCTTTCTTATTTTATATTTTAAAAAGAAATTAAAAATAACTTTATTATGATGTAATTTATAGTTAATATATTAAGTGCACATGATGATGAGTTTGCAAAATGCATACACTTGTATAACTACCACTTAAATCAATACAGAACATTTCTAGTACCACAAATCTTTCATTTTCCTCTTTGCCACCAAATATCATAAGCCTCAGGACCCACATAAACACTTTTCTGCTTTATTTCAATATAAATTAAGTTTTTCTTTTATATCATTTAATAAAAGTCAAATCACATAGCATATTTAGTGTCTGCTTTCTTTTACCAAGCATATTTTTGAGATGCATTAAGTTCTTTCATATGTTGATTAATTTATTTCCATGTTTGTTTCTAATTTTAGCAATTATAAATATAACTTTTATGAATATTTCTGAACAAATATTCCCATGGAGTTATAATTTCATCTCATTTTATAAATGCCTAGGGTTGGATGTTTATTTAACTTTACAAGAAATTGTCTAATCTTTTCACAACCGATTTTCCATTGTGCATTCTCACTAAGAAATAACAAGAATTCCAGATACTCTACATATAGGTCAGATGTTTAAATTTTAGTCATTCTAAAGTTTCTGTAGTGGTTTCTAGATAAAGTTCTAATTTGCATTTTTTTCTGATTATTATTTTTATATGCTTATTATATTTTGTGTAACTTTTGTAAAATGTTTGTTTAACTATTTCCCAAATTTTTGTCTTGTGATTTTTGAGTTTGAATTTTTTTTATTGTAGGTATAAGTCCCTTGCATGATACACGCATTGTGAATATTTTATAAAGATATGTTGTTGTTTCTACAATTTACTATTGGTCTTCTGAAGAGCAAAAATGGTAATTTGGTTAAAGTTCAATTTATCCACCTAAATAGATGTGATCTTTCTTCCCTTAAAAACTTTGCATATTCCAAGTTTACAAGAATTTCCTCTTATGTCTTCTTCTAGCAAGTTTATCATTTCAGCTCTTACATAAGTTCATAATTCAAGTTGCTTTTTGTAATGTCTGGGATTTTAAGATTAATTTTTTCCATTAATATAATTATTTTTTCCAGCACTGTTTCTACATTCTTTGGGATTTTTAATGACTTATTCCAATAATCTGCAAATAAAGGAGAAATTGTATTCTTTGTTCTTACTTCCATGCTTTTAGTTTATTTTATAGCCTCATTTTTATATACAAGTAGTAGCACATTTTATATAAAGGATTCGAGCATCCATGGATTTTTATATCCTGGTCCTGGAACCAATCTCCCATGGATACTGAGGGATGACTGTAAGGCACATAGACTCTCAGTTCCCTCTTTGGAATCTCTCTGAAGATCTTAAATAACTTAGTAGCAAAATAATTCGTTCAGAGCTCTAAACAATGAGGTTACAGCACTCACTTAACTTCTCTTTTTGTCATGGGGCTTTTTCTTAATGGCAATATTCTAGGGTTCTCTTTGTCTTAAAGCTGTGTTTTCAGGCAAGTTTGTTTTAGTGAGAAGCATATTCACTTTTTAACACTGAAATTTGGGGAATTATTTAGCATTCTATTTTACAATTATATTTGCAAACTGGTCACTTCTGAGAGCTCATCACTTTCTTTTAACACCTTACACAATTTGATAAAAGTCAACCCCCACTGATATTTTGCTTCAAAACTTACTTGTCCATTAGCACAAGTTTATTAAATGCATTTTTATTCCTTCTGAATTGTCACGAGTAATATTTATACCAATTGCTTCACCGCTATGTAATATGAGTAATTAATTTTTCAATCTCTTGTAACAGTTTCCTTGTTAACGCCCATCTAATTGCAAACTTAATACGGTATTTTTTTTCATTATTTAAGTATCTCATTTCTAAGTGCCAAATCCTGTATTAATAATTTATTACTGCAAAAATAATTGGTGAAATAAAGAACTTCAAGTATTGCAATGATAAAACAAGATATATATTTCATTCACATGTGTGCAGAATTCTATCAAGTCAGTCAATCAAGACTGGGATCAGCTGAGATTCTCTGCTTAAGGCTACGTATTAATTGGAGTTGGTTTCATGCTGAAAATAAGGGTTTAAAAAGAATTCTTGTAACTTAATATAAAATACAAACAATCTAAACTTTAAAATAAGCAAAAATATGATATACAATTAACTAAAATACAATTAACTAAAGATGATATATAAATGATTAATAGGCTAATTAAAAGGTGCTCACCATCATTAGTCATCAGGCAAATATGAGAAAACGCTACATGCTATAATGGCTAAAATTTTTAAAGTCTGACCCCACTAACTATTAGTAGAATTCTCATGTACTTCTTGTGAACATGTGAAAATGGACAACCATTTTAGCAGTTTTGAAGTTTCTTAAAGACAGAGACTTTACCCTTTTTACCCTTTAAATCAGCAGTTTGATGATGTGAGTTCCAGAGCTCACTCAAGCTGGCCTTATGAGAGCTTTTTATACACATCTTCTCAACTCTGTCTTCAGGGATGTAATGTTTGTAGATTGATATCAGTCACGGTTAAAATATTTACACTATGACAACCAGCAACCCCGACAAATCAAAGTTTTCTCTTTCTCTTGCCATCCAGAAAACTGGATGGTAAACATCTCCCATCATGTCTGTACTGCAATTTTACAACCAGGTATTTGCCTGATAAATGAAATATATATCCATACAGACTGTTCACGAATATTTATTGCAGCTTTACTCATAATATCCAGCTTGTAAAGAACCTATATGTCTATCAAGCAATAAATGGATTAATAAATTCTGATGTAGTCCCTAGCAATAATAAATGAAATAATATTATGGCTTAGTACTCACAGTAATGAATAATGAATATATATATATATATATGTACACACATTTACAAGTACCTATAGTTCATTATTATATATAAATATATACATAATATATAAATATACAAATACATAATATATAAATATACAAATACATAATATATAAATATACAAATACATAATATATATAAATATACATATACATATATACATACATATATATATACATACATATATATATACATACATATATATATATATATATATAAAAGACTCCTTCTCATAGGAGCAAAAATTGGGCAATATGAAAGAAATCCTCAGGCCAAAGTGAAATAAGGATAAAACTTAATGGGTAAACTATGCAACGAGGCCATGTCTGTCCTGAAGAACTTGGCAGAATCTTGCATTTTTAAATGTAAACATTTATATTGACATATAAACAGATATAACTTAAGATACAAGTTATAAGACATATAAACAGACATAACTTAAGTAATAAAAAATTGGATAGCTTGTTGAATATTCACAAAGTTAACATACCCACATAACCAAGATTCAGATTAAGAAATTACGCATACCACAACATGAGAAGCCCTCTCCTGCCACATTTCAGTCACTGCCTGGCTTGCTGTTCCAAGGACAATGACTTCCTAAATTCTAACACCATTTATTAATTTGGCTAACTGTTAAACATTATATAAAAAGAATAGTAAACCTGCACATGTACCCCTGAACCTAAAATGAAAGTTTAAAAATAGAGAATTACGCCATAAATACTTTTTTTGTGTTTTGCTTATTGTATTTGTTGATATATGTGCCAGTTGTATTTGTAGTTGTAAATGCTTATTGTTGAAGAATATTGAGTTATGTGGATATATCACCATTCGTTTATCTATTCTATTAATACTGTAATGACATTTAGCTTATTTCTAGCTTACATTTCCTTGGAAAGATGATTAATATGTGATTACTGTATATACAGTTTGGTAAAGATGAACATATTCACGTGCATATGAATAGGTGTTTCATAGGCCAACATATTTACATTTAGCAGATACCATCAAGCAGTTTTTCAAAATGTTTGTATGATTTACAATCTCAGTAGCAACGTACTAGGGTTTGAGCTGCTCCATAATGGGTATTGCCTGTCTTTTTCACTTAGCCATTCTGGTAGGTGTCTAGTGTCTAGTAGTTCTTATTATGGTTTTATTTTACATTTGTCTAATGATGAATGAAGTTAAACATTGTTTCACTATGTTATACTATGTTAATTTTCATTGGTTATCATCTGGTGAATTTTTTAGAAGTTATTTTGTCTATTTTTCTATTGATTTCTTTATTCTTTTTAATTGATTTGTAAGAATTTTCTCTTTATTGTGGATACCAATCTGTTGTATTCTATGTACCAAATACACATATTGCCAATACCTTCTTTCACTCTGTTGTTTGTTTTTTCATTGTCTGAATAGTCTTTTGATGAACAGATCTTCTAAATCTTAATGTAGACTATGATAACTTTTTTTTTTTCCTTCATAGCAAGGGTTTTGCTCATTTCAAGGTAACAAAAATATTCTTAAATATTTCTCCTATATTTATTCTCTTAACATTCATGTTTAGATTTGCAATCCATCTACAATTGACTTGAAAATAGTTCTATGTGTTCCCATACTCTTTTTTCATATGAATATCAAAATGACACAAAATAATTTTTGAAAGACTATCCTTACTTCCCAGATATTAATGGCACTTTTATCATAAATCAGGTGATTTTATATATATGATTTACTTCTAAATTTTCAATTTTGTTTGATTCACCCATTTCTCCATCTTTATTAATTATAATATATTTTAGCTTAATTTGAATTTCTTTATTCTTAATTATAGCATTTTTGAATAATAACCATTTTATCTATTCCCTGTCAATAATTTATTTCTTCCTCTTGACATACTGACTCTTTACATAGTTTTACTACAGTAAAATATTTCTTCAAAAAGTGAGAGTAGAAAGAATATTTGTCACATGAGCAAACTCAGAGGGAAAACACTCAATAATTTGTCATTTTACCCAATGCCTACTAAAAAGTTCATGCTCAATAAATATGGAGATACAAATCTCCACAAAAGAATAATACTAATTAGAAATAAGTAACATATTCTGAATAAGAGAATGATGTGACTATCAATCTCGTATCTATTATTTCCTATATTTATGAGTTAGAGGAAATTTTTTGATCCATATTTTGGTCTCAACATTTATAAAATAGATATAATAATTATTTACCTATTTCATATAACTCTGGCTATAAATGAAATAGTTAATGCATGTGAAACCTTTAGCTTAATAATTGTCTAGAATAAACACAGGTACATTCGTTTAAACATACTTGTTTTTTGTATATTTAAATACAAAATTATTATCGGTTGAATTTTTGAATATAGTAGTCGCCATTTCAAAAACTGATTATTTGATCATTAAACCCCTCTCTCATAAAAAAAATTACTAGAGGTTTAAATAAAGCAAACCCAAACCAAAACAAACCAAAACAAAACATAATTGAGAAATGAGATTTTTGTAGATTCTGGATATTAGTCCTCTGTCAGATGAGTAGGTTGCAAAAATTTTCTCCCATTCTGTAGGTTGCCTGTTCACTCTGATGGTGGTTTCTTTTGCTGTGCAGAAGCTCTTTAGTTTAACTAGATCCCATTTGTCAATTTTGGCTTTTGTTGCCATTGCTTTTGGTGTTTTGGACATGAAGTCCTTGCCCATGCCTATGTCCTGAATGGTATTGCCTAGGTTTTCTTCTAGGCTTTTATGGTTTTAGGTCTAACGTTTAAGTCTTTAATCCATCTTGAATTGATTTTTGTATAAGGTGTAAGGAAGGGATCCAGTTTCAGCTTTCTACATATGGCTAGCCAGTTTTCCCAGCACCATTTATTAAATAGGGAATCCTTTCCCCATTGCTTGTTTTTGTGAGGTTTGTCAAAGATCAGATAGTTGTAGATATGAGGCATTATTTCTGAGGGCTCTGTTCTGCTCCATTGGTCTATATTTCTGTTTTGGTACCAGTACCATGCTGTTTTGGTTACTGCAGCCTTGTAGTATAGTTTGAAGTCAGGTAGCGTGATGCCTCCAGCTTTGTTCTTTTGGCTTAGGATTGACTTGGCAATGCGGGCTCTTTTTAAACAAATTTACAAGAAAAATCAAACAACCCCATCAAAAAGTGGGCGAAGGATATGAACAGACACTTCTCAAAAGAAGACATTTATGCAGCCAAAAAACACATGAAAAAATGCTCATTAATCAAAACCACAATGAGATACCATCTCACACCAGTTAGAATGGCGATCATTAAAAAGTCAGGAAACAACAGGTGCTGGAGAGGATGTGGAGAAATAGGAACACTTTTACATTGTTGGTGGGACTGTAAACTAGTTCAACCATTGTGGAAGTTGGTGTGGCGATTCCTCAGGGATCTAGAACTAGAAATACCATTTGACCCAGCCATCCCACTACTGGGTGTATACACAAAGGATTATAAATCATGCTGCTATAAAGACACATGCACACATATGTTTATTGCAGCACCATTCACAACCGCAAAGACTTGGAACCAACCCAAATGTCCAACAATGATAGACTGGATCAAGAAAATGTGGCACATATACACCATGGAATACTATGCAGCCATAAAAAAGGACGAGTTCATGTCATTTGTAGGGACATGGATGAAGCTGGAAACCATCATTCTCAGCAAACTATCGCAAGGACAACAAACCAAACACCACATGTTCTCACTCATAGGTGGGAATTGAACAATGAGAACACATGGACACAGGAAGGGGAACATCACACACCGGGGCCTGTTGTGGGGTGGGGGGAGGGGGTGATAGCATTTGGAGATATACCTAATGTTAAATGAGGAGTTACTGGGTGCAGCACACCAACATGACACATGTATACATATGTAACAAACATGCATGTTGTGCACATGTACCCTAAAACTTAAAGTATAATTAAAAAAAATTAAAAAAAAAGAACTGAGATCCTATTTCCCACTTCAGATTTAAACTAATTTGAATGTTTTTGAGGTAATACAAAATCTAGTCTCATTCTGCCAAATTTCCTAGTAAATTCCTTGCTCTTAGAGAACCAGTTTCTTAGTATCTTCTTAAAATAAAACTTGTATTGCTCTGAAGACATTAATCCTACCTATTGTACTTTCCTTTCTTCTTTTTACTTCTGCAATTTTTTAAGAAAATTATGGATTCAGGGGGTGTATGTGAAGGGTTGTTACATTAGTATATCAAGTAATGGTGATGCTGGAGTTTCTAGTACACCCATCACCCAAATAGTGAACACTGTATCCAGTGGGTAATTTTTCAAGCCTCACCTGGCCTCCTGCCTTCTCCCCTTTTGGAGTCCCCAGTGTCTATTATTTTATTTATGTCAATCTATATCCATTATTTAGCTCACACTGATAAATGAAAATATGAAGTATTTGGTTTTATGTTTCTGAGTTATTTCACTCAGGTTAATGGCCTCCAGATCCATCCAGGTTGCTACAAAAGACACCAAAATGTTGCTAATATAGTACAACTTTTTAAGGTTATATAGTATTCCATAATGTGTATGTACCACATTTTCTTTATCCAATAATCTGCTAATAGACACTTAGATTGATTTCATGACTTAGCTATCATGAATAGTGCTGCCATAAACATGCTAGTGCAGTCATAGTTTTGACGTGATGATTTATTTTCCTTTGGGTAGATATCTAGTAGCCGATTTACAAGGCCGAATGGTAGTTCTGTTTTTTTCGTTCTTTGAGAAATGTACGTACTGTTTTCCGTAGAGGTTGTACTAATTTACATTCCTACCAATAGTATATAAACATTACCTTTTCTTTCTATCCTTGCCAACATGTGTTGTTTTTTGGCTTTTAATAAGTCTTTCTGAGTGGTGTGAGATGGTAGCTCATTGTGGTTTTAATTTACATTTTTCTGATGACTAATGATTTTGAATATTTTTTCATGTTTGTTGGCTTCTTGGCTATTTGTATGTCTTCTTTTGAGAATTGTCTATTCATGTTTTTTGCCCACTTTTTAATAGGGTTTTTTTTTTTTCTTATTTAGTTGTTTGAATTTATTGTAGATCCTGGATATTAGCTCTTTTTCAGATGCATAACTTGCAAATGTCTTCTCCTTTTCTGTAGATTGTCTGTTGACTCTTGATGATTGATTTTGCTGTGCAAAAGCTTTTAAGTTTAATCCAGTCCCATTTGTCTAGATTTGTTTTTGCTGCATTTGCTTTTGAGGTCTTAGTCATAAATTCTTTGCATACTCAAATAAGATAAAGATCAACTTTTACTCTAAAACCTTCTGTAACACCTGTGATTCACAGTAAACTTTTCTATTTCCGACACTCCATTAGTGGTGGTGAAATCTCAGCTTACTGCAACCTCTGCCTCCTGCGTTCAAGTGATTCTCCTGCCTCAGCCTCCCTAGTAGCTGGGACTGCAGGTGTGCACCACCACGCCTGGCTAATTTTTGTATTTTTAGTAGAGATGGGGTTTCGCCATTTTGGCCAGTCTGGTCTTGAACTCCAGACCTCAAGTGATCCGCCCACCTCGGCCTCCAAAAGTGCTGGGATTACAGGCGTGAGCCACCATGCCCAGCCTTTCATAGTCTGATATCTGCTAGAACAGTAATCTCTTTCTTTGATATTAAACTTTTATTGACAGTAACTACACTTATGATGATTTAACAGAACAAATTTCAGATGCTTTATAGTTCATACATAGGCCAGAAATTTTAATTAAGAAGTTAATGTTTTGTTCTGGCAAGTAGTGAGAGAAGTAAGAATTATTTAAAAAGAAATAAAGAAATCAATATATGAATAACAAAAAAATGGTTATGTCTTACTTTATCTGGTGATGTGTGGAGATTTAGATAAGAGTATGAGAAATTTTAATGACAAATGTTTTAAAGTAATTCATCAAAATATTTATGAGTTGAGTATCCTGAAGTCATTATGTTATGCTTCTGGAAACTGCATGGAATCTTGTACTCCACTTCAACATATTCCTTATGCATTAGAATAAATACGTTTCTTATTATAATCTGGAGTAAGTGAATGCAAATGTACAGCGCTTTTTTGATACAGGTTTCCCATAAGCTTTCATTTCAAAAAGTTAGTACATTTCAATCAAATGTAAAATAAAATCTTAGAAAAAAATGAGACACCTTTAAAGAAAATGTCTTCATGTGTAATTCTGTGTAATAGCTAAGTATGGATTTGACTGACAAAGAGCACACTATGTTCAGTACTTGGGAAATACACATTTCCTTTTACTAATTTGTGGCAGTTAACATAAATATTCAAAGGATGGAATATTTGTGTTACTATTTAAAAGCAAGAAGGTATTCTCATTCATTTTATCTCTCTGTGTGTGGAAGATAACAGGATAGTACTTGTTAATAATGTCAAATTATCCTTTTGAAAAATAGATCAAACAGCTATCTTTCATAACCTTTTTGGCTGACATCTTTAAAAATATTGAATGCTATCCGGTGACTATAAGTGAGAACATAGAGTAACTAGTCTGTTTAGCAAGAAGGTACTATACTGACATGGTTTGGCTCTGTGTCTCCACCCAAATCTCATCTCTAATTGTAATTCCCACCTGTTGAGGGAGGGACTTGGTGGGAGGTGATTGGATCATAGGGGCAGTTTCCCCCATGCTGTTCTTGTGATAGTGACTGAATTCTCAGGATACCTGATGGTTTTGTAAGTGTTTGACAGTTCCTCCCTCACATACTCTCCCTCTTCTGCTGCCTTGTGAAAAAGATGCCTGCTTCCCCTTCTGCAAAGATTGTTAAGTTACCTGAGGCCTCCCAGCCATGTGAAACTGTGAGTCAATGAAACCTCTTTCCTTTATAAATTACCCAGTCTTGGGCAGTTCCTTACAGTAATGTGGGAACGGGCTAATACATATACCATCCAGACAGCCGGCTTTGGTCAACATATAACCCTACATTGTTTTTAGGAGAAGCCATTTTTAAATTTCTCAGTTAATTTTATATTTTCCAGTAAATTAATATTAACATAGTTAAGGTCTTTGATTCATTTCCCTTTATGTGGAAATGTATTTATTCCATAAAAATAAAACTATTTAATGCATACAATTTATCCACTTTTATAATTCAGATTATTTCATTTTTGATGTATGTAAAATTCAGTTTTAATACAAACAAATTACAAGACCACAAATCCTTGGTCTACCAAGGGCTGCTTAAATCTACAAATAGTTATATTTAATTCGCTCTGGGGATTGCTGGACTGCAGGAAATTAGATATCCATCTGTACCTCAGAATCCGTAAGTAACAGGATTATATTATTATTGTGTATGGCTGCAAATACTATAATTATTGTATGATAGTTTGTGTTTGGTCTATCAATTTATCTTGAAAGAGAGAAATTGAGTTTTAAAGATATATACAAGACAATCAAAAAATATCAAGAAGGAAACATATTTTCACTGGTTTTGATTCACACCAAATCTGCTTCTTCTTCTACCTTAAAATTGACAGCAGATTTTTTTCTACTCTTTTTGCTTTTGCTTAACTGTATGTTTTCCATTCTCAATTCTTGCTTACTCAACTATTTTATCTCTTTATACTATAAATTGATATCTGAAAATATTGTTACATTACATAACTGATTTAATACCTCTGTCGTCTTTTCTATCAATGTCTTCATCTTACACCTTCACAAATAGCTTATTTATTTTGTAAAAGAAAAAAATGAGAAAAGAAAGAAGAGACAGTCATAGTCATATTTATTGAATGTCTCTGTGTATGGATTATCAAGTCATAGAAAGTAAATGTCATTTTAATGGTGCCCGTTATTGAAATAGAGAATAGCTATAACAATGTAAATCTGTCAAAATAAAATTTACTCTGGTAATAAAAGTTTCTGATTGCTTGACTACTATTTAATTCAGGTAGTGTGAAAGATTTATTGTACTTTACAAATTATTTATCTTACTCTCTAAGAATAAGTTACAAATGGGGTAAAAGAGATTTCTTAAATTTCGAGGAAACACAGAAGAGACGTACCCAAGGTCTTTTGATTCAGAATATGATTATTGTATCTATGATTAATACTTATAATCTTTGGTTGTGTTTCAATATGAAATAAGGCACATTATAATTATTTGAAACTAGTTGCTTCTATAATTAAAACTATTCAAACAGAAAAGCTTCGCTTTTATTTGGGAGCGTCCCCAGAGACAGTTCATACTTCTACAGGTCAGCTGCAGTCATTACATTATGCTAACTTTGACAATGCATTTTCTTTCTTACTACAGCTATTTCTTTGGCTCCGGGTTCTTTTAGAGCTAATATGAAAATTTGACAGGTGTAGGTTTTGAAGAAGTAGTTAAATATGATATCTTCTGCAATCCAGCAAAACCTCTCCACAAAAATGTAGCAAATAGTAAAATAGTTTTATTGTTAAATTAGCATTAAATCAGACTGTGATGCATATCACAGGCCATTTACTAAAGAGATTACAAAGAGAAAAATACATCTCATCCTTTTATATAATTAGGCAGATACAATCTATTACATATGTGTGAAGTATCTTTATCCAAAGAAAAAGTAAAATTTATTGTATCTTTGTGACAAGTATCAGGTTATGACTCTGAGCCAGGCATCTAAGCTAAGCTAAAGTGACAGAAGACAGGGTGTCTATCACCTTGATGTTTGTATTTAAAGAGACGACTCCAAGTCCCCCAAGTAAGACATTTCTGGGATGCAAAACTAGCAACAGTCTTATTTAGCTCTTAAAAAGATTTGCATACATCTTAAAGTGACAGAGGAAAGATTCAGAATATCAAGTTATCTCAAGTAAATACGAAAAGGAATGGAGTGTTCTCTTTCTCTTTTAGCACCAGAAAAATATAAAATGTATTATTATTCATAGTAGAATTTTAGACTTCCATTTTCTCTCACATGGTCCTCTCACTATTCTGTGTTATACAGTATCACTGGGAACGAATTTCCTCAGAATTATTCATAAAATCGTTTCAGTCCGTTTATGCCCTCAATTCCTTAAATTTAGAGAGTCAAATTAAGGTCACAACGTACACAGTAAAGACATACCTTTCTGTGTCCTTCTTCCCCTCTTCCCTGCACCACATCCTCAACCAGTCCCTGAACATCAATGGGGTCAGGCTACGTTGGTGGCCCTGTCAAAAATTCTGATTTATCAAAATTTTAAAACTAGAGACTGATGTTTCTTTTACTGTATTAATCCACTGTATTATAGACTTTGGAAATATTTGTGCCTAGTTTTCTAAAGCAACCTTTATGAGCAGTTTCATGGATCTAGCTGTCAAAATTTTTCAGTCTATGCATGCACTTGCTGTGAATAGGTGGCAGTTAATGAAAGTTGAAATCACAAACAGCAATGAATTCACTGATCTTATGCTTTTTCCAATGCCTTGCTTGAGTCTGAAATAATTTTACAGCTATTATTCCACTTCCGGACTTTGATAAAACAAAATAAATGCTTCAAATATATTCTAGCAACAGAGTAAAAAATGGTAGTGTGATTTTATTTTTCTTATCAACATCACATGTATATGAAGAAGATAAATTTCAAGTTCTAAGAAAAGAAAAAATTGATTTGTAACCGAGTTAAACAAGTATGGAAATTCATGTTGAAATTGAAACTATGTATAATACAAATAAAAATTAATGATTGTATACATTTTTCTAACATGAGTAGATATAAATATGATTTTAATTATAATCAGCAGCACTATGGTTATAGGATGAAAAATGACATCATTTTTGTCGATATTGATAAAATAATAGTTGTTGCTTTTCAATTTGGGCAGTATTACTTTCAGTTTAATGTTGGTAATTCTGAGTAGACCCAAGACATAGAGAGGGAGTTGTTCCTCTTGCTGGCTTTCTTCTATGTAAGAGTTACATTGTGAAGCAAATGAAGTAATAATGATTCTAGACTTTCTCCTTAGAAACGAAAAGCAGAATACTGAAAGAATACACCTGTTTTGAAGTCTGATAAATAACCCTCATCTATTCAAGATCCAGAACAAAGGGTAAGATGGCACTAAGAAAGCATGAACAAATACAAGAGAAATAAGACTGAACACACACACACACACACACACACACACACACACACACGCAACTTTTTATGTAAATCAATATAAATGTTAACCTAAAAGTTCACCTTAAAATTTATGTTTAATTTGTTTTTGGTTTACATCGATATCTGTAACACTTTTCTCAAGAGCATAACCATGTTCTATTTTACCTAGCATTCATTTCATTAGATGTGAACGTTGATCCTTCAAAGAAAGGAACCCAAAACAAAAATAACATACACAGCATTATAAAATTAAGGTTATTAAAAAAGACATTTCTTTGAGAACAGTATAGGCAATATACTCTGCAGTGAAGACTAACAAAGTCAGCATTTCCTTTCCTTTTGTGCATTTGGTTTTCTGGACCTTGTTTTTGTTTTTGTAGCTGTATGGTCAAATCTAGTTATATTAAGGCATAACTGTTGTCATTTAAATCCTGTACATCCTCAATCTTTTCTCCTCACTGGCTGTCTTTTAACCATGGCTTTTAAGTACTTGTGTACCAGTATGGTTCTGTGATCTGATTCTGTGTCTCCTGTCAGCTTTCAGACTAGACAAAGCGTTACCATTTTGGCCACCCCAATTACTGCTGATATTGCTCTTCATTGTTGAAAGTTTATCCTTTCTCTACCTTCTTCCACATCTAGGACTCATCTTTGGATATTTCTAACAATAGCTTAACTAATAGATAAAATGTATATGTAATTGTCGCCACAGTATATTGTCTATGACAACAAAAAAGGGACTTCGTAGTTGAAATTTATAAAAGAACTAGTTTTCCAGCAAGGTCACTAGGATAACTGTCCCTCAAACTTGAGACCAAGCTTCCTATATATGATACTGCTTGGTTTCTGCCTTTCAAGACCCCTGTTCAACATCAATGAGGCAATAGCAGAACATTTAAAAGAAAATTATGATTTTTGGATACAGGGACATAAGTTTGCCATTTAACCCTTCATTCAGTGTGTTTACTGTCTCCAAACAAAAGTGAGAAACATTCCCAAATTTAAGATGAAAGTATCTTAAATAAAAATGTATAGTAAGCCTAAGCATACCAATATTTAGAAGCACATTCACTATACTTAGACATTTTATTTTACTTCTACTGGAGTTAATTAAAACAAAAATTGAAAGTAGTCCCTCTATACGAAAGGACAATACTCATGATAATTTTGGCTTTCTTGTACTCTCTTTCCAAGAACAGATGACATTATGAAAAACAAAGGAAGAAAGCCAAACTTATTCACATCTCATGAAAAATCATAGAAAGATAAACATTTAGTAAAAAAAAAAAATTAGAGTGAGAGAAGAATCCAGTGATTAATAAATCTGACACTGTCAGTTACCTATGAGGGAAACAAGCCACAGAGTTGTTTTTGACCTAACTAGTGCAGCACCCAAACTTTATCTTAGTTTTCTTTACCTGAGCTTGGGGATTAGAATTGACACTTCAAAAGCCCTCAGAGTTACCAGGGAATTCCACAAATTAGTTGCATGTTAGAATCACCTGAGAAACTATTTTATTTTTATTTTTGAGACAGGCTTTCCCTCTGTTGCCAAGGCTGTCATGCACTCAGTTCATTGCAGCCTCTGCCCCCTGGGCTGAAGTGATCCACCTCAGCCTCCTGAATAGGTGGGATTAAAGGTGTGCCTGCCACACCTGGCTAATTTTTGTATATTTTTTGTAGAGATGACATCTGACAATGTTTCCCAGACTGGCCTTGAACTCCTGAGCTCAAGCAATCGGCCACCTCAGTGTCTCAAAGTGCTGGGATTACAGGAACGAGCCACTGCACTTGAGCAGAACTTTCAAAATTATATATGGTTAGCCCACATCCAGAAATTATTCTTCTGAAATAAGACCTGTATATCCACAGATTTCAAAAGCTCTCTTTAACATTCAGCCAGTGTTGAGATCCATCAGCAAAGGTATCTGAAGCCTTTTTATACCAAAGCTGTCATCAGTTTAGAATTAATGATAGACTGGCTCAAGTTTGGTGTGTATAATAATTTTTTACAATCTTTAATACACAACAAATTTGTGGGAAACCAGTAATTCACCTTGATTTACTGAATTTCATTTTTAAAAATCTTCCTTCAATTTCCATTAGCTACATAACTCATCTATTTATTTACATTAAACTGTGATATGCTGGGTGAAGTTCCAAATATTTACCCATTGACAAAGATGTATGGTAAATGAGACAGGCAAGAGTAACCCACACAGACAATGAAGCATGCTAAGTTCTTTGTCTCTGTTCATAAGCAACACTGCTTTTTTTCTAATAGATTATAAAGATATATCAAAATAATTTGCCAATAAAGTGTATCTGAATGATAAAATGTTGGCATATGGTCAAATTATATTGAGAACCTAAATTTGGTTGAGAAAATTATTATGTCCCATTCTTGGAACCTTTGCAGACAGTTGAACAATAATATAGGGCAATATTTCTTTAAAACAGCTAACAACAGTAAATAAAGTTAAATAATATAGTATATTCATCATCAGCTCTCAAGGAAAAATAAATCTGTCTGTCAATTTACTTCAAGGGAATAGTTTTGTCATGTTTCCACTCTAGCTATCCTTTTAAAGCTTACCATATCTGAAATAAATAATCTACAAATCTCAAACTAGGTATCTTCTTAGAGTCCCAAAGTATATAAGTATGGATACGGATATCAATGTGATTTCTTTCCTGACCCAATCTCTTTTCCAAAATGTACAACATAGTGCCCTTATCTTTTAAAACTGGAAAAATTTATAATTTATTATTTTTTGTAATTGAGGAATATTTTCTAAGTAATAAACAGATCTTGTGCTCAGTTTGGCAAAATTGCTGATTAAATAGACTTATGTATGTACCATGTAAAACAAAATAAAGACTCTGCACCTCCCCAGAATTTTCCAGTGTCCCTGTATAGGTATTCTTCTTATCCTGGTCCCTCCAGTGGCAACAACATTCTAACTTCTATCACCAATAATACATTTCACCAACTTTTTTATGTTTAGCTTTTTTTTTTTTTTTTTTTTGAGATGGAGTCTCGCTATATCACTCAGGCTGGAGTGCAGTGGCACTATCTCGGCTCACTCCAACCTCTACCTCAAGTGATTCTCCTGCCTCAGCCTCCCGAGTAGCTGGGATTACAGGCACCTGCCACCACGCCTGGCTAATTTTTTTTTTTTTTTTTTTAGTAGAGACGGGGTTTCACCATGTTGGCCAGTCCGGCCTGGAACTCCTGATCTCAAGTGAACCACTCGCCTCGGCCTCCCAAAGTGCTGGGATTACAGGTGTGAGCCACCACGCCTGGCCTGTTTAGCTTATTTTCATTCAGATTGTGTCTTTAGGTAGCAAGATTCAGTCATCAGCAGCTCATTATTTTATGCTGCTGAATAGTATTTTGTTGTATGATCACACACTTATTCACACATTTATTCATTCTCATAGATAGAAAATTTTTTGTTTTATTGGTTTTGCATTTGTTAGCTTTTGGGAACAAAGCTGCTATAAGTGTACTTGTACAAGTGTTTTATTTATTTATTTATTTATTTATTATTTTTTGGTGTGGAGATTAATTGCAGAATCACTGTGTAAATATATACTCAAAAGAAACTGCCAAAAAGACAGCTCCAAAGTATAATATCACCATTACATTTTCAACTGCAGTATATGAGGATTGCATTTGGTCACATTTGGTATCGTCAATCTTTTTTATTTTAGAGCTGTGCTTCATGTGATGACAGGGAAAATTCTGAGTTGTTCTAATATGCTATATACCTGACTCTTCTGCATGTCTGCCTCTTCATTCAGGCATTTTTATGAAGTTATTTTTTTTTCCCCTTCAGCTTTGTCTATTGGCATTAGAATGCAGTAGAAATGTAATGTATTTATTAAAGCAATTATTACTTAAAAATAAATATTTCTGGTAGGATACAATTAAATTTTTTTGCATACCTATCTTTTTAAAAATTATTAAACTAAATAAGATGTAAGTATTTTTTAAATATTTCAGACTTTATGACATAGAGTTATATTTTCTCCTTTAGCTGTCTACATCTCTTATTTAGTTGCTGTCATAGTTATTTGAATCAAAGCATTGAAATGAGCACATATTTTCAGAGCTGAAATACATATTTTGAAAAATATTTTTGCTTTTACCACATAGGCCACTAACTAACCAATAACATGACTAAAGCAAATTATTGTCAAAACTAGTTCAGCCTCCTTAGAAGACGCATGTTTGCACTTAGGACCCTTCAAAGGTGCCCTGAAAAAGACTCATCTTGTGTACTGATATTTCTTGTCTCCATCTTCTGTCCCAAAACTGCAGTTTTTTTCTGATGTTTCTCTTGGTCCAGTGTCTTTTGGCTTTCCCTATGGCTTTGGGATTTACTTACATATCTTCATTTTTACTCTGTTCTCACACTTGTCTTTTCACTCCTCCTAAAAATAAATCCTTGGTCACAGATTTTCCATTTTTGCTTAACTGAGAGGTAAAGTATAGAGGTTTACTTCTGATGGCTGAGTTCTGTTTGGTTATTCAATTCAGAATGGCAAAAAAGGCAACCTTGATTTTTCTTACTTTCACATTATTCACCATCTAAAGGTTTTGCACTTAAAATAATATATAATCCACCTGGAGCTTTTTTTTGTATAATATGATAGCTTTTAAAATCCACTTTCTGTCCATATTTTTATCCTTTTGATGCAGTAAGATTTATTGAAAAAATAATGATTGCTCCAATGCACTACACCATGTTATCACCTAGATCATAAATCAAGTGACTCTAGAAGTGTGGATATGCTTTTGGACACTTCAATCTGTCATACTGTTCAATTTCTTTAGCCTTGTGTCAAGGCATCACTGCCTTACTTACCATTGCATTAAGTCTTCAGCTGTGATATTTGTCACCTAAATTTTTAATGCAGCTTTTTAATTCCCATAGGGCTAACTGGTGGGATTTTGACTCAGATTGCACAATATTTTTGCATCAATTTATATAGAAGAAGCACATTTACAATTTCACCTATTTTGTAAACTTGGCATACCCCTCAATTTATTTAGAATTTCTTTAATGGTTTTCAGTATTGTTGTTATTAAGGAAGTAGTTGTGCACAGTTTGCATTACATTTAGTATGAATTATTGATACCTTTGATGCTATTGTGAATGGTATTTTTAATTCACTTTTTTGTCTCTTTCTGGCATATAGAGATACCACAAAGGTGTATAGGTTGTCCTTGTATTCAACAATGTTGAAAAGTTCATTATTTAATTCTCAGTTTATGTGTAGATTATTTTATGGTTTCAGCATATACAGTAATTTTGCCAAGTTACAGCTTTTTTGCTGATTTTAAATGTTGATATCTTGTAATGCATTTTTGAGGGGCATGGCTATGGTGTCTAGAACAATTTTGACTAGAAGGCATGCCAATGACATCTGGTGTCATTACTGACTTCAGGAGTATAACTTTCAATATTTTAACTTTATGATATCTATTCAGAGTCTTACATATACTCTATCAGACTAATAGACTTCCACTTTAAGGGAGATCTTTTCTAAGACTCTAAGCATAAAAATATAATGAGATTTTATAAACATGTTTTCCAAATTTATTTTGGTAACCAAAATATTTCTCCCATTTTTAAATTAAATTGTGACTTCTGTTGTTCAAGCTTTGAATATTAAATTATCCTTATATTATTTGAATAAACCCTACTTGGTTGTTATGTACTGTTCTTTTTTGATATGTCATCAGGTATGATTTGCTATATTTAGTTTGGGAGATTTTTCAACAAAGAGCTCTGGCATGCAAGGTCATAAAATAAATTGACATTTATTTTTCTTTCCTACAATCTCTTTGTCATAATACATCAAAAGATTAAATTTTCAATAGAGATCCCACAAATAAACTCAAGCATATATAGTCAAGTGATTTTTTAACCAGGGCGTCAATAAGACACAATGGAGAAAGAATAGTCTCTTCAATAATTTAAATTGAGAAAAGCGGATATCCACATGCAAAAGAATGGAATTAGACCTCTATATTACATCATACCACAAACATCAACTCTAAGACCTGAAACCATAAAACTCCTAAAAGAAAATATAGGAGAGAAGCATCTTGATATTGGCCTTAGTGCTGATTTATTTTTAGATATCACACTAAAATCTTAGGCAAAAATAAACAAGTGGGACTACATCAAACAAACTACTTCTGCACAGCAAAGGAAACAGTTAACAAAATTAAAAGGCAGTCCGTGAAATAAGAGAAAATATTTGTGAACTGTATATCCAGAGACTAATATCCAAAATATATTAGGAAGTCACACAACTCTATAGCAAAAATAAATAAACTGATTAAAAAAGTCAAAAGCCCTAAATAGACATTTCTTGAATGAAGACATAAAAATGTTCAACTGGTGTATGAAAAGGCCTACATATGCCTTGTCATATACCAGTTGAACAATTTTATGTTTTCATTTGAGAAGTATCATCATTAATCATAAGAGAAATGCAAATCAAAACCACAGTTAGATACCACCTCACACCTGTTAGTATGACTACTATAAAAATGACAAGAGATAACAAATTTTGGCAAGGATGTGGGGCAAGGGTAACCCTTGTACACTGTTGGCGTGTATGTAAACTAGTAGAGTCAGCATGGAAAAGAGTATGGAGGTTTCTTAAAAAATCAAAAATGAAATTATCCTATGACTCACAATTCCCTCTTCTAAGTTTAACCAAAGGAAATTAAATCAGCAGCTCATAGAGATTTTTGTG
The DNA here is from genome assembly GCF_000001405.40 of Homo sapiens. Taxonomy (NCBI): domain Eukaryota; kingdom Metazoa; phylum Chordata; class Mammalia; order Primates; family Hominidae; genus Homo; species Homo sapiens. Next base: position 101,153,910 of record NC_000005.10, read on the forward strand.
CTCCCATGTTCATGGCAGCATTATTTATAATAGCCATGATATAAAAGATGATCTTGTCATTTGCATCAACGTGGATGAACCTGGAGGATGCTATGCTTAACTAAATAAACCAGCCCAGAGAGACAAATACTGCATAATTTTACGTATCTGTAGAATTTTAAAAATTGAACCCATAGAAGCAGAGAGTAGATGATGGTTTCCAGGGCCTGGACATGAAGAATGGGGGTACTGGGGAGTTGTTGGTTAAAAAGTACAAGTTACTCTTTAAGAGTTAGATAGGAGGAATAAATTCTGGAAATCTATTGTATGGCATGCAACTATGGTAAAAAATAATGTGTTGTATATTTGAAAATTGCTAAGAGAAATTTGAAGTGTTCTCTTCACAAAAAATGATAAGTATGAGAGGTTATGGATATATTAATAAGCTTGATTTATTAATTGCACAATGTATACATATGCAAAATGTCACATTATTAGCCATAATTATATAAAATTTTTATTTGCCAATTAAAATAATATATTTAAATGGTAACTATGTGGGATGATATGTTAATTTGCTTGGCTACAGTAGTCTTTTTTTACATATATCAAAACATCATGCTATACACATTAAATATATATAATAAAAGAAATTTTCACATCAGTCTATTAATTTTATTATATTATTTTCTCTTTATTTACTTAGTTACTGAATACTAAACTATTTTTGAATTTATAGAATTAGTACCACATGGCCATGGCATATTCTCTTGTTATAACTTGATTAATATCTTATTTACTATTGTTACTTTTATCTGCATGAAAGATGTTATTTATTTCCTGAATAAAAATCCTTATTATAATATTTGATAATCTAAATTGGGAAGGTCACTTCTTTGTTTTTTTTGAGAGGGAGTTTTGCTCTCGTTGCTCAGGCTGGAGTGCAATGGTGCAATCTCAGCTCACTGCAACCTCTGCCTCCCGGGTTCAAGCGATTCTCCCGCCTCAGCCTCCCAAGTAGCTGGGATTACAAGCATGCACCACCATACCCAGCTAATTTTGTATTTTTAGTAGAGACAGGGTTTCTCCATGTTTGTCAGGATGGTCTCGAACTCCCGACCTCAGGTGATCCATCCGCCTCTGCCTCCCAAAGTGCTGAGATTACAGCTGTGAGCCACCTCACCCGGCAGGAAAGTCCCTTTTTTTATATATTCTCTGAAGGAGTTTTTTGAAAATTGGTGTTATTTCTTAACTATTTTAATATTGTATATATATTTACCAGAGAGGGATTTTGTTCTAAATACGTCTTTAGATTTTTTTTTCAAAATCACAGTCATAGTTTCTATATTACTTATCAGACTGTTCAAAGTATTCACGTCCTTTTACAATTTTGATGAATTATATTTTTCTTAGATTTTGGGATTGCTGCTTTTCTGTGGGAAGCACAATTTTCTATGTAGATTTGTTTTTTTCTTTCATTAATTTTGGCAGATTTGTTATATAATTTGTCTAGTTTCTTTGCTTTGAGTTTGCTACTTTTTTCTGATTTTTTGTGTACATACTTACATGATTAATTTTTTAAGTCTCCCTCCTTTTCTAGGGTTTTCTTATGATGATACACATTTCACTGTAAAGATTTAGCCAAATTGCAGAGTTTTGCTAGGCCATTTTTACATTCAGTTGAAAATGATTTTTTATTATTTTCTATTTATATTTCTTATTTGTCCTGTATATTAGTAGGGTCTGTTTTTGCACTGCTATAAAGAACTGCCTGAGACTGGGTAATTTATAAAGGAAAGAGATTTAACTGACTTACAGTTCAGCATGGCTGGGGAGGCCCCAGGAAACACAATCATGGCAAAAAGCAAAGGGGAAGCGAAGAGCCTTCTTCACAAGGCAGCAGGAAGGAGAATGAACACAGGACGAACTATCAAACACTTATAAAACCATCAGATCTCATGATAATTCACTCACTATCATGAGAATAGCATGGGGGAAACCACCCCCATGATCCAACTACCTCCACCTGGTCTTTCCCTTGACATGTGGGGAATACAGGGATTATGGGAATTATAATTCAAAATGAGATTTTGGTAGGGACACAAGGCCTAACCATATCACCCTGCCATTCATTTGGAAATATGTTATTGTCACGCGTGTCTGTGAGATGAAAGTCCGCCAACAGGCTTTGCGTGAGCAACAAGGCTGTTTATTCACTTGGGTGCAAGTGGGCTGAGTCCAAGAAAGGAGTCAGCAAAGGGAGATAGGGGTGGGGCAATTTTATAGGATTTGGGTAGATAGTAGAAAATTACAGTTAAAGGGGGTGGTTCTCTTGCCGGCAGCGGCGGGGGTCACAGGGAGCTCGGGAGACTTATTGTCCAGGAGAAGGAATGTCACAAGGTTAATTGATCAGTCAGGGTGGAGCAGGAACAAACTACAATGGTGGAATGTCATCAGTTAAGGCAGGAACTGCCTATTTTCACTTCTTTTGTGGTTTTTCAGTTGCTTCAGGCCATCTGGATTTATACATGCAGGTCACAGGGGATATGATGGCTTAGCTTGGTCTCAGAGGCCTGACATTACTTAATTGCCATGGCCATCATTTGGCTGAGTGATGAGATGTAAGGCTCAAAATAAGTGAGGCATGTATCACAGAAAGGCACCAAAAAGAAGGAGTAATTTCTTTGACACTTATCTTGCCAGGGTCCTGGGTTGATTTTGAAGGTTGCTCAAAAAACAGCATACTCATATTAACTGAGGCCATTGATCAGTTTCAAGTAGCTAATAGAAGAATATGTATAGAGTTTTACCCAAACCACAAAAGAATTACATGTAATGATTATCACAAAATAGACTGAAGACACTCCTAATACCTTTACAATTAGCTAATTAGTTTCAATTTTTGAAAATCTGTATAATAAATATAACTAGCATACTTGTTTGTAGATGCTGAATTAACAAGAGCAACAGAAAGTTGTTCCATCATCAAATTACTGAGTTTGAAATATTTGCTTCTAAAGAACCCACAAGCCTATGTTTAACATGGATAATCTTTTTCCTATATGATGATTTAAATAATTTCTAATTTTCTTTGCAATTTACTGGGTCATCCTATTAAATTTTCAGCTTTTATTTTAAAAAATTATGACTTTTTAAATTAAAGTTTGCTTCATGTATCAGGGGAAATTTCTAGGCCTTTTAAGAGTTACATGTTATTTGAAATTTATTTTATGTTAGGATAATCTAAATAATATATAAACACAGTTCCCTTTTTAACATTTTAAAATGATATGAAAATGTCTGTATTTAGGAGATCAAAACCAGAATGAATATTTATCCATTTTCATCATTACTTTTTAAATACATCAAAGTATTGAATGGCATATGAAAAACACTAAGCAGGATTCATCATTATCATCTTTCTGCTTTATGAATAAGTTAGCAAGAGAATTATTCAAATTAAGTTTCACGAATTATTATCAAAGGACTAGTCTGTTTCTAACAATAGGTTAGTAAATTACAGAATAAGCTACAAAGGCATTGCTTTTAAATAATTGGTATCATCTATGGTATATTTAGATGCAGGAGTTTTGTTTTTTTGTTTTTTTTTTTAATTGAGATGGAGTCTCGCTTTGTCACCAGGCTGGATTGCAATGGTGCGATCTCAGCTCGCTGCAACCTCTGCCTACCGGGTTCAAGTGATTCTCCTGCCTCAGCCTCCTGAGTAGCTGGGACTACGTTGTGCACCACTCTGCCCAGCTAACTTTTTGTATTTTTAGTAGAGATGAGGTTTCACCATGTTGGCCAGGATGGTCTCTATCTCTTGACCTCATGATCTGCCTGCCTCAGCCTACGAAGTGCTGGGATTACAGGAGTGAGCCACCACACTCGGCTTAGGAGTTTATTCTATTAATATATTTTCTTGAAAATTTATGAAATCAAATGTAAGGATTGTGGTCATATTGCTTTCTGTTGCATTATAAATTATTTTTCCACCTAAATAGTTTTCAAAACATGCACATATGGTAAACTAATGTTAATGAGTTATTGTCATCAGTTAGCAAAATAAAATATATTAAATCTGGTAAAATGTGGGTAACATAGCAAAAGATCTCTGAAAGAAGAACATAAATATCTGTGATTCTAAAAGCTCTAACTTATAGGATATTTGAAAAAGTACATTTTTAATGCAATTGTATTTATCAGTAAATATCATATGCTTTATGTATGATATGTAACCCCCTAAAATATTTAGACTTTTTTTATTGTCCTAAGTGGGTTAATAAATGTTAATCTAAAGTGTGTTTATTTGTTAAGCAAAACTTTTTAAATACATAGAGTAAATCCTGATATCAATCAGCCTGTAGTATTCTGTGCTAGTTTCCTGCTAGAAGGCCAAATTGATGCTGCTTGGCTATTTATGCAATGTTTAATCTATATTAACTATATTCTCTTAAAGTTGCTTTAGTTCTCAAGCTTATATCTTAAAGGTTATCTACTTGCTATTTTGAGCTGTCCAATATTTCATAAGTACTTATTATTGAAACATAGAACAGATGAAATGGATGATTACTCTGGTAACCCAGTGTCCAAGAACCTCAACTTGCTTGCTGATATGTAGAAAACAGTGCACTAGAAATACTACACTGGAGGTGTCCCTGGACTTTCATTTCCTAATAAAAGACCCTCAGAGCATTTAGTAAGTGCCACTCAGACATCAATGTGTGACCAATCACCATCTCTAAAATTACTTTTTCTTTATTTTTAGAAATTTCAATCATGTGTTTAAGCAGAGTTGTTAACATTGTCTTCTAATAGTGGATTAATGAAATAGGAACAAAGCATTATTTTGTTTGTTTAACGCATTTCAGAAATCTTTCTTCAGCTTAACAAGCCCATAGATAATTACTGTTAACTCTATATTTAATTATCTAAACACCATACAAAAACAAATATATGTCTAAAAGACATGTTTTTCCTACATCTTCATTTTCTTTATTTAAGAAGCAGACATTTCTTTGAATTTTTGTATACATTCTGGCAGGCTTTAGACCATGGATTTTATTGATTGACCCTGATCCAAAGCAGCAATTATGTTCTTAATTCTCTCTGAAGTTAAGAGGGTATATTTATCCAACTAGCAGAAAAACCAAAGTTCAGGTCAGGAGAAAATATTAAAGGTGATTTTTAAACTGGAATAATTTAACAAGTTGAGAACAGAAAGATGGACAAAAAAAGTACACTTAGGTATGTAAAAAGATCCATGCTTTTTTTTTAAATGTCCAGATGGTTTAAATACAGCATCTTCTTGGTAGAGAGTATGAGTCAGTACTGGACATGTTCTTTAGAAAACTAAAAATAGGCGGGCGTTTCTGCTAGTAAAGTCTGAAATAAGCCAAACTGTGCTTTAGCTGTCATGACAATTCTTAGACAGTAATGGCCTAGTTTGAGATCCTGCATTAAAAAAAAAAAAAAAAAAAAATATATATATATATATATATATATACACACACACATATATATACACACAAGTATATATATACATATATAATATTTTATAAATATAAAATATATATCATAATATGATGTATCATGAATAAGTATGTTTTGTACATTTTAAAAATTAAAATTCAACTATGAGGTTCCACAAACCACATAGTGCTTATGATTAAAGACTTAGTAAATAAAGCCTATAAGAAACAAAAAAAGAACTAATTTTGTTACTCTTTGAGGCAAATAAAGAAAACATATGAATGAACTCGGTATATAAGATAAATAATTGTTTTGGTGAAAAAGATATGATTGCATAGAAACAAGAGTCAATTAATTATGTATCACTTGTAGAAATTTTTTTTAACCCCAGGAAAAAAGTATGAAAATAAATAAAACTAGCTTTATTTTCTATAATCGAGTATAATACTTTCAATGCTCTAGTTTATCTTGTGGCCAAAACTTTTATCAATGCAAATAAACCAGTGAATCCTCAGGGTTTTTATTTTGTTTTAAATAAATTTAGGGATTTGCTATTCCCTTTCTTCATATTCTTGTGCTTGAGTGGAAGTTCTGGGTGATTTGGATATAGAGGGGCAACTGACAAGCGGTCATCATCTTCTTTCACTGCTCCCTTTGATTGATATTTCTATGTGAAATCGTGTATCCAAGCAAGTCACTATGCCTTATTCTCATCTCAGACATGAGTCCTCCTAGATTCCCTAATCACCTCTCAGATATTTCTGTTTGTTTAACAGAAATAGTTACATAATCTCTTATAGCATTCTGGGTCATGAGCAACTTGTGAAGTGTCTCAGCTACTGCTATTTTCCTGTTGCTGTACAGAAATTCTGGTAGTCTTCCAAGTTTTCTGTGAAAGGGGTGGCAGCATCTGAGTTTTGTTTTGTTGTCTGCAAATAAACTTAACAAAGATTCTCATTGTTTTCTAATCCAAGGAGTGAAATAATGAGAGGGAGCAAGCATTTCTAACAATAAAGTTTAGAAATACTTCTCAATTTCTGCAAAATAGACTGTTGTTTTGATTGACATTGAATTGAATCTACACATTATTATTGTGAAATTGACATATAGAGTCTATTCTTTCAAACTATTAGCCTATTTTTGTTCATTGTTTCTCTAAACAAAGTTTTATGTATATATATTTTATATTGAGAGAATTTTTCTATTAGAAAATTAAGATTATTAAGGGTTACAATATTGTCCCTTATTTCAGGGCATTTTGGTAAAATATTCTACAATAAGTCATATTTCTATCCAAAAGAGTTATTTGACATATGAATAAAAAAAGATAAGGGTTGTGGAGGCCAAATTGTGCTATTGGAATTTGTTGTTAAACATAATTTCCATGCTAATCATTATTCAGAATCACTTAACCTGTTTACTTTGGACAATCTGTTTATGCAGATGTTAAAATACAGATAGGCTCAATGACCAAAATAGAACCAATGTGAAACCAAGAGAGAATATGAAGCGTAAAGCTTATATGATTCAAAATATTAAGTCCTAGTAAACTTAAAATGAAGAAAGCAAAAATGATGAACTTAACCCTGCTTTAACACTGATGGAGACTCTAAAGCGACTTTAACAAATCCCTCTTCCAAAAACCTTTTTTTCTAACTAAGGTTTTATAAACCATGTTATGACAGCCTATACAGATTGTGGAAAATTAAGAAATTAAATATTTCCATGGTCAGAATACTTTGGGGTAAAAATTATTTAGGACATTTTGGGAGTTTATATTTTATTTGGTGAATTATTAATTTGTATTTCTTTTTTAACTTTTATTTTATGTTAAGGGGTACATGTGCAGGTTTGTTACATAGGTAAATGCATATCATGGGGGATTGTCGTATAGATTATTTTATCACCCAGGTACTAACCCTAATGGGCAATAGTTATTTTTTCTGGCCCTATCCTTCCTCTCAAACTCCACCCTCAAGCAGGCCCTGGTATCTGTTGTTCCTCTCCTTGTGTCTCTGTGTTTTCATTGTTTAGCTTCCACTTATAAGTGAGAACATGTGGTATTTGACTGGCTGTTTCTGTGTTAGTTTGTTAAGGATGATGGCCTCCAGCTACATCCATGTTCCTGAAAAGGACATGATCTCATTCTGTTTTATGGATGCATATATTCCATAGTGTATATATACCGCATTTTCTTTATCTAGTCAACCACTGAAGAGCATTGAAGTAGAGTCCATGTCTTTGCTGGCCTCCAGCTCCATCCATGTTCCTGATAAAGACATGATCTCATTCTGTTTTATGGATGCATAGTATTCCATAGTGTATATATACTGCATTTTCTTTATCTAGTCAACCACTGAAGAGCATTGAAGTAGAGTCCATGTCTTTGCTATTGTGAAAAGTGCTGCAATGAACATATGTTTTCATGTGTTTTTATAATAGAATATTTTATTATTTCTTTGTAGGTATACCCAGTAACGTGATTGCTGGGTCAAATGGTAGTTTCGTTTTTAGGTCTTTGAGGAATTGCCACACTGTTTTCCACAATGGTTGAGCTAATTTACATTTCCACCAACAGTGTTGAAGTGTTCCTTTTTCCCTGTAACCTCACCAGCATCAGTATTTTTTTTTTTTTTTTACTTTATAATAATAGCCATGCTGACTGGTGTTAGTTGGTATCTTGTAATTTTGATTTGCATTTTTCTAATGGTCAGTGATATTGAGCTTTTTTATATATATACCTGCAGCCTGCATGTATCTTCTTTTAAGAGTCTGTTCATGTCATTTGCCCACTTTTTAATAAGGTTTTTTCTTGTAAATTTGTTTAAGATCTTTATAGATACTGAATATTAGACATTTTTCAGATGTATGCTTTGAAAAAATATTCTTCCATTATGTAGGTTATGTAGGCTTTCTGTTTACTCAGTTGATAGTTTCATTTGATGTGAAGAAGCTTTTTAGTTTAATTAAATCCCGTTTGTCAACTTTTGCTTTTGGCATCTTCATCATAAAGTTTTTGTCCATTCCTATGTCCAGAACGGTATGGTCTAGCTTGTTTTCCAGGGTTTTTATAGTTTTTGGCTTTACATTTAAGTCTAATCCATCCTGAGTTGATTTTTGTATATAGTATAACAAAAGGGGGGTAATCCCAGCACTTGGGGAGGCTGAGGGGGGGTGGATCACCTGAGGTCAGGAATTTGAGACCAGCCTGGCCAACATGGTGAAACCCCATCTCTACTAAAAATACAAAAAAATTAGCTAGGCTGGTGGTGGGTGCCTATAATCCCAGCTACTTGGGAGGCTGAGGCAGGAGAATCACTTGAACCTGGGAGGCGGAAGTTGCAGTGAGCCAAGATCACACCATTGCACTCCAGCCTGGACAAAAAGCGTGAAACGCTGTCTCAAAAAAAAAAAAAGAAGAAGAAAAAGAAAAGGAGAAAGGTCTTAAGTCAGTGACCTCAGTTTTCACTTAAGAGACTAGAAAAAGGAGAGGAGTCCGTTTCAAGATGGCCGAATAGGAACAGCTCTGGTCTGCAGTTCCCAGCGTGATCAACGCAGAAGACGGTGATTTCTACATTTCCAACTGAGGTACCTGGTTCATCTCATTGGGACTGGTTGGACAGTGGGTACAGCCCACGGAGGACAAGCTGAAGCAGGGCAGGGCATAGCCTCACCCGGGAAGCATAAGGGGTCAGGGGATTTCCCTTTCCTAGCCAAGGGAAGCTGTGACAGACTGTACCTGGAAAATTGGGACACTCCCACCCAAATACTGCACTTTTCCAATGGTCTTAGCAAATGGAACACCAGGAGATTATATCCCCCTCCTGGCTCAGTGGGTCCCAAGCCCACGGAGCCTTGCTCACTACTAGCACAGCAGTCTGAGATCGATCTGCAAGGCAGCAGCCTGACAGGGGGAGGGGCGTCTGCCATTACTGAGGCTTGAGTAAGTAAACAAAGCAGCCAGGAAGCTTGAACTGGGCAGAGACCACAACAGTTCTGCAAGGCCTGCTGCCTCTGTAGACCCCACCCCTGGGGGTAGGGCATAGCTGAACAAAAGGCCGCAGAAACTTCTGCAGACTTAAACATCCCTGTCTGAAAGCTCTGAAGAGAGGAGTGGTTCTCCCAGCACAGTGTTTGACCTCCGAGAATGGGCAGACTGCTTCATCAAGTGGGTCCCTGACCTCTGTGTAGCCTAACTAGGAGACACCTCCCAGTAGAGGCTGACTGACACCTCACACAAGCGGATGCCCCTCTGGGATGAAGCTTCCAGAGGAAGGATCAGGCAGGAATATTTGCTGTTCTGCTATTTGCTGTTCTGCAGCCTCCACTGGTGATACCCAGGCAAACAGGGTCTGGAGTGGACCTCCAGCAAACTCCAACAGACCTGCAGCTGAGGGACCTGACTGTTAGAAGGAAAACTAACAAACAGAAAGGAATAGCATCAACATCAACAAAAGAGACATCCACACCAAAACTCCATCTGTAGGTCACCAACATCAAAGACCAAAGCTAGATGAAACCACAAAGATAGAGAGAAACCAGAGCAGAAAAGCTGAAAATTCTAAAAGCTAGAGTGCCTCTTTTCCTCCAAAGGATTGCAGCTTCTTGCCAGCAATGGAACAAAGCTGGATGGAGAATGACTTTGACGAGCTGACAGAAGTAGGCTTCAGAAGGTCGGTAATAAGAAACTTCTCTGAGCTAAAGGAGGATGTTTGAACCCATCACAAGGAAGCTAAAAATCTTGAAAAAAGATTAGACAAATGGCTAACTAGAAGAAAAGGTGTAGAAAAGACCTTAAATGACCTGATGGAGCTGAATACCATGGCACGAGAAGTTTACGTGACACATGCACAAGCTTCAATAGTTGATTTGATCAAGTGGATAAAAGGGTATCAGTGATTGAAGATCAAATGAATGAAATAAAGTGAGAAGAGATGTTTAGAGAAAAAAAAGTAAAAAGAAACGAACAAAGCCTCCAAGAAATATGGGGCTATGTGAAAAGACCAAATCTATGTCTGATTGGTGTACCTGAAAGTGATGGGGAGAATGGAACCAAGTTGCAAAACATTCTTTGGGATATTATCCAGGAGAACTTCCCAACCTAGCAAGGCAGGCCAACATTCAAATTCAGGAAATACAGAGAACATGACAAAGATACTCCTCGAGAAGAGCAACCCCAAGACACATAATTGTCAGATTCACCAAGGTTGAAATGAAGGAAAAAATGTAAAGGACAGCCAGAGAGAAAGGTCAAGTTACCCACAAAGGGAAGCCCATCAGACTAACAGTGGATCTCTCAGCAGAAATTCTACAAGCCAGAAGAGAGTGGGGGCCAATATTCAACATTCGTAAAGAAAAGAATTTTCAACCCAGAATTTCATATCCAGCCAAACTAAGCTTCATAAGTGAAGGAGAAATAAAATTCTTTACAGACAAGCAAATGCTGAGTGATTTTGTCACTACCAGGCCTGCCTTACAAGAGCTCCTGAAGAAAGCACTAAACATGGAAAGGAACAACTGGTACCAGCCACTACAAAAACATGCCAAATTGTAAAGACCATCGATGCTAGGAAGAGACTGCATCAACTAACGGGCAAAATAACCAGCTAACATCATAATGACAGGATCAAACTGACACATAACAATATTAACCATAAATGTAAATGGGCTAAATGCCCCAGTTGAAAGACACAGACTGGCAAGTTGGATAAACAGTCAAGACTGATCAGTGTGCTGTATTTAGGAAACCCATTTCATGTGCAGAGACACACACAGGCTCAAAATAAAGGGATGGAAGAAGATCTACCAAGCAAATGGAAAGCAACAAAAAAAGCAGGGGTTGCAATCCTAGTCTCTGATAAAACAGACTTTAAACCAACAAAGATCAAAAGAGACAAAGAAGGCCATTACACAATGGTAAAGCGATCAATTCAACAAGAAGAGCTAACTATCCTAAATATATATGCACCCAATACAGGAGCACCCAGATTCATAAAGCAAGTCCTTAGAGACCTACAAAGAGAATTAGACTCCCACATAATAATAATGGGAGACTTAAACACCCCACTGTAAATGTTAGACAGATCAGTTAACAAGGATATCCAGGACTTGAACTCAGCTCTGCACCAAGCAGACCTAGTAGACATCTATAGAACTCTCCACCCCAAATTAACAGAGTTTACATTCTTGTAAGCACCACATTGCACTTATTCCAAAATTGACCACATAGTTGGAAGTAAAGCACTCCTCCGCAAATGTGAAAGAATAAAAATCACAACAAACTGTCTCTCAGACCACAGGGCAATCAAATTAGAACTCAGGATTAAGAAACTCACTCAAAACCACACAATTACATGGAAACTGAACAACCTGCTCCTGAATGACTACTGGCTAAACGACGAAATGAAGACAGAAATAAAGATGTTCTTTGAAACCAATGAGAACAAAGACACAACGTACCAGAATTGCTGGGACACATTTAAAGCAGTGTGTAGAGGGAAATTTATAGCACTGAATGCCCACAAGAGAAAGTGGAAAAATCTAAAATCGACACCCTAACATCACAATTAAAAGAACTAGAGAAGCAAGAGCAAACAAATTTGAAAGCTAGCAGAAGGCAAGAAATAACTAAGATCAGGGCAGAACTGAAGGAGATAGAGACACAAAAAACCCTTCAAAAAATCAATGAATCCTGGAGCTGGTTTTTTGAAAACATCAACAAAAATGATAGACTGCTTGCAAGACTAATAAAAAGAGGGAGAAGAATCAAATAGATGCAATAAAAAAAGATAAAGGGGATATCATCACCGATCACACAAAAAATACAAACTAACATCAGAGAATACTATAAACACCACTACATAAATAAACTAGAAAACCTAGAAGAAATGGATAAATTCCTGGACATATATACCCTCCTGAGACTAAACCAGAAAGTAGTTGAATCTCTGAATAGAACAAAAACAGGCTCTGAAATTGAGGCAATAATTAATAGCCTACCAACCAAAAAAAGTCCAGCACCAGACAGATTCACAGCCGAATTCTACCAGAGGTACAAAGAGGAGCTGGTACCATTCCTTCTGAAACTATTCCAATCAATAGAAAAAGAGGGAATCCTCCCTGACTCATTTTGTGAGGCCAGCATCATCCTGATACAAAAGCCTGGCAGAGACACAACAAAAAAAGAGAATTTTACACCAATATCCCTGATGAACATCTATGCGAAAATCCTCAATAAAATACTGGCAAACTGAATCCAGCAGCACATCAAAAAGCTTATCCACCACGATCAAGTGGGCTTCATCCCTGGGATGCAAGGCTGGTTCAACATACACAAATCAATAAACATAATCCATCACATAAACAGAACTAACAACAAAAACCACATGATTATCTCAATAGATGCAGAAAAGGCCTTTGATAAAATTCAACAGCCCTTCCTGCTAAAATCTCTCAATAAACTAGGTATTGATGGAATGTATCTCAAAATAATAAGAGCTATTTATGACAAACCCACAGCCAATATCATACTGAATGGGCAAAAACTGGAAGCATTGCCTTTGAAAACTGGCACAAGACAGGGATGACCTCTCTCACCATTCCTATTCAACATAGTGTTGGAAGTTCTGGCCAGAGCAATCAGGCAAGAGAAAAAAAAAGGGTATTCAATTAGGAAAAGTGGAAGTCAAATTTTCCCTGTTTGCAGATGACATGACTGTATATTTAGAAAACCTCATCGTCTCAGCCCATAATCTCCTTAAGCTGATAAGCAATTTCAGCAAAGTCTCAGGATACAAAATCAATGTGCAAGAATTACAAGAATTCCTATACACCAACAACAGACAGAGAGGCAAATCATGAGTGAACTCCCATTCACAACTGCTACAAAGAGAATAAAATACCAAGGAATCCAACTTACAAGGGATGTGAAGGACCTCTTCAAGGAGAACTACAAACCACTGCTGTACGAAATAAAAGAGGACACAAACAAATGGAAGAACATTCCATGCTCATGGGTTGGAAGAATCAATATGGTGAAAATGGCCATACTGCCCAAGGTAATTTATAGATTCAATGCCATCCCCATCAAGCTACCAATGATTTTCTTCACAGAGTAGGAAAAAACTACTTTATACTTCATACAGAACCAAAAAAGAGGCCACATTGCCAAGACAATCTTAAGCAAAAAGAACAAAGCTGGAGGCATCACGCTACCTGACTTCAAGCTATAATAAAAGGCTGCAGTAACTACAACAGCATGGTACTGGTACCGAAACAGAGAGATAGACCAATGGAACAGAACAGAGGCCTCAGAAATAACACCAGACATCTATAACCATCTGATCTTTGACAAACCTGACAAACACAAGAAACGGGGAAAGGATTCCCTATTTAAAAAATGGTGCTGGGAAAAAATGGCTAGCCATATGCAGAAAGCTGAAACGGGATCCCTTCCTTACACCTTATACAAAAATTAATTCAAGATGGATTAAAGACTTAAACGTTAGACCTAAAACTATAAAAACCCTAGAAGAAAACCTAGGCAATACCATTCAGGAAATAGGCATGGCCAATGACTTCATGACTAAAACACCAAAAGCAATGGCAACAAAAGCCAAAATTGACAAATGGGATCTAATTAATCTAAAGAGCTTCTGCACAGCAAAAGAAACTACCAACAGAGTGAACAGGCAACCTACAGAATGGGAGAAAATTTTTGCAATCTACTCCTCTGACAAAGGGCTAATATCCAGAATCTACGAAGAACTTAACAAATTTACAATAAAAAACTAAACAACCCCATCAAAAATTGGGCAAAGTATATGAACAGACACCTCTCAAAAGAAGACATTTGTGCAGCCAACAGACACATGAAAAAATTCATCATCAATGGCCATCAGAGAAATGCAAATTGAAACCACAATGAGATAGCATCTCACACCAGTTAGAATGGCAATCATTAAAAAGTCAGGAAACAACAGGTGCTGGAGAGGATGTGGAGAAATAGGAACAGTTTCACACTGTTGGTGGGAGTGTACACTAGTTAAACCATTGTGGATGACAGTGTGGTGATTCCTCAAGGATCTAGAACTAGAAATACTATTTGACCCAGCAATCACATTACTGGGTATATACCCAAAGGATTATAAATCATTCTACTATGAAGACACATGCACACATATGTTTACTGTGGCACTATCCACAATAGCAGAAACTTGGAACCAACCCAAATGTCCATCAGTGATAGACTGGATTAAGAAAATGTGACACATATACACCATGGAATACTACGCTGCCATAAAAAAGAATGAGTTCATGTCCTTTACAAGGACATGGATGAAGCTGGAAACCATCATTCTGAGCAAACTATCCCAAGGACAGAAAACCAAACACCACATGTTCTCACTCATAGGTGGGAATTGAACAATGAGAACACTTGAACAGAGTGGGAACATCACACATGGTGGCTTGTCGTTGGGTGGGGGACAGGGGGAGGGATAGCATTAGGACAAATATTTAATGTAAATGACGAGTTAATGGGTGCAACAAACCAACATTGTACATGTATACCTATGTAATAAACCTGCACGTTGTGCACATGTATTCTAGAATTTAAAGTATAATAATAAAAAAAGAAACTAGAAAAATGAGAGTAAATTAAACTCAACATCAGCAGATAAAAGGAAATAATTAAGATCAGAGCAGACATAAATGAAATGTGAGACAACAATAAAAACCAAAACAATAGAGAAAAATCCAATGAAATCAAATGCTGCTTGAGAACAAGGAAATTGATAAATCTCCAGCAACAGTTACCAGGAAAAAAAAAAGTGAGAGAAGAGAGACAAATGACCAATAACATAAATGAGAATGGTTTTATTACTATAAATTCTACAGATATTAAAAGCATAACAAGAAAACATTATAAATAAATGTATGCCCATAAACATAACAACTTAGAAAGACACAAATTTCCAAAGTTCCACCAGTTATTAAATGTGAATCCTTCAACAAGTTATTTTCAGTGTCTAGACCTCAGTTTCTTTGTATTAAAATTGTAGAGTTTGTGAAGAGTAAATGTACCTGAAGTTATTAGCCATTACTATTATTACTATTGTTATCTTGGATTCAGACTTACAGAGCAAATGAGGATCTGGATGGGACTGAGAAAAAAACATGTGATTCACAAATAGCTACTGCAGGAGTTAGTTGATGTGGTAAAATTCTCTTGATTGGACCTCTGATTTTGTTCAATCTCATCATTTTTGTTTCAAAAGTTTTCCTGCTCACTAGAGAGTACTAATTGGTGCCTTGTGCATTAAAAACCTGATTGATCACTATCATTAACTTGTGCTCATAAAAGAAAGAAAAAAGGGGGACCAGTTTCAATATTCTGCTTATGGCTAGCTGGTTATCCCAGCACCAGTTATTGAATAGGGAGCCCTTTCCCCATTTCTTGCTTTTGTTAGCGTTATTGAAAATCAGATAGTTGTAGGTTTGTGGGCTTATTTCTGAGCTCTCTATTCTGTTCCATTGGTGTATGTGTCTGTTTTTGTAACAGAACCCTGCTGGTTTGATTACTGTAGTCCTGAAATATAGTTTGAAGTCAGGTTATTGATGCCTCCAGTTTTGTTCTTTTTGCTTAGGATTTCCTTGCCTATTTGGGCACTTTTTTTGGTTCCACATGAATTTTGAAATAGTTTTTTCTATTTCTGTGAAGAATGTCATTGGTAGTTTGAGAGGAATGGCATTGAATCTGTAAATTGCTTTGGGCAGTATGGCCATTTTAATGATACTGATTTTTCCTGTCCATGAGCTTACAATGTTTTTCTATTTGTTTGTGTCATCTCTGATTTCTTTGAGCAGTATTTTGTAAATTTCATTATAGAGATCTTTTACCTTTCTGACTAGCTGTATTCCTAGATATTTTATTCTTTTTGTGGCAGTTGTAAATATGATTGCATTCCTGATTTGGCTCTTAGCTTTCCTGCTATTGGTGTATAGGAATGCTTGTGATATTTGTACACTGATTTTGTATCCTGAAACTTTGCTAAAATTCTTTATCAGGTGAAGGAGCTTTTGGGCTAAAACTATGGGGTTTTGTAGATATAGAATAATGTCATCTGCAAACAGGGATACTTTGACTTCCTCATTTCCTACTTGAATGCCCTTTATTTTTATCTTGCCTGATTACTCTGACAAGGACTTCCAATAGTATGTGGATAGGAGTTGTGAGACAGATAGCATCCGTCTTGTGCTAGTTTCAAACAGAATGCTTCCAGCGTTTGCACATTCAGTGGGAGGTTGGCTATGGGTCTTCAAGAGGCCCATCTCACACTCAATGACACTCATATGTTAAAAAAAGGGATGTAGGAAACTCTACCAATCAAAAGGGAATCAGAAATAAAGAAGCGGTTGCACTCCTAAATTTAGACAAAACAAACTTTAAACCAGCAAAGATAAAAAAGGACAAAGAAGGGCATTACATAATAGTAAAGGGTCCAATTCAAAAGGAAAATCTAACTATCTTAAATACACATGCACCCAATATAGGAGCACATGGATTCATAAAGCAAGTTGTTAGAGACCTACAAAGAGACATAGACTTCTGCACAATAAAAGTGGGAGTCTTTAACACTCCACTGACAGTATTAGGCAGATTATTGAGGCAGAAAATTAACAAAGATATTTAGAACCTGGACTAAACATTGGACCAAGTGGCTAATAATAGACCTCTACAGAACTCTCCATCCAAAAATAGCAGAATATATTTTCTTCTCATCGCCATATGGCACATGTTCTAAGTCAACCACGTAATCATACATAAAACAATCCTCAAAAATTGCTATATAAACCTAAATAATACCAAACACACTCTCAGATCACAGTACAATAAAAAACAGAAATCAAGACTAAAAGCATCACTTAAAACCGTGCGATTACAGGGAAATTAAACAACGTGCTCCTGATTGACTTTTGGACAAATAAGGAATTTAAGGTATAAATCAAGAAATTCTTTGAAACTAATGAGAACAAAAATACAACATAGCTGAATCTCTGGGACACAGTGAAGGCAGTGTTAAGAGGGAAATTAGTAGCACTGAATACCTACATCAATAAGTTATAAAGATCTCAAATTAACAACCTAACATCACAACTAAAAGAACTAGAGAAGCAAGAACAAACCAACCAGAAAGCTAGAAGAAGAAAATAAATCAAAATCAGAGCCAAACTGAAGGAAATTGAGATGCAAAAGTCCATTCCAAAGATCAACAAATTCAGGTTTTGATTTTTGAAAAAAATTAAAGAGAAGCATAGGCCACTAGCTAGATTAATAAAGAAGAAAAGAGAGAAGATCCAAATAAACACAAAGAAATAACAAAGGGAATGTTACCACTGACCCCACAGAAATACAAACAACCAGGAGCAACTACTGTGACCAGCTCTGTGCATACAAACTAAAAAACCTAGAAGAGATGGGTAAATTCCTGGACACATAAACTCTACCAAGATGGAACAAGGAAGAAACTGATTCCCTGAACAGACTAATAATAATAATGAGCTCCAGAATTGAATCAGTAATAAATAGCCTACCAACCAAAAAAGCCCAGGACCAGATGAATTCACTGCCAAATTCTACCAGATGTGCAAAGAAGAGTTGATGCCACCCATACTTAAAATATTCCAAAAAATTGAGGAAGAGGGTCTCCTCTCCAACTCATTCTATGAGGCCCACTTCATCCTGATACCAAAACCTGGCAAAGACACAATAAAAAATGAAAACTCCAGGTCAATATCCTTGACGAACATTGATAAGAAATTCTCAAGAAAATAACTGGCAAAACAAATCTAGCAGCAGATCAAAAAGCTAATCCACCATAATAAAGCAGGCTTTATGCCTGGGATGCAAGTTTGGTTCAACATACACATGTCAATAAATGTGATTCATCACATGAACACAGTTAGAAACAAAAATCATATGACTGTCTCAAAAGATGTAGAAAAGGCTTTCGATAAAATTCAACATCCTTTTATGTTAAAAACTCTCAATAAACTAGGTATTGAAGGAACATGTCTCAAAATAATAAAAGCTATCTATGACGAACTTTTCTATCTTTAACACTTAACACAGATTTGTCTTTAAAAACTGATGCTCAATATGAGGAGACAACCAATATGACATTTTGAAAGACAGGTAAGCAACAATAAACTAATGGTGAATATTAACTGAGCACTTACTAATGCTCACCTATAGTTTTGGGTCCTAGATTTCAGCTAGTAGAGAACATAGTGTAAATAAGATGAACCTTGTTCATTCTTAAACATAAGCATGATTAATTTATTAACCAAGTAGTGATTTTTTTTTTTTTTTTTTTGAGAAGGTGTCCGGCTTTGTCGCCCAGGCTGGGGTGCAATGTTGCAGTCTCAGCTCACTGCAACCTCCACCTCCTGGGTTCAAGCAATTCTCCTGCCTCAGCCTTCCAAGTGGCTGGAACTATAGGCATGCACCACCATGCCTGGCTAACTTTTTGTATTTTTAGTAGAGACGGGGTTTCACCATGTTGGCTAGGCTGGTCTCAAACTCCTAACCCCAGGTGATTTGTCCTCCTTGGCTTCCCAAAGTGCTGGGATTACAGACATTAGCCACTGTGCCAAGCAGCTATTTTTTCTAGATAAATTATTCAAACACATTTTTGTAATATATTTAGTCATAAATTTAAGCATGAATTTAAGCATGGTATAGCATTCGGACAATTTGAGGCATATAAACAACTCCCCCCAATAAAATTTCATCTTGGGACATTTATGCAACTATCTCTCACTTAAAACATCTAACATTTCTGTATTTTCAACACTCTAGTACTTCAGGACACAGGTTTAATGTTTGCTTGACTGACTAGATAAACAACTTTAAAAAATAAAATTGTTTTGTTTCATTCATTAAATATGACATTGAAAAATTATAACTGAGCAAAAGCTTCTTTCAAATATAAAAGAGTGATGATAATTTGAAGTTACTAGAGCTCAGAAAGACAGCAAATTTACCACAAAAATTCATGCAAACTTTTTTTTACTTTAAGTGGAGATAACACACATAGTTTCATTCAAACTTTTCAATAATTTTATGTAATTTGAGTAAATATATGTCTAATAAAAGATGTGTGCGTAAATATGAGGTTTAATTTCATATTGTACTGCTTGATTGATCTTTGACTATTCTTGTGATCACTTGCTCGAGAATTTCTAGTTAGTTCATTTCAGAACTTTTGACCTATGAAATTTATTAAAGAAAAATTGGATCATGTAGCCCAAAGTGGCAGATTTAATTAATGTTCTTATATTGATCACTGAATTAATCACATCCATTATTTAACTTCAGAAAATCTTGCTGTCAGCTTTTGCCAAGGTGTTGAAAGTTATCACAGACACAGTCTTTCATGAAACGTTTGCTTAGTAATATTTAATAAGCTCTTTTTATTCCTTTCTTTTTTCTTTTCATATACTATCAGACATTTGGAATTTCTTGCAAGACTAAAAGGCAAAAATCTCTGTGAATGTAATAATGGGAGATAAATGTATTTTTAATATTTGTGCCTATGTTTTGTGTCAGCTAAATGTATCCATCATGAATGAATAAATAAAACACATTTGCATATATATGTCAATCTTTAATCATAAAACTAAATATACAAAGAAATTTTTAGTGCCATTTCTCAAGTACATATTAACATGCCAGGTACTCTCTGTTGGGTGATTATATATATTATGTTTAATTTTACAGCAACACTTTAAGGATAATGAAAATTATCTCAGCATACAAGAAAACATAGGTTAAGAAAAATGCATGTGAGCTCACAGTTAACATAAAAAATAAGCCATTTTAAAACCAAGTCTTTCTGGTCCAAAATGCAGTTCATTCTCTTGTGCTATGTTACTAACAGGTGATAAGAGTCAGAAGATGTAATGAATGTTTTGTTTTAGTTTCTTTTCTTGCAAACAAGCTTTCCAAAGTCTAGTATATGTTTACAGAATTTAGAAGCTATATTCTCATTTTTAGAGTGACGTAAGTACAGTAACCCTGACACTCTTTTCTTTAGCAGTATAAACATTATGCACAGCTACTTGGATTCCCAAAATTGCTAGTTTCATAACTCTTCCTTTGTCTACAAGTCACCAAATAAAAAGTCTTGACATTTTTTCCTTAATTTCAAATTATACTACATAGAACCGCCCCCTTCCAATAAAAAAGACCTTCATAGGAAACACATATATTAACAAATGCATTTTCCTTTTTCTATTGTCTAAACTTTCTATTCAGTTTCTTCTATTTTGAACTATGCTAAGGAAATTTGGGCTTAATGTGGTGCAGAAATGGAATAGAAATGAAAGGAAGATAAATTAAAAAAGAGTATTGGTATATTCTATAAAGAAAAGTTGAGTGAGAAAAATAGCTAGAGATTCTTGAAATAAGGGTAGTATAGGAGTGAATCATGTTTAGTGGGGTGAGATGAAACTGTTTAGATGTCTGGGATAACATGGATGGGAATGCAGATTTTCTAGCCATGGAAAAGTGAAAATCTGAGATATTTGGAAGGAGGTAATAATTTATGAGTTGAGAAAAACTGATTTTTCTAATGTCTATGGATTATACATATGACTCTCTAGGTTTCATAGCCTCTGTGTAACTGTTTGCTAGGCCAAAAACTTATTCATTTTTCCTGTGGCAGTGCTTACTTTATCTTTGTATACATGAACTAGTTAACCATCACTCAAAGAGCCTGTTTAACAAGTCTACATTGTAATACCTCTGGAGTAAAAGATACCTCCCTCTCAAATTCCATGTGAAAAGAGAGATCGTATCTAGTTATAATTCCTGCCAATTGCACAATATAAAAAGAAGGGAGGCAAGTTACCTCACATACAGGGGGAAAACCAATTAAATGTATTTGACAATCCTATATCAGCATTATGGTTAGAGCATAATAGAATTTCTAAAAATCACTGCTCAGATTTATTTTTAACTGTTGAAGGAAAGTGGCCTGATAAATAACTAAATAAATGTGCAGGTTAAATCTGATAGTTACTTAACACATGTTTGACATGGTTTGGTTCTGTGTCTGCACTAAAATCTCATGTTCATTTGTAATCCCCCAGGGTGGAGAGGTTGGATCATGGAGGTGGATCCTTTATCAATGATTTAGCACAATCCCTTTGGTGCTGTTCTTGAGATAAGGTTCTCATGAGGTCTGGTTGTTTAAGTGTGTAGCACCCCTCCCATTTTCCTACTGCTCTGGTCATGTTAGACATGCCTGCTTCCCCTTTGTCTTCTGCTGTGATTGAAAGTTTTCTGAGGCTACCCCAGAAGTCATCATGATTCCTATACAACCTGTGGAACTGTGAGAAAATTAAACCTCTTTTCTTTAAAAATTATCAGTAGTCTCAGACACTTCTTTATAGCAGTGTGAGAAAGGACTAATATAGAAAATTGGTACCAGGAAAGGGCATTGCTATAAAGAAGATACCTGAAAATGTGGAAGCATCTTGATAACTGGGTAATGGGTAGAGGTTTGAACAGTTCTGAGGGCTCAGAATAAGATAGAAAGATGAGGAAAAGTTTGGAACTTCCTAGAAACTTGTTAAATTATTGTGACCAAAATGCTGATAGTGATACAGACAATGTGGTCCAGGCTGAGGAGGTCTTAGATGGAAATGAGGAACTTACTGGGAACTGTAGTAAAGGTCACTGTTGCTATGCTTTAGCAAAGAAACTGGTAGCATTGTGTTCCTGCTTTAGGGGTCTGTGGAACTTTGAACCTGGGAGGGATGATCTGGCAGAAGAAATTTCTAAGCAGCAAAGCATTCAAGATGTGGCCTAGTTATTTCTAAAAGCCTTTTCTCATATGCATGAGCAAAGAAATGAACTGAAACTGGAACTTATATTTAAAAGAGAAGCAGAGCACAAAAGTTTGGAAAATTTGCAGCCTGGCCATGCAGTCGAAAAGGAAAACCCATTTTCAGGGGGAAGAATTCAATCAGGCTGCAGAAATTTGGATGAGTAAAAGGAAGACCAATGCTGATAGCCAACACAATGGAGAAAAGGTCTCCAAGGCATTTCAGAGACCTCCACAGCAGCTCCTTCCATCACAGCCCCAGAGGCCTAGGAGGAATAATGTTTTTTTGAACCAGGCCCAGGGTCCTACTACTCTGTGCAGTCTCAGGACATGACACCCTGCATCCTGGCCACTCCAACTCTAGCCATGACTCAAATGGGCGCAGGTACAGTTCAAGCTGCTGCTTCAGAGTGTACAAACCATAAACCTTGGCAGCTTCCATGTGGTGTTAAGCCTGTGGATGTGCAGAGCACCAGAGCTGAGGCTTGGGAGTCTCCACCTAGATTTTAGAGGGTGTATGGAAAAGCCTGGATGTCCAGGCAGAAGTCTGCTGCTTGGGGGCAGCCCTCATGGATACCTGTACTAGGACAGTGTAAAGGGGACATGTGGGGTTGGAGCACTCACAAAGTACTCTCTGGGGAACTGCCTAGTGGAGTTATGAGAAGAGGGCCAACCATCCACCAGACCACAGACTGCTAGATCCATTGACAGCTGGCACCGTGTGCCGGGACAAGCTGCAGGCACTCAACCCTACCACATGAAAGCAACTGCGGCGACTATACCCTGCAAAGTCTCAGGGGTGGCGCTGCCCAAGGCTTTAAGAGCCTACCCATTGTATCAGTGTGCCCTGGGTGTAGTACATGGAGTCAAAGGAGATTATTCTTGAACTTTCAGATTTAATTGCTGCCTTGCTGGGTTTCAGACTTGCATGGGCCTGAAGTCCCTTTCTTTTGTCCAAAATCTTCTTCTTGTAATGGGAATATTTGCCCAACGTCTGTACTCCCATTGTATCATGGAGGTAACTAACAGGTTCATAGGCAGAAGGGAATAGCCTTGACTCAGAACAAACTTTGAACTCTAGACTTTTGAGTTAATGCTGGAATGAGTTAAGACTTTGGGGACTGTTGAGAAGGGTTGATTGTATTTATTTTGCAATGTGAGGACATGAGATTTGGGAGGCGCCAAGGTTGGAGTGATATGGTTTGAATCTGTGTCTCCACCCAAATCTCATGTTCAATTGTAATCCCCAATGGTGGAGATGGGGCCTGGTGGTAGGTAATTGAATTATGGGGGTTCATCTTTCATGAATGGCTTACCACCATTCCTTTAGTGCTGTTCTTATGATAGAACTGTCATAAGATCTGGTTGTTTAAAAGTCTGTACCACCTTCCCCCACCCACCTTCCTCCTGCTCTGGCCATGTAAGACATGCCTGCTTCCCCTTCACGTTCTGTCATGATTGAAAGTTTCCTAAGGCCTCCCCAGAAGCCTGTCATGCTTCCTTTACAGCCTGTGGAATCATGAGGCAATTAAGCCTTTTTTCTTTACAAATCACCTAGTCTCAGGTATTTCTTTTTAGTAGTGGGAGAACAGACCAATGCAATGTTAAAATTAGAAGTTAAATATTCCTATGATCAGAGCATTTTGGAGTAAAAAAAAAAAATCATCAATCAGTTTGAAAGTTTATGTTTGACTCGATGGACTATTAACTTCATTTTAATTCCTAAAACATTTCAACAGAGAATTTTTTCAGTAAATTGGTGCTCACTGTGAAATAATCAATATGAAATTTTAAAATATAACAAATTAAGCAATAATTAATAACAAATATTAATTTTATTGAATTAGGAGACTTTATTGAATATTTATTCTCTCTAGAAAATGTGAACATTTTATGTACTGACTTATTTTAAAAATACTTATTATTGGTATATGTTATAGCAGGCAAAAGGTAATTTCTTTTAACTCTTATTTTAAAATTTGCCCTAAGCAATCCTTTCAATGGTTTTTAATATAATGTATTTATTAGCTCATTTAAAGTCAAAGTTATTAACTTTGGGGACCATGATTCAGAATTGTACTTTTAGACAAAACACCTGACATGGAGTAGCTGGAGGGTGCTACCAATGAATTAAAAAAAAAAAAAACTCAAGCAGCCAGGGTGCCCATATAGTCAGAGTTGGAACATTTGTTTTGTCTCAGCAAGTTTGGCCTATTTAATCACTGTCATGTAAGTGATGATCAAAACTTAGTATTCATTTATTTTCAGAGAAGACAAAGAAAAAAATTTGAATCATTCAGATGAGTGGGAATAATATATTAACCTGATTCTCAAGACTGGTAAGAGTAAAATATAATCAAATCTTCCCTAAAACACTCAGAAAAACACAAGTTTTATGAAAATAGTTGACAGCAATAACTCTCTTTTTGCTGAAAGGAATATAAAATGGTGCAAACAGAATCATGTTTTTAGTCCATTAAAATACACAAACACTTTGGTTCATTCAGCATCCTGTATTCAGCCAATTAATTGGGACAAACTACTTCAGGAAAAAAAATAGTATTCTGAAAATTATTTTATTTCCTTAGTTCTGCTTCAATGACAGACTGCTTGCAAAGACACTGCTTGCTCACAAAGCAAGGTGGTTAATTGCTAGGGTTATTCTGCTCTGAGATAACATTTAAAATGCAATTATTCTAAAAGCAAGATGGATAGTTACTTCAGTTGCCTAGTTTTAAATCTACATCAACAGAAGTTTTTATGAATGTTAAGTAGATCGTGATTTCACTGTTTCCTCTAATTATTTTGTTTATTTGAGAAAGCTAATAGTCATAAAATTGAATGTCTAATATCATTGAATAAACTGACAAAGTGCTACTAAAATATTTTGTAGACTAAAACAGTTTACAAATGCACTATTGTCCTAAATAATAATGTGTCTGTTGTGTCACTTAGAATTCAATGCCATTCAAAAGCAAAAGAATGTTGTCTTCTTTAACAAAAGGAAGAAATATGGATGTAGTTAGTAAATTTTAAAGGTGCTCAGCATGCTCTGTGACAGACTGCACTGAAATCATGAGGCAGTACATCACAGATGCATAAAAATTTCTCTCACCTGAGTGGAAACATAATATGACGTTCATTAAAAATTTAGAATATATGAATATTTTCTTTATGACGTACGTCATGTAAACATCATACAGAGAAAAAAATTTATATTATGAAAATGTCAATATCCTCCCTCTATCCTTTTATGGTGTGTGCACCATAAAAACTTACAAATGTAAAACACAGCAACACTAACACTTCCACATATTACTAAAACTTAAGCTCCCTAATTTAAATTATTTCACTACATTTTAATGTAGTTTAATTATAACCATTTGCTTATTTATATTTATTGTATATGTTTGGTGGAAATATGATGTTACTTTGCTGCTGCACTTATCTTTGCAACACCATGGTCAATGACATCATGTCTGCCTTGACATCATCTTGAAATCTTCGGTAGGGTATTTACATCACAAAAATTACCAAACATAAAAATCAGGGCTGAATTGATTGTGTTGTTGATTTTCCAGGCATTTAAAAGTGACGATAATGCAAATTCAACTGAAGTGTGGCAATATTTTGAAAAAAAATGTTCTTCCAGTATTTAAAACTACCATTAGATTGAGAAAGAAGATGCTCACTACATTGAAAAATAAGTAAAATGTTGATGCATATCTATCTTTTTCACTTTTGTCTTTCTCAGAACATAAACAAAAATATGGTAGAACAATACTCATTTATCATTCAAAATCGTAATTTGACCACAGAAAACAGCAGTTTGACAAAAATTAATAAAGGCATTCAGTAAGATTAAATTGACTATATGGGGGGGAGGAGCCCAGATGGCCGAAAAGGAACAGCTCCGGTCTACAGCTCCCAGCGTGAGCGACGCAGAAGACTGGTGATTTCTGCATTTCCATCTGAGGTACCGGGTTCATCTCACTAGGGAGTGCCAGACAGTGGGCGCAGGTCAGTGGGTGCGCGCACTGTGCACGAGCCGAAGCAGGGCGAGGCATTGCCTCACTTGGGAAGTGCAAGGGGTCAGGGATTTCCCTTTCTGAGTCAAAGAAAGGGGTGACGGACGGCACCTGGAAAATCAGGTCACTCCCACCTGAATACTGCGCTTTTCCGACGGGCTTAAAAAAAGGCGCACCACGAGATTATATCCTGCACCTGGCTCAGAGGGTCCTACGCCCACAGAGTCTCACTGATTGCTAGCACAGCAGTCTGGGATCAAACTGCAAGGCAGCAGCTAGGCAGGGGGAGGGGCGTCCACCATTGCCCAGGCTTGCTTAGGTAAACAAAGCAGCAGGGAAGCTCGAACTTGGTGGAGCCCACCACAGCTCAAGGAGGCCTGCCTGCTTCTGTAGGCTCCACCTCTGGGGGCAGGGCACAGACAAACAAAAAGACAGCAGTAACCTCTGCAGACTTAAATGTCCCTGTCTGACAGCTTTGAAGAGAGCAGTGGTTCTCCCAGCACACAGCTGGAGATCTGAGAATGGGCAGACTGCCTCCTCAAGTGGGTCCCTGACCCCCGAGCAGCCTAACTGGGAGGCAACCCCCGGCAGGGGCACACTGACACCTCACACGGCAGGGTACTCCAACAGACCTGCAGCTGATGGTCCTCTCTGTTAGAGGGAAAACTAACAACCAGAAAGGACATCCACACCAAAAACCCATCTGTACGTCACCATCATCAAAGACCAAAAGTAGATAAAACCACAAAGATGGGTAAAAAACAGAACAGAAAAACTGGAAACTCTAAAAAGCAGAGCGCCTCTCCTCCTCCAAAGGAATGCAGTTCCTCACCAGCAATGGAACAAAGCTGGATGGAGAATGACTTTGACAAGCTGAGAGAAGAAGGCTTCAGACGATCAAATTACTCTGAGCTACGGGAGGACATTCAAACCAAAGGCAAAGAAGTTGAAAACGTTGAAAAAAATTTAGAAGAATGGATAACTAGAATAACCAATACAGAGAAGTGCTTAAAGGAGCTGATGGAGCTGAAAACCAAGGCTCGAGAACTACGTGAAGAATGCAGAAGCCTCAGGAGCCGATGCGATCAACTGGAAGAAAGGGTATCAGCGATGGAAGATGAAATGAATGAAATGAAGTGAGAAGGGAAGTTTAGAGAAAAAAGAATAAAAAGAAATGGGCAAAGCCTCCAAGAAATATGGGACTATGTGAAAAGACCAAATCTACGTCTGATTGGTGTACCTGAAAGTGATGGGGAGAATGGAACCAAGTTGGAAAACACTTTGCAGGATATTATCTAGGAGAACTTCCCCAATCTAGCAAGGCAGGCCAACGTTCAGATTCAGGAAATACAGAGAACGCCACAAAGATACTCCTCGAGAAGAGCAACTCCAAGACACATAATTGTCAGATTCACCAAAGTTGAAATGAAGGAAAAAATGTTAAGGGCAGCCAGAGAGAAAGGTCGGGTTACCCTCAAAGGGAAGCCCATCAGACTAACAGTGGATCTCTTGGCAGAAACCCTACAAGCCAGAAGAGAGTGGGGGCCAATATTGGGGGGCCAATATTCAACATTCTTAAAGAAAAGAATTTTCAACCCAGAATTTCATATCCAGCCAAACTAAGCTTCATAAGTGAAGGAGAAATAAAATACTTTACAGACAAGCAAATGCTGAGAGATTTTGTCACCACCAGGCCTGCCTTACAAGAGCTCCTGAAGGAAGCACTAAACATGGAAAGGAACAACAGGTACCAGCCAATGCAAAATCATGCCAAAATGTAAAGACCATCAAGACTAGGAAGAAACTGCATCAACTAACGAGCAAAATAACCAGCTAACATCATAATGACAGGATCAAATTCACACATAACAATATTAACTTTAAATGTAAATCGACTAAATGCTCCAACTAAGACACAGACTGGCAAATTGGATAAAGAGTCAAGACCCATCAGTGTGCTGTATTCAGGAAACCATCTCACGTGCAGAGACACACATAGGCTCAAAATAAAAGGATGGAGGAAGATCTGCCAAGCAAATGGAAAACAAAAAAAGGCAGGGGTTGCAAACCTAGTCTCTGATAAAACAGGCTTTAAACCAACAAAGATCAAAAGAGACAAAGAAGGCCATTACATAATGGTAAAGGGATCAATTCAACAAGAAGAGCTAACTATCCTAAATATATATGCACCCAATACAGGAGCACCAAGATTCATAAAGCAAGTCCTTAGAGACCTACAAAGAGACTTAGACTCCCACACATTAATAATGAGAGACTTTAACACCCCACTGTCAATATTAGACAGATCAACGAGACAGAAAGTCAACAAGGATACCCAGGAATTGAACTCAGCTCTGCACCAAGCAGACCTAATAGACATCTACAGAACTCTCCACCCCAAATCAACAGAATATACATTTTTTTCAGCACCACACCACACCTATTCCAAAATTGACCACATACTGGGAAGTAAAGCTCTCCTCAGCAAATGTAAAAGAACAGAAATTATAACAAACTATCTCTCAGACCACAGTGCAATCAAACT
Organism: Homo sapiens; assembly: GCF_000001405.40. Taxonomy (NCBI): domain Eukaryota; kingdom Metazoa; phylum Chordata; class Mammalia; order Primates; family Hominidae; genus Homo; species Homo sapiens. The sequence continues at coordinate 101,182,826 of NC_000005.10, forward strand.
AGAACTCAGGATTAAGGATCTCACTCAAAACCGCTCAACTACATGGAAACTGAACAACCTGCTCCTGAATGACTACTGGGCACATAACGAAATGAAGGCAGAAACAAAGATGTTCTTTGAAACCAACGAGAACAAAGACACAACATACCAGAATCTCTGGGACGCAAAGCAGTGTGTAGAGGGAAATTTATAGCACTAAATGCCCACAAGAGACAGCAGGAAAGATCCAAAATTGACACCCTAACACCGCAATTAAAAGAACTAGAAAAGCAAGAGCAAACACATTCAAAAGCTAGCAGAAGGCAAGAAATAACTAAAATCAGAGCAGAACTGAAGGAAATAGAGACACAAAAAACACTTCAAAAAATTAATGAATCCAGGAGCTGGGTTTTTGAAAGGATCAACAAAATTGATAGACCACTAGCAAGACTAATAAAGAAAAAAAGAGAGAAGAATCAAATAGACGCAATAAAAAATGATAACGGGGATATCACCACCGATCCCACAGAAATACAAACTACCATCAGAGAATACTACAAACACCTCTACACAAATAAACTAGAAAATCTAGAAGAAATGGATAAATTCCTGGACACATACACTCTCGAAAGACTAAACCAGGAAGAAGTTGAATCTCTGAATAGACCAATAACAGGATCTGAAATTGTGGCAATAATCAATAGCTTACCAACCAAAAAGAGTCCAGGACCAGATGGATTCACAGCCGAATTCCACCAGAGGTACAAGGAGGAACTGGTACCATTCCTTCTGAAACTATTCCAATCAATAGAAAAAGAGAGAATCCTCCCTAACTCATTTTATGAGGCCAGCATCATTCTGATACCAAAGCCAGGCAGAGACACAACAAAAAGAATTTTAGACCAATATCCTTGATGAACATTGATGCAAAAATCCTCAATAAAATACTGGCAAAACAAATCCAGCAGCACATCAAAAAGCTTATCCACCATGATCAAGTGGGCTTCATCCCTGGGATGCAAGGCTGGTTCAATATACACAAATCAATAAATGTAATCCAGCATATAAACAGAGCCAAAGACAAAAACCACATGATTATCTCAATAGATGGAGAAAAAGCCTTTGACAAAATTCAACAACCCTTCATGCTAAAAACTCTCAATAAATTAGGTATTGATGGGACCTATTTCAAAATAATAAGAGCTATCTATGACAAACCCACAGCCAATGTCATACTGAATGGGCAAAAACTGGAAGCATTCCCTTTGAAAACTGGCACAAGACAGGGGATGCCCTCTCTCACCACTCCTATTCAACATAGTGTTGAAAGTTCTGGCCAGGGCAATTAGGCAGGAGAAGGAAATAAAGGGTATTCAATTAGGAAAAGAGGAAGTCAAATTGTCCCTGTTTGCAGATGACATGATTGTATATCTAGAAAACCCCATTGTCTCAGCCCAAAATCTCCTTAAGCTGATAAGCAACTTCAGCAAAGTCTCAGGATACAAAATCAATGTACAAAAATCACAAGCATTCCTATACACCAATAACAGACAAACAGAGAGCCAAATCATGAGTGAACTCCCATTCACAATTGCTTCAAAGAGAATAAAATACCTAGGAATCCAACTTACAAGGGATGTGAAGGACCTCTTCAAGGAGAACTACAAACACTGCTCAAGGAAATAAAAGAGGATACAAACAAATGGAAGAACATTCCATGCTCATGGGTAGGAAGAATCAATATCGTGAAAATGGCCATACTGCCCAAGGTAATTTACAGATTCAATGCCATCCCCATCAAGCTACCAATGACTTTCTTCACAGAATTGGAAAAAACTACTTTAAAGTTCATATGGAACCAAAAAAGAGCCCGTATTGCCAAGTCAATCCTAAGCCAGAAGAACAAAGCTGGAGGCATCACACTACCTGACTTCAAACTATACTACAAGGCTACAGTAACCAAAACAGCATGGTACTGGTACCAAAACAGAGATATTGATCAATGGAACAGAACAGAGCCCTCAGAAATAACACCACATATCTACAACTATCTGGTCTTTGACAAACCTGAGAAAAACAAGCAATGGGGAAAGGATTCCCTATTTAATAAATGGTGCTGGGAAAACTGGCTAGCCATATGTAGAAAGCTGAAACTGGATCCCTTCCTTACACCTTATACAAAAATCAATTCAAGATGGATTAAAGACTTAAACGTTAGACCTAAAACCATAAAAACCCTAGAAGAAAACCTAGGCATTACCATTCAGGACATAGGCATGGGCAAGGACTTCATGTCTAAAACACAAAAAGCAATGGCAACAAAAGACAAAATTGACAAATGGGATCTAATGAAACTAAAGAGCTTCTGCACAGCAAAAGAAACTACCATCAGAGTGAACAGGCAACCTACAAAATGGGAGAAAATTTTTGCAACCTACTCATCTGACAAAGGGCTAATATCCAGAATCTACAATGAACTCCAACAAATTTACAAGAAAAAAACAAACAACCCCATCAAAAAGTGGGTGAAGGACATGAACAGACACTTCTCAAAAGAAGACATTTATGCAGCCAAAAAACACATGAAAAAATGCTCATCATCACTGGCCATCAGAGAAATGCAAATCAAAACCACAATGAGATACCATCTCACACCAGTTAGAATGGCAAACATTCAAAAGTCAGGAAACAACAGGTGCTGGAGAGGATGTGGAGAAATAGGAACACTTTTACACTGTTGGTGGGACTGTAAACTAGTTCAACCATTGTGGAAGTCAGTGTGGCGATTCCTCAAGGATCTAGAACTGGAAATACCATTTGACCCAGCCATCCCATTACTGGGTATATACCCAAAGGACTATAAATCATGCTGCTATAAAGACACATGCACACGTATGTTTATTGCGGCATTATTCACAATAGCAAAGACTTGGAACCAACCCAAATGTCCAACAATGATAGACTGGATTAAGAAAATGTGGCACATATACACCATGGAATACTATGCAGCCATAAAAAATGATGAGTTCATGTCCTTTGTAGGGATATGGATAAAACTGGAAATCATCATTCTCAGTAAACTATTGCAAGAACAAAAACCGCATATTCTCACTCATAGGTGGGAATTGAACAATGAGATCACATGGACACAGGAAGGGGAATATCACACTCTGGGGACTGTTGTGGGGTGCAGGGAGGGGGGAGGGATAACATCGGGATATATACCTAATGCTAGATGACGAGTTAGTGGGTGCAGCGCACCAGCATGGCACATGTATACATATGTAACTAACCCGCACAATGTGCACATGTATCCTAAAACTTAAAGTATAATAAAAAAAAAAATTGACTATATGAAATTTATTATACTGTACCATTTAGTATTATAATTCATTAGTATTTTTAAATTATATGCTGCACATTCTGCCTATCAGTAAAGTTTATGAAAAATATATGTGTTTGTATGTGTGTATACATTTATATGTATATGTACACATAATGTTTTGAAAAGGTTATTGTTTAACATTTACCAGCACAATGATGACTAAACCCAACTATGTTAGTAGATACATAAGATGTGAGAAAACACCTCAAAAGTTAAAGGTGATGAGAGTCAATTAAAAAATAATGCAGAGCCTATTATATTCTACTTCTAAGAGATTAATTTTACAAATTGAGAGACAGAAATATTTAAACACATATGTATATATATATATGATCAATACATATCATATGAATATTAAAGTATAATAGTGTTAGACAGAGTAGACTTCAATGCAAGAGGTATTATTTGAGAAAAAGAGGGAATTATTATAATTTGGAAAAAGTCCATCTTCCAGAAATTAAATACACAATGAATAAGCAACAAATAACATACACTTAAAATATATTTAAAAATTTGACAAAACTAAACAACAACAACGACACCAAAATAGAAAATCCTCCAAAAAATATGGAGGTATTTTGAGATATTTTTCTCAAAAACAGTTATTTAAAAAGTGAAAAAATATAATAAGAATATAAGACATTTGAACAATAACATGGACAGAATTGACACAATGTCTGTATAAAGGGCACAGAATTTATCAATAACAGAATAAACCGTATTTAGGTATATATGGGACACTTAATATTGTTGACTATACCCTGGGCTAAGAAGCATGTCTCATCAAAAGGCAAAGGATGAACATTTATAGAACGTATTTTTTTTATCAATACAATTAATTTACAAATTTGTAATAGGGATTTTTAAAAACTCATCAACTACTTGGAAATTTAAGAAACACAATTACAAATCAGGGGCTCAAACATGGAAATTATCTAAAAAAAACTAAATAAATGATAATTAAATCACAGAAGTAAAAAATTGAGAACTTTAGGTTAAGATTTGACGAAAGGAAAAAAATTATATTGCAGAACATAAAAATGTATTTATAAGAGTTGGGAGTACATAGCCTCAGGGACATGAACTCTTCCCACAGCTGAGTCTCACAGACCCTTTCCAAGATCCATCCATGGGCCTTCATGGATTTCCTGATATTTAGTAGCTACCTGTCTGGTTATTGATATATAATCCTCCAAGAAGTATTAAAGTAAAATCATCATGACCACAAAATTGTTGGTTGCTTTCATTTAAGAATCAAATTTAATCTTATAGGTTGACACTGTATATTGTGATGATAATGACTTGTTTATTAGTTCAAATGGCAGATTTGGATACTTTGTTTGCATAGTTCACCCCCTTGGAAAGAGCAAAATAGTGTGTAGAGAGTCACACTTTGAACTTTTATCTGAGAAGGAACATGGGAGCTCAACAGAAAAATTGAAAACATATTTGAATACTTTGAAAGGAGTGGCAGGCAGCAGCCAGGTGGAAAATTGCAAGTTTTCAGAGCATGAAAGTGGAGAGGGACTGTCTTCATCCTACACATTCCCATTGGGGAGCCAGGCAGTCCAAGCCACAGGGAACTCCTTGACCCTACCCAACACTTGATCTGACTTGATGAACAGAGGATAGTTTTTAAGAGGTAATGGTATCAGGAAATGTTTTGCATGCACTTCCAGGCCCTTGTGCCAATAAAAGGAAGACATTCCTGATCCTAATTCACAGGAGACCTCAGGGAACTTTGCCAGCCACCTCAGGAGGTGGTCACATTAGATCCCAACTGAGATTTGCAATCTAATTGTTAGTGAGGATGAATCTGCACAGCCAGATAAAATTAGCTAAAAATAAAGAAGAAATAAAGTCCTTCCCAGACAAATGCCATGGGAATTTGTGAATACTAGATCCACCCTATGAGAAATACTCAAGGGAGTTCTAAATATGGAAATGAAAGGCTGATACTGACAATCATAAAAACACATGAAAGTATAAAATCACAGGTCTTATAAAAATTACACAAATTAGACTGCAAGAAACCAGATTACAGTTAACATTATGACAGAAACAAAACTTCACATATCAATATTAACCATTAATGTAAATGGATTATGTTCTCTACTTAAAAGATATAGATTGGCAGAATCAATTGCAAAGTGTGATCAAACCATATGCTGCTTAGAAGAAACTCACCTAACTGGTAAAAAATTAAAAAAAATAAAAAACAAACAACAATACAATAAACTTATAGACTCCAAGTAAAAGGTAGAAATTGATATGCCTCACAAAACCAAAAACAAGTAGAAGTACCTATAGTTGTGTTGGATAAAACAGCCTTTAAATCAACAACATTTAAAAAAAAAACAAAAAAAGGTCATTATATAGTAATAAGGGGATCAGTTAAATAAACTTATTTGGACCCAACACTGGAGCACCCAGATGTATGAAACCAATACTACTCAACCTAATAAAATAAATAGATAGTAATACAATAAAATTTAACAGCCCACTGACAAGACTAGACAGATTATTGAGAAAGAAAATCAACAAACACAGAACTTAAATTGCACTTTAGTCCAAATAGACCCAACAGTAATTTACTGAACATTCTACCAACAACCTCAGAAAATACATTCTTATCATCAGTACATGAAACATTCTCCAAGATAGACCACATGTTAGGCCACAAGATAATTTTCAGTAAATTAAAAAAGTGAAAATTTTATCAAGTATGTTCTCAGACCACAGTGAAATAAAATTCAAAATCAATTCTAAGAGAAACTCTCAAAACCATAAATTAAATAACCTGGAATACATGGAAATTAAACAACCTACTTCTATGTGATCTTTGGATCAATGATGATATCAAGATGAAGATTTTAAAATTTTTAGTAATAAATGAAAATTGAGACACAACAGATAACATAACTTCTGGGATACAGCAAAAGCAGGCCTAACACAAAAGTTTAAAGCATTAAATGACAACACTTAAAAAACAAAAGCAAGTAAATAAATTAACAACTTAATGTCACACCTTAAGGAACCAAAAATGAAAAAAACAAACAAGATCCCAAATTGGTAGAAGAAAATAAAAACAAAGACCAGAACAGAACTAAATGAAATTGAGACAAAAATATACAAAGGATCAATTAAAAGAAAAGTTGGTTCTTTGAAAAGTTAAACGAAATTGTTAGACCACCACCTAAATTAACCAGAACAAGAAAGAAGATTAAAATAAGCACAATCAGAAATGAAAAAGGAGACATTATAATTGATACCACAGAAACACAACATATTATTAGTGACTAGTATGACCATATCTATGCTCACAAACCAGAAAACCCAGATTAAATGAATAAATTCCTTAATACATACAATCTCCCAAGATTGAATCGGAAAGAAGTAGACACCCTGGGCAAAATGATAACAAGTTTTAACACTGAACCAATAATTAAAAATTATCCAATGAACAAGGGGCCCGGGACTACATGGGCTCACAACCAAAATCTGCCAGATGTACAAAGAAGAACTGGTACCAATCCTACTGTAAATGTTCTAAAAAATCAAGGAAATGAGACAATTCTCTAATTTGTTCTACAAAGCCAACATTTCCCAGATATTAAAGCCAGATAAGAACATAACAAACAAACAAACAAACAAAAACACAAACCAATATTCCTGACGGACATAAAAACAAAAATGCTCAAGCAATCAGGCAAGAGAGATAAATGAAATCCATACAAATTAGAAAATAAAAAGTCAAATTATCTGTTTGCTAACAATATCACGTTGTGCCTAGAAACTATTAAAGACTCCTCCAAAAAGTCCTAGAGAGATTTTACCAATGAATCCATTAAAGTTTTAGAATACAAAATCAACATACAAAAATCAGTAGCATTTCTACACACCAGTAACGATCAGGCTTAGATATAGATTAAGAAAAAATCCCATTTAGAATTGTTAACAAAATGCCTAGAAATAATGTAACTAAGGAGGTGAACGATTTCTACAAGAAAAACTACAAAACACTGAAAGGAATTATAGATGACACAAATGGTAAAATATCCCATGCTCCTACATTAGAATAATTAATATTATTAAAATGACCATACTGCCCACAGCAATCTACAGATTCAGTGTAATTCTTGTCAAAATACCAATGTTATTTTTCACAGAATTAGAAATTAGAAAAAATAATTCTGACATTCATATGGCACCAAAAAAGAGCCTTAATAGGCAAATATATTATTGCCACAAAAGAACAAAGTTTGAGACATCAAACTACCTGACTTAAAATTATACTATTATATAGTATATAAATAAAGATGCATAGACCAATGAACCATAATAGAGAAAACCAAAATAAAAGCTACATCTAATTGATCTTCGACAATGTCAACAAAATCATATACTGGGGAAAGGGTACACTATTTAATATATGGTGCTGGGAAAATTGGATACTTATATGCAGAAGAAAAAAACTGGACCCTTCTCATTATATTAAAAAAATTAAGATGGATTAAATACAGATGCAGGACTTGAAACTGAAAGTTCTAGAAGAAAACCCAGGAAAAACTCTTCTCAACAATGGCCCAAGCAAATAATTCATGATTAAAACCTCAAAAGCACACAAAAACAAAAATAGACAAATAGGACTTAATTAAACTAAAAAGCTTTTGCACAACAAAAATTATAATCTACAGAGTTAAGAGACAACCTCAAGCATGTGAGAAAATATTTGCAAACTATGCATCTGACAAAGGACTAATATCTAGAATCTTAAAGAACTCAAACAATTCAACAAGGAAAACCAAATAACCCATTTAAAAATGGGCAAAAGATATGAACAAACATTTCCCAAAAAAGAAATACAAATGACTAAGAGACATATGAAAAAATATTAAATATCACTAATAATTGGAGAAAGGCAAATCAAAACCACAATGAGATACAACTTCATACCAGTCAGAATGGCTATTATTAAAATGTGAAAAAATAACAGATGTTGGTGAGAATGTGGAGAAAAAAGAATACTTATACACTGTTGGTTGCAATGTAAATTAGTACAACCTTTATGAAAAACAGTATGGAGACTCCTTGACTCCTTAAAGAACTAAAAAGCCGTTTAATACAGCAGTTTCACTACTGTGTATCTATGCAAAGGAAATCAAAGTTAGTACGTAAAAATGATACGTGTAACCGTATGTTTATCACAGCACTATTCATAATAGCAAACATACAAAATCAAACTAAATGTCTATAAATTAATTACTGGATAACTAAAATGTGATGCAGACACACAATGGAATACTATTAATATCAAGGAATAAAATGATGTCTTTGACAGCAACATGGATGGAACTGGATGCTATTATTTTAGTGAAATAACTTGGAGAGTCAAATATCACGTTTTCACTTATAATTGGGAATAAAGAATGTGTTCACATGGGCACAGAAAGCAGAATAATAGATTTTGGAGATTTAGAAAGGTGGGAGGCTGGTAGGAGGGTGAGGAATGAGAAATTTTCTAATTGGTACAATGTACACTATTCTAGTAATGGTCACACTAAAAGCCTGTATTCCCCACTATGCAATATATCCACGTAACAAAACTACACTTGTACTCCCTAAACCTATATAAGTATGAAACAAGTTGACAAAAAGCAATCATTTAAGTATCTGTCTCAAAAGCTGTAAGTATCGAAGCAAATCCAATGGAAATATGATAAAATTAAACAATATTGAGCAATTAATGCAACAGAAAAAAGTTTAAAGAATGTACAAAAGTGAAAACTTAGTTTATTTTGAAAAAGTAAAAATGTTAATTTTCTAACAAGGTTTATCAACTAAGCAGAAATGAAAGAACAATTAATATTTATAGAAATGCAAAAGATGACAAAGCAAGTGATTTTACAGAAATAAAGAAAATTAGAGTGTATAATTATGAGATTTATACTTAAAAATTTAGTACAAATATATAAAATACAACTTACCAAACTGATAACAATATGAATACCTATGTATTTATGTACATATTATTATGGATGTGTGTGTGTGTGTGTATTGCATACTTCAAATCTCTAGATTTTAAGGAAGTACTTACTGATTTATTTTATAATTTAATAATTACATAATTTTTTAAAGTTTGGCATGATGTTTATCTCAAAATCTTAAAAGAACATTATATGAAAAAAACTAAAAATCTATCCCATAATCATATAATATATACTTATTTATATTATATATATAATTATTTAAAAACCAGCTCTATTTGTTAATGTTATTATGTTGGATATTTATTTGGTTTTAAAAGATTTGTTTTTCATTAAATAACAAACTAATATATTAATATCAGAATAAAGAAGAATGTGTGATTTACTCAGTGGATGTGGAAAAACATTTGATAATGTTGAAAATTAATCCACAATAAAAACTTGTAGCAAATAAAGCATGGATGGGAAATTTCTATACAATTCAGAATATCTACAAGATACTTACAGCCATCATTACACTTAAGGTAAATTTTCAAAGCTTTCCTCATGAGATTCAGGAATGAGGCAAGTGTGCATATTATCTCAGCTTCTTTTCATCGTTTTATTGTAGAATCCAGTCAGTGCAATAAGAAAAGCTCTCCCTACCCCATTCCAAGTAGAAAAAAAGATAAAAATCAAAAGGAAGAAAGATAACTTATTATTTACATGACATAATTTTGAATGCAGAAAATACATGATGTTCAAAATTAAATCACTGCAATTAATGGGTGTATATAGCAAGAACACTGCAAACAAATTCCATATAAAATTCTATGGAATTTCATACATAAGTGATTAATTACTAAAGTCAGATGTATAAAAATAATTAAATTTACACTAGTATCATAAAATATTAAATATCTAAGAATAAATGTACTGAAAATCATATGATTATTTTTTACTTAACAATTAAACATGGGGATAAATTTAAAGACATATGAATTGAGGTCAATAATGTATTCATGGAATGGAAATGAAATGTTTAAATTCTTCCCAAGTTAATCTATAATTCAGTGTAATAAAAAATAAAAATTAAAGCAGTTATTTTCATGACAATCACAAATTTTATAAAAATGAAAAATTACCAAGAATAGCTAAGATATAAGAATTTTACATTGGCTATTGAGTTACTACAAAGATTTATTAATTCAGGGAATGTGGTATTGTCACAATGACAAATAGATAAATGTAACTATTAATAAAAAGATGAAATTGAATCTATATAGAGAACTGAGAAACCGTGTACAAATAAATGGTACCTGATTTACAGAAAATAAATCTGTTTATAATAGACATTCTACACAATAATAGTGTTGGATTGACTACACAGCAGCATAAAAAAAGAAACCTTTTCTCATACATCACAGAATACATAAAAGTAAATTCCAGATGAATTGTAGATTTTAATCTAAAGGGAAAAGCCATGACAAAAATATAAAAATATCTTCACTACTTTGAAGTAAGAAAAACTTTTTTACATATGCTATGATATGTAAATTATGGTATGTTAAAATTAAAAAGTTGTTCACCATTACTTGCATGCAAGGACAAAAAATGTCGTGGGTAAAAGATATTCCCAAATATAAAAAACCCAACATAGAATGCACACATTTTACATGCAGACAACACACACACACCAAACATACATGCACATATACATATGGTTATATCTACTAAAGTTGAGCATATGAACTTTCTATGACGAAGCATTTCTACTCTTAGGGTATAGGTGATAGAATGCATATATACCTACCTACATACATATACACACACACACATACACATATATATGCACTTAATTTATATACAAGAACATTCATGAAGAAAATACAAAATGATTTTTGTCATTATGATATATATTAGTATTATGACACCAACAAATCTTCATGTCTTAGCAGGAAATGGCTAATGTATGGCAAATAATGGAGTATTCCATAAGCCTGAAAATGAAGGAATTTTACAGGAAGAAGTAACATGGATCCATATACAAAATACTATGAGTAAAAAAATATATATACTATACGTGATCTTATTTATTTATAGTTTTAATACAATGAAAGTAAACTTATGGCTTTGAAATTCAGGATATGATTATTTTAGGGAAGGAAAGAGGTTGTAATAATTGAAGTGGGAAAGAAGACAAGGTTCTAGGAAGCTAATGATATTATACTACTTATTTTATGTTCACTTAGTGATACTGTATTGATTTTTGCACTTCTGACATGTGACTTTTCTAGAAATGTATTTTGAAAGTATGTTTTATAAAACACAAAATCTACAGAAGATAATAGCTTCTGAATTCCATTAATGTATTAGAAATAGATCATAATAAATTAGAAACGTCCATTGTTTTGCATTTTATGAATGCAATTTTTTTCAACTTTAGTAATCAAATGACATATTTTGTTAGTTTACCAAATGACATCAACAAAAATAACAAATATACCAGTTCTAAAATATATAAAGTAAGAACAAATAATGGTGTTTAAAAATGGTAAAGTCTCTGGCAAAACAAGTAATCAATTGCAAATTAAATGAGAAAAAGCTAAAAATATTGTCATTATAATTATCTACAAAATAGGAATATACACTATCCCCATAGTTATTCAACATTTTAAAGATGTTTAACAAAATATGTGATAAATATTTGTAAAGTATTCATTTCTAAATTTAAAGATGATCTAAAAATTCAATGATACCCTAGTAAGCATATTAAAATTATTAACAAAATTTGATAAAGTGGCAGTTATAATGTAAAAATTAAAAAGTCATAAACTTTCATTCTAGGTAAGAAAATATAATTATGTTACTCTTGTGTTATTAACTTTTTCAAAACAGATTGTGATAGTTATTTTAAAAAAGAAAACGAAAACATATATGTAAGCCCCTAAATGACATAGTATCTACATATAGAAGTAAAAAAATATAAAACACAGGTTTGTTGAGCTCTATGTTTAGAAATAGACAGTGGAGGTCAAGAGTTTGTTTTCTGCTAGGTAAAATGGAGTGGAAGTGTTTCAACCTCATGCCTAAAGCAAGGCACTGTGGAATGAGAGCTTTGTTACTATCCAAATACTGAGCTTTCCTGCTTTCTGCCAAGTATTTTGACAGAAGAAAAATAACAGGTTAACAAACAAAAGGAGAAGATATTCATGCACTGAATGTGGACTGTTTTTTTGGTTCAATAGATATTAAAAAGTATAGACATGGGCTCGTGACCAAGAGCTGTACCAAAGTATCTGGCTTTTGAATATCTCCTGGATAAGCAAAGACAGAATATCTAAACTTTTTATTACCACACTGGCGTGTGGAACGAATGGTGGAGGCAACCAAAAATGATAAGAGAGCAGCCAACATAAGCAACAACTGTAAAACAAATTCATTTTGGCCAGAGTTGTCACAATAGAAGATATTTAGAGATGATATTACATTAAGTTAATTTGGGATGTTCAAAGTACTAAGAAAAAAAAAAAGGCCCAAAACCAAAACCAGCATACAAGTATGCAAAAAATTTTATACACATATACAAGCTCATTCCACAGAATGGACAAATATGGAAGATTATCAGTCACAGACTTTCCTAATAGAACTATAAAATCATGTTAATTCTAGCAAACCTCTTAGATTTACTAAAAAACATTTTTAATCGAGAATTCATGAATTAAAAAAATTAGAAATCACAAATGAGTACAAAAGTTGAAATAATAGTAATAGAAATATAATTAATAAACCACCGTATAATATAAAGTTAATTTATCCCTAAGAAAAAGCAATTCTAAAATAAATAATAATGGGAGAGTTGTGCGTTCTAAGTTTTTTTCCTTATGTGGGGAGGAAAAATGGAAAGAATAAGTACATATTTAGTTAGCAAATTAATGTATAAAGAGCAATGTTAATAACTTAAAATTAACCATTAAAGAATAAAGTTGAATATAAGGTTTCTAAACTAGCAGAAACAAAAAATAAAAAATGAATATTTTAAAATTATGAATTTAGTGAATGGAAGATAATAATAGAAGGAAATCAAATATGATATTAAACATAACATAAAAAGGGCATGGTAGAAATAAATTCAAAAAAAGTATGCTTATGCAATGGAATACTATATGCCAGTCAATATGAAAAATATGTATAGATAAGAATACAGCCAAATATTCAAAGTAATATTATAAATAAGAGTTTCAAAAGTTTAGAGACAGTATGACAACAATTTTATAAAGATAAAATTTTGAAATGACAAATAGAAACATCAAATTTACCAAAATAATTACATCTGAGGACAAAATATGTGGAGGAATTAAAAATAAGAGGAGAAATTCAAACAGAAACTTCACCATACCTAATGTTTTATATTTATATAAAATTTAAAGATCTAAAGACTAAATGACAAAGTTGTTGAGATTTAATAATGGATGATGAGTGTTTTAGTGTTAAACATATTATTTTTATACTAATATTGATAGTGAACAAATATTAAAAATAATCATTAGATTTCTCTATTCTAATAAAAGCTAATTCTAGAAAAAATAATTTATTCAACTACTAAAATTTATTTTTAAATATTTTGATATAAATAATTATTTAACTTTTGTTGACTGTTATATGAATTGTCTATATTTCTTTTTCTTAGGTGGATATAATTCGTTATGCCAAAACCAATTAAGAAATAATTTTCTCCCATTAGTTTTCAATGGTATTTTAAATGTGGTATATATAGTTCTCATACATTCTTGAGTAAATTAGGAGAATATTTTTCAAATCTTTAGCATGGTTTGGCCTTTCAAGCAAGGGAAGAAACCAGAAAGATCTTAAGAAAAATAGCGTAATTAATTTCATAAAACATACTATTTTTAATATTAAAATAATCTATGAAGTAACAAGAAAAAATTTCAAAATAAGTGAAGTATATTTTATAGTACAGTCTAAGGTTTCATATTACTAATTTGGAAATAATCCTACAAAATCATAAGGAAAAAAACAAGCAATCCATTAGAAAAAAAGGCAAATGCAAAAGCAAACAATGAACATAAAAGGCTCCCTAAGAAACACCTGAGAAGCTGTCCTATCTAGCTAGTACTTTGAGAAAAGCAAAATGAATTAAAATAAAATAGAGATTTTCATTCATACGCTTGCTAAACCTTTTAAAACTCTATAACAATGAGAATTGTCAAGAGTGACAAAATTGTACATTCCATACCTGCTTGTGGGAATGTGAACTGCGGTAAAATTAGTAGGGTATTACCCGGCAATATCTATTAAAAGTACAAATAGTTTTTTTTTTTAATTTCTTAAAATTTAAATTTGTTTCAGAATCATCTCAAGTATTACAGGAATTCTATTAATTATAATTCTTACATTCCTTTTTTTATATACTTTAAGTTCTGAGATACATATGCAGATCATGCAGATTTGTTACATAAGTATGCATGTGCCATGGTGGTTTGCTGCACCCATCAACCCGTCACCTAGGTTTTAAGCCCCACATGCATCAGGTATTTGTTCTAAGGCTCTCCCTCCCTTTGCCCCCCATGCACCGACAGGCTCCGGTGTGTGATGTTCCCCTCCCTGTGTCTAGGTGTTCTTATTGTTCAACTCTCACTTATGAGTGAGAACCTGCGCTGCTTGATTTTCGGTTCTTGTGTTAGTTTGCTGAGAATGATGGTTTCCAGCTTCATCCATGTCCCTGAAAAGGTCATGAACTCATTCTTTTTTTATGGCTGCATGGTATTCCATGTTGCATATGTGCCATATTTTCTTTATCCACTCTATCATTGATGGACATTTGGGTTGGTTCCAAGTCTTTGTTATTGTGAATAGTGCTGCAATAAACATATGTGTGCAGGTGTCTTTATAGTAGAATGACTTAAAATCCTTTTAATACAAAATTCTAACTTTAGGAAATCTATGCTGTCAAAATAAAAGCAAGAATGCATAAATAATGAAAATAATGTGTACTTTTTTTCCATTTTTTGTCCCAAATGGCAGAACAAAAACATCTGAAACTATTTACAGATATCAGTATAGCGCTTTATGTTATTATGAACACAAAGAAATATATAAATGACAATGCACCAACTTTTTAAAATTAATTATTTATGAGTATGTGTGTGGTTCAGGAATAAAAGTAAATGTCAGAAAAATTGCTAATACATTCTCTACATATCTGTATTTTACTTATTTTAGCAACTTTAAATTTTTTATACAAGTGAATAAAGTAATTTTTAAAACTTTAAATACATATTAAAATAATAACATTAAATTAAGGTGAATATTGATGTTGTTTTGTAGATACCAAATCATTGTGGATAACATGAACATAATTCTGATTCATGTTTCCATAGGTTGTCTACAACTGGCATGCCTGTACTACCATGTGTGTTTGTGATGACTTAATTCTCCCAATGATTTTCTGTATTCTAACTATTGAGATACCTTTAATTTCAGCATATAGTGACATCACTATCATTTAAGTGTTAGAGGCTGACCTGTCTTTTAAATATTAAAACAATTCTTGTTCTTATTTGCTTGCAGTAACAAGAGAAGTTATACTTGGCATCAATGTAGTTATGTAGAAAAATGAATACACAGGTACTAAAAGATAGGACAAAACCTAGGGATAAGATAGTCTTCTAAAACATTTGTAGAATGTTGATATTATTATTATATATTTCACTATAGAGTAAAAAAAGTACACAAGTATCAAAAAACAATCTCATAGAATGTCTCAGACCCCTACAATTCATTCACTTTCTGTGTTCTGTTTACCCATTTGTGATTTCGGAAACATCTTTTCCAGTGGTGCGATCTTGGCCCACTGCAAGCTCCACCTCCTAGAAACATCTTTGATAGAAAATTATTTATGCAGACCGAGCTTCTTGCTTTGTGTAAACAGGTTCAATTATGCAAAAAAGTGTATATCTTACTAAGAATTTTTATAAAATTATACGTGAAATTTTTTGTTCTGTTGTTTTTAAATTTCCTCAAAAGTTAAAGACACTTTTAACTTTGCATCTTGTCCAAACTCTCCTTTTTAGCACCTTGGCTTATTAAAATGACCTTAAACATTTTTTAGGACTAAATTGAATCTATTTTTAATGATTCTCTCTTCAACCCTAATACACTGTTAGAGCTCACCAGATAGCAAGAGAGACATGGTTAGTATTTGAAATTCATCTAATCAGCTCTCTTTAATGTGTTAAATCCACTAGTACTGAGGGGCATAAGAGGGAAAGTGAAAAGGATAAAGGTTCCTTTACTTGTTTGGCAAATAGTTAATCCTTTTTAAGGCTGTTGCTGCTTTGTGACAAGGGCTGGCTTTCAAAAATCTGTAAGGGCTGGATTCTGAATTTGTTTTCACTTTCAAATGTATTTGCGAGTACTTTGGAAGACCCTGTGTGGGACTCCACTTTGCACAGTTTTTGATGTAGAAGAACTTGCTTTGACTCATCTTCTCTATGCCTACCTCAGTTCTGTACAGATTGAAATTCCTCTTCAAAATGTGACTACCTTTCTTCTAGCCTTCCTTTCTATTGATTGAGGAATGTTTATGATGATGATGGTAAAACTAGCGTGAGCACCTTTCAAAGGGGACCTGTATGAAAGTGGCTGAGCCCAATGGTTAGTGACTTTCCAAATGTTGATTTTGGCTATTAAGAACTTTTCTCTCAACATAGGGCTTCAGTCACAACCCTGTTATAATAGAAAAAAAAATCCTGGTTATAAATCAGAATTGGTATTAACACTACCAAATTCTTCTGACAGTTTATAGTAATTTTTCTCATTTTAATTGGTTTTAAGATCACATATTGTCTAATTCTCTCTCACTGTCCTACTCTCCATGGAACATAAAGTGAATACAACTAATATTTCTTAGTGAAGACACTTCTAATCATGTTCCACACTCAGCCATTTGATTTGTGCAGTATTAAATGCATTTTAAAATGATAATTTGCTTTCTAACTTTTTCTGTGTTTTTGACTGACATTTATCTCTCTCACATCTTTTAATATACAGGTTGGTGGTATTTACTTGTTAATCAAAATTTATCTGTCTTTTCCACAGTACCATGTACTGGCTTAGGGAATAGAAAATCAACAATGAGCAAGATAGGCACTGTCCCTATCTCATGGTGTTATTTTTCTACAATTCTAGAGACTATTACATTAATTTGGTATTAGCATTGTTTCAGAGAGTGCTGGTATCAGATAGCTAAATGAAAATATAAGAGTATTAAAATGAGAAGTATACAGCCAGCACAATTTTTAATGTCCAAGGATAAATAAAAATATGACTTCACGCATTGTATCTCTTATGGCATTACTATTAAAAATGGCTTATGCCATTTAAGTTTTAGAAAATAGAAACGTTTGGACTCTCATTTATAGATAGACTCTCTGTTCTATCATTTATCTGTACCAGATCAAACGTTTACCTTCCTTGCGCTTTGTTAACATAAAGTGATGAAGCATACTTCTGATGAATATAGGCTTTCAGAAATGTTAAACCATTGTCATAATGTTGTGCTGTAAATACAATTCCAAAACAGGGCAAAAAAAAAAACCTGTATTCCACCCTTAATTAACAGAAAGGCACACAGTGGCAAGAGCAAGTGCATAAGGCTGGTAATATGAGCAACTGTGGAACGCTAACAAATATGTTGGTAGTCTGAACACAATACAATGAAGAATATCTGGAACAGAGTCAGATAAATTAAAATATTTGTTCATTTATATCCCACATAGAACTGAGTACTGCTTAAGATTTTTGAAATCATACAAAAATAGGAACTAATATATGTCACAAACTTCAAAGAGATGCTCTACACCAATGCACACATTCATGTAGAGTCCCATAAATGTATTACATTGTAGAGGGTTATTATCAGTTCCTAATATTTTTGTTTTTATTCATTATATGGACAATATGAGCTAAATATTTGTTTCAATTATTTAGAATATCAGTTGGATATAGTGGTACAAATAGTTACCTAATATTAAGCAATAAATTACTTTAAAACTTCTTGAAAAGTGTTTTTCAATATGCATAAAAATGCTTTCATAATTACAGAATAATCATATGAAAGTTAGAAACCATAGTTTCTAGCACATTGCAAAATTTTCCCAAGTCAAAGAGTATTTTTATGCTAATATTCTTAATAATTGTGTCTAGTTAAACAATATTATATTTATACCCTAACCTGCAGTCCTGAGATTATAAAAAAAAAAATCAAATCTACGTGCTTAATTTTTGGTTATGTTTATAACAACCTTAATAAATATTGCAAATAAACTAAGCAAACAAAAAATGTCCTTTCAAAGTTAGAATGGAACAAATCTTTACCATTAAACAACTGGTCATGAGAGGTATTCAGAAGGGGAAGGCAGCCCACCACAGTGAAAGTAGCAAAATGTAGGGAGTACCGTTTTTCTTTGTTTGAAGGGTGTGTTACCTTCTAACATTTTTGTTGATTCCTTAGTAATATCATAGATTTAAGAAGCCTTTGAAAAGTAACGCATACACTGAACCATACATCCATAAATTTCTATTACAATTACCATTATTTCTGCTAGTGCATAAATTATAAATGAGTAGAAATAATTTTCAAATCTTTTACCCTCTCTAAGCATTAACGTGTCCCCACTAAGGCTCCTTCATATACATTTCTATGGCGTAGTCATAATGTCTTAAAATAATTTCTTTATAAAACAAGTGTGTATATTATATATGTTACTCACTACTCGAGGCAGTGCTAATTTACCAGTGATCATGTAAAGAAAAACTTTTACTCACATGAAACATAAATTATATTAAATTAGATAGGAAACCCTAATACAACACAAAATCAGCAAAATATGTAAGTTTTCAAAAGAATAATAAATACAAAGAAACTAAACAAGGAAAGGAGAGCAAGAATAATCAAGCAAAGGAGAAAAATAGGATACCTCGAGAAAGATATATTAAAGAAATGACATTTCAGTGGCAACATGAAGTAAGTATGTGACCAGGCCATAATAATACCAGGAGAAATAAAATTGCAATGAAGGAAAACAGCAAGTGTAAAGCTCTGAGGTAGCAGCTTGCCTGGTATGTTTATAAACCAGCATGTAGGCCACTATGGCTTCAACAGAAAAAGGAGAGATAATAATAGAAGATGAGGTCAAAGAGGTAACAGAAGGCTAGAAAATATATTTACTTATGGATCATTTTTAGGATACTGGCTTTTGCTCTTAGAGAGATGGAAGCTGCTAGGTTTTGAAACAAGAAATCTCAAGATCTGACATATTTTAGCAGACTCACTTTGGTGGCTGTATTATGAAGAGACTAAGGATGGTGAATAAAGGAAGGAGTAGAGGTACTATTTTGAAGTGTATTCGAGTAACACAGGAGAAAGATTTTGATAGGGTGGACTAGAGTGGTAGCAGAGTATCAACCAAGAGAATGTTTAAAATGCTGAAGTAAAGAAAATACTTTCAGCAACAGTTTTGAGGAGCTGTCTCAAATACTGTTGACGAGTCATCATTGTCATTTATTTGTCATCAATGCCATCTATTCATCATTTATTACCTTGCCAAGAGCAAAAACTCATGCAGAGTAAATGTTTCCAGAAACCAAACTAGTAGTTTAAAAACCATGTGATTAGTCACTGCTTTTTATACATTGTGTTTCATCAGGAATTTTAAGAATTAGGATTATCATTAAAATTATCACAAAGCAATTTCTGAAACTATAATTTTATAGCTGATTTTGTATCAAAATAGCTCAGAAATGTGATTTGTATCATCTAAATTAGCTCTTGCAGTTTAGTTTTTCAAAAATGAATTTTCAACCTGATTTTTCATCAAAAATGTTCAGAACCTTAATTTTTAATTTAAATTATCTCAAATGCAGTGTTTCTTTTATACCAGATTTATAGCAGATTTTTATTCAAGAATAGCTCAGACACTAACAATCCATGAAAGACTTGGCTGATTCCAACTTTTTGGTTTCCACCTGGGTGCTCAGATAGGTATAATTTGCATTTTCATGGCTTAACGTTTATGGAGTCATTCAAAATACATATTTGTGGTTTTCCCACAGAGATACTTAAGTTCACTGGTATACTATCATAATACAGTATTGCAGAATGATGAGATTAATAACAATTATGGGTAATTCAGTGCACTTATTGATGGTATTATAATTTTCTCCTCAAGAAATATATATGGAGTAGATAAAGAGTATAGCAACCTGTATAATGAGGAGAGGTCAGCTAATGAAACCAGCAAGACCTGGCTCAGTGGAAAGTTTTTGGAATTATGTGGACCAGAGAAATGAGAAATATCCTTCAAATTAGAAAAATAAATTATTTTTTACTGATATTTCACTAAAAAGGAAGCCTAGAAACTCATGATACTCATTCATTTTGATAAAACCTCATTCTTTCCATGAGTTAGGCTGCCCCATTCATTAATTCACCAAAATTTAAAATTGAAAGATCGATGAAGCAAAAATAAGCATTAAAGGACTTACAATGGTCTATGGCCTTGGCTATAAACTAACCTTCAGATGATTTTACATGGCATATAGAATCAAGTCATTAGCAAAACTAGAATGCCACTTGATATGGTTTGACTCTGTGTTGCCCCCCAAATCTCATCTTAAATTTTACCCCCATAATTCCCACATGTTGTGGGAGGGACTCTGTGGGAGATAATTGAATCAAGGAGGCAGTTAGCTCCATACTGTTCTCATGGTAGTGAATAAGTCTCACGAGATCTGACGGTTTTATCAGGGGTTCCCACTTTTGTGTCTTCCTCATTCTCTCTTTGCCATTCCACGTAAGATGTGCCTTGCTCTTCCTTGCCTTCTGCCATGATTATGAGCCCTCCCCAACCATGTGGAACTGTAAGTCCAATTAAACCTCTTTCTTTTGTAAATTGCCTAGTCTTGAGTATGTCATTATCTGCATTGTGAAAACAGACTAATACAGGAAATTGGTACCAGTAGAGTGGGGCACTGCTGAAAAGATAACCGAAAATGTGGAAGCAACTTTGGAACTGGGTAAGAGGCAGAGGATGGAACAGTTCGGAGGGCTCAGAAGAAGACAGGGAAATATGGGAAAGTTTGGAACTTCCTAGAGACTTGTTCAGTGGCTTTGACCAAAAGCCTGTTAGTAATATGAATAAAGTCCAGGCGGAGGTAGTCTCAAATGGAGATGAGGAACTTTTTGGGAACTGGAGCAAAGGTGACTCTTGTTATGTTTTAGCAAAGAGATTGGCACAATTTTGCCCCTGCCCTAGAGATTTGTGGAACTTTCAACTTGAGAAAGATGGTTTAGGGTATCTGGTGGAAGAAATTTCTTAGCAGCAAAGCATTCAAGAGTTGTCTTGGGTGCTGTTAAAGGCATTTAGTTTTATAAGAGAAGCAGAGCATAAAAGTTCAGAAAATTTGCAGACTGTCAATGTGATAGAAAAGAAAAACCCATTTTCTGAGGAGAAATTCAAGCTGGCTGCAGAAATATGCATAAGTAGCGAGGAACTGAATGTTAATCCCCAAAACAATGGGGAAAGTGTCTCCAGTGCCCGTCAGAGGTCTTCATGAGCCCCTCCTATTGCAGGCTGGGAGGCCTAGGAGAAAATGGTTTTGTGGTCCAGGCTCAGGGTCCCTGTGCTGTGTGCAGTCTAGGGGACTTGGTGCCCTGTGTCATAGCTACTCCAGCTGTGACTAAAAGGGACCAAGGTAGAGCTTGGGCTGTTGCTTCAGAGGATGGAAGTCCCAAGCCTTTGCAGTTTCCACCTGGTGTTGAGCCTGGTGGTGCATAGAAGTCAAGAACTGAGGTTTGGGAACCTCCACCTCGATTTCAAAAGATGTATGGAAACGCCTGGATGCCCAGGCAAAAGTTTGCTGTAGGGGGATCCCCCTCATGGAGAACCTCTGCTAGGGCAGTGTGGAAGGAAAATGTGGGGCCGGAGCCCCCACACAGAGTCCCTACTGGGGAATTGCCTATTGGAGCTGTGGGAAGAGGGCCACCATCCTCCAGACCCCAGAATGGTAGATCCACTGACAGCTTGCACCGTGCACCTGGTAAAGCCACAGACACTTAATGCCAGACTGTGAAAGCAGCCAGGAGGGAGGCTGTACCCTGCAAAACCACAGGGTTTAGCTGCCCAAAATCATGGGAACCCATTTCTTGCATCAGCATGACCTAAATGTGAGACATGGAGTCAAAAGAGATCATTTTGGAGCTTTAAGATTTGACTGCCCTGCTGGATTTTGGACTTGCATGGCCCTGTAGCCCCTTTATTTTGGCCAGTTTCTCCCATTAGGAAGGGTTGTATTTACCCAATGTCTGTACCCCCATTGTATCTAGAAAATAACTAGCTTGATTTTGATTTTACAGGCTCATAGGCAGAAGAGACTTGCCTTGTCTCAAATAAGACATTGGACTGTGGACTTTTGAGTTAATGCTGACATGATTTAAGACTTTGGGGCACTGTTGGGAAGGCATGATTAGTTTTGAAATGTGATAACATGAGATTTCAGAGGCCAGAGGTGGAATGATATGATATGTCTCTGTGTCCCCACTCAAATACCATCTGGAATTGTACTCCCATCATTCCCACCTGTTGTGGGAGGGAACTGGTGGGAGATCACTTAATTATGGGGGAATTTTCCCTCATAGTGTTCTTGTGGTAGTGAATAAGTCTCACAAGAACTGATGGTTTTATCAGGGGTTTCCACTTTTGTATCTTCCTCATTCTCTTTTTGCCTGCTGCCATTCCAAGTAAGATGTGACTTGTGGCCAGGTGCGGTGGCTCACACCTGTAATCCTAGCACTTTGGGAGGCCAAGGCCAACATGGTGAAACCCCGTCGCTACTAAAAATACAAAGAAATTAGCTGGGCGTAATGGCACGCACCTGTAGTCCCAGCTACTCAGGAGGCTGAGGCAGGAGAATCACTTGAATACAGGAGGTGGAGGTTGCAGTGAACTGAGATCTCACCACTGCACTCCAGCCTGGGTGACAGAGCGAGACTCCATCTCAAAAAAAATAAAAAAATAAAAAAATAAAAAAAGATGTGACTTGCTCCTCCTTGCATTCTGTAAGTCCAATTAAACCTCTTTCTTTTGTAAATTGCCCAGTCTCGGGTATGTCTTTATCAGCAGCATGAAATGGACTACTACACCACTACTTGGAAGAGACTTTTGTGGTTCTGTAATTAAATGCTGCCTTGCAGATTACTTAAAAGACAATCACTATTGATCACTGAATTTTGCTTGAAAGTGTGTCACCATGGAAAGACATCAATTAATCTTGAGAATGAAAATAGCTATTAAATCTTGAGTTTGCAGATACAATTTTGGATAAAAGGAGAAGCTTAAGAAAGATCATCTGTAAAATGGAAAAGGTGTGTTATATTACATGCATCAGAGGGAAGCTTAGGGGAAGGTACAGGTAACAGTACATTGCTTCATTCCCCACAATACCAAACATGAAGCATTCCAGTTCTCCCTTGCTTTGTTTCCCAGAACTCTTTCCTAGCCATGACAGAACACACTGCTGAATCACCATCAAGAGTTCCTGGATTGAATGTGACATTATTTGGAGACAGCTGTCATATGCCCTAAAGGAATAAGGTAATAGAACATCTGCACAATGGGCAAAGCTGAGTAATATTTAGATAATGATTTTAAAAAGTGCTTAGTGACTCCTTTGAGGGTGTTTTTTGATATTTTCTGAGTCTTGAGCCTTTGTCCTGGCCTTGCAGTGGAGTGAAGAAAATGGGCCCAACATAATTGGAGAAAATAGTCATTTATGGACTACTCTGAAAGTCTCTATGATAATTTAAAGAAATAATTGAAGTGAATAATACAGAGGCTCACTCAAAGACCCACTGACTACCTTAAAAGAGGATTTGAATTATGAAGTACATACCTTAATCAGATACCTAGAACTGCCCATGTTGGTTAATGAAAAAAGGGAATCTGTGGGATTCCTGGCTATGTACAGATGTACTAAATAACAACATACTTCCTTCACATACAGTACAACCACAAATGTGGGATTAAAGTGTACCCAGTGGCAACAGAAAAGTTACTACCTGACTTGAACCAACACTTCACCAAAAAATATACACAGATGACAAATAAGCACATCAAACTATATTCAACACAATAAACCCCTCAAGGAAATGCAGAGAAAAATCAAGGGGAGTGATGTGGTTTGGCTCTGTGTCCTCATCCAAATCTCATCTCAAATTGTAATCCCCATGTGTCAAGGGAGGGACTTAGTGGGAGGTGATTGGATCATGGGGGTGGTTTCCCCCATGCTATTTCCATAGTGAGGAAGTTCTCATGAGATCTGATGGTTTAAAAGTGATAGTTTCTCCTGTGCTCTCTCTCTCCTGCCACAATGTAAGACATGCCTTTCTTCCCCTTCACCTTCCACCATGATTGTAGGTTTCCTGAGGCCTCTTCAGCAATGCATACTGTGAGTCAATTAAACCTTTTTTATTTATAAATTACTCAGTCTCAGGTTATCTTTATATTAGTGTGAAAACAGACTAATACAGAGAATTGGGACCAGAGGTGGGGCACTGCTATAAAGATAAACTGAAAATGTAGAAGTAACTTTGGAATTGGGTAACAGGAAGAGGTTGGAACAGTTTGGAGGGCTTAGAAGAAGATCAGAAGATTTGGAAAAGTTTGAAACTTCCTAGAGACTTGTTGAATTGCTTTGACCAAAATACTGATAGTTATATGGACAATGAAGTTCAGGCTGAGGTGATCTCAAATAAAGATGAGAAACTTATTGGAAACTAGAGAAAAGGTTACTCATGCTATGCTTTAGCAAAAAGACTGTTGGCATTTTACCCCTTTCCTAGAGATCTGGGGAACTTTGACCTTGAGAGAGATAATTTAGGGTATCTAGTAGAAGAAATTTCTAAGTAGCAAAGTATTCAAGAGGAAACTTGGCTTTTTCTGAAAACATGTGGTTATATGGGTTCACAAAGAGATTTTTCTGAAACTGGATCTTTTCTTTAAAAGGGAAGTAGAGCATAAAAGTTTGGATAATTTTCAGCCTGACCATGAGGTAGAAAAGAAAAACCAATTTTCTGGGGAGAAATACAGGCCAGCTGCAGAAATTTGCATAAGATGAGGAGTGGAAATTTAATAGCCAAGACAATGGGAAAAATGTCTCCGGGGCATGTCAGAGATCTTTGTGGCAGCCCCTCTCATCACAGATCTGGAAGCCTAGGAGGGAAAAATGGCTTCACAGGCCAGGCCTAGGGCTCCCCCTATTCTGTGCAGCCTTGGGACTTGGTGCCCTGCTTCCCAGCTGCTCCAGCTTCAGCCATTGTTAAAAGGGTGCAAGGTACAGCTTGTGCCATTGCTTCAGAGAGTGCAAGCCCAAAGTCATGGTGGTTTTCACCTAGTGTTGAGCCTGTGGATGCATACAGGTCAAGAGTTGAGTGTTGTCAGCCTCCACCTAGATTTCAGAGGATGTATGGAAACACTTGGATGTCCAGACAGAAGTCTGCTGCAGGGGCACAGCCCTCATGGAGAACCTCTACTAGGGTAGCACAGAAGTGACATGTGGTGTTGGAGACCCCCACACAGAGTACTCACTGGGGCACTGCCTAATGGAGCTGTGAGAAGAGGACCACTGTTCTTCAGACCCCAGAGTTGTAGATCCCCCAACAGATTGCACAATGCACCTAGAAAAGTCAAAGACAACACCAGCCCATGAAAATAGACATAGGGGCTGTACCTGGCAGAGCCACAGGGGTGGAGCTGCCCAAGGCCTTGGGAGCCCACCCCTTGCACTAGTGTGCCCTGCATGTGAGACATGGAGTCAAATGAGATCATTTTGGAGGTTTAAGATTGAATGACTGCCCCACTGGGTTTTGGACTTCCATGGGGTCTGTGGCCCCTTTCTTTTGGCTAATTTCTCTCATTTGGAATAGGAACATTTACCTAAAGTCTCTATCACTATTGTGTAATGTAAGTAACTAACTTTTTTTTTTTTTTTTTTTTTTTTTACAGGCTGTTAGGCAGAAGAGGCTTTCCTTTTCTTAGATGAGGCTTTGGACTTGGACCTTTGGTTAATGCTGAAATGAGTTAAGATTTTGAAGGACTGTTGGGAAGGCATGATTGGTTTTGAAATGTGAAAAGTACATTATGTTTGGGAGAGCCCAGGGGTAGAATGATATGGCTTGGCTCTGTGTCCCCAACCAAATGTCATCTCAAAGTGTAATCTCCATGTGTTAAGGCAGGGACCAGGTAGGAGGTGATTGGATTATGAGGGTGGTATCCCCCCTGCTGTTCTTGTGATAGTGTGGGAGTTCTCATGAGATCTGATGGTTTAAAAGTTTCTCCTGTGCTTTCTCCTTTTCTCCTGCTGCCATGTGAGATGTGCATTGCTTCCCCTTTGCCTTCAGCCATGATTATAAGTTTCCTGAGGCTTCTCCAGTCATGTGTAACTGTGAGTCAATAAAATCTCTTTTATATTTATAAATTACTCAGTCTCAGGTAGTATCTTTAGAGCAGTGTCAAAATGAACTAATACAGGGAGATATTGCTACACAACTATCAGAAGAACTAAAATACAAAATTCTAACAATTTAATGTGCTGACAAGGATACTGACTAACAGAACTCTCATGCATTGTCAGTGGGAATTAAAAATGGTACAGCCACTTGGGAAAACAGATTGGACCTTTTGTGTAAAGTTATCATTATGAGTGCAATATGATCCAGCAACCCTATATCTTATGGTTAGGGTTAGACATAGAGTTGCTGGATCATATTGTACACATTTTGTTAACTTTACACAAAAATATACATATTTATATTATAGAAACGAAAACATCTGTGTACACAAAAACCTGTACACAAATGTTTATAGCAGCTCTAACCATAATTATCAAAAATCATACATGACACAGACGACACTTGAGGGTGAGTGGATAAACTGTAGAATATCCATACATAAAATACTAATCAAAAGAGAAAGAAATAAACTAAAGCAACAATTTGGAGCCAGTCTCAAAAGGTTACATACCATATCATTCCATTAACGTGGTATGCTGGAAAAGACAAATCTATTGTATCAGTTGCCAGGGAATGAAGTGAGAGTAAGATATGATCAAAAGGGGTAGCATGAGGTAGTTTTCTGGGGGAGATACAACTGTTCTGTATCATGATGTTGGTGGTGTTTATACAAATCTGTACTTGGATCAAAACATACAGATCTGTACAACAGAAAGTGTCAATATTACTTTATACGTTTGCTTTAAAACAATATACTTTCTGTAGTCTTCTGAGCATTATTGTTCTTATTATTTTATATAAAATATTACAGAAAATGTTCTAAAGCAAATTATGAGAAAAATCTGAGAAGTCTTTTGCAAGGAGATATTGTCTAAATTCAGAAGGTAAACTAGTGGTCAGCAAGATCGCAAAATAGAAAGCCTCAGAGCCTCTTCCATCCATGGAGACTCTTAATCAACAACAATATATAGACCAATTTACTTTGTGAGAAATCCACAAACAAATTAAGAGGCTTCTCTACCCGAGGTATGTTTGAAACAAGTCACATCAAAGGCGGTAGGGAAATTCAGGGGACTCACTCACCAGAGCCCATTCCCTCCTTCATATCACAGTATAATTTGTAAGTGGAAAAAAAAAAAAAAACCCTTCTCCCAGCTACACAATGGGGAGAGAAAGAAAAAACTAGACTATATGTCCAACATTCTGACTTTTCTAGGGGGATACTTGAAAAGGTAGCTTCTACCTTGCTTTCATTTCAGCACTGAGAGGAAAGGATATATGTTTAAGGCCCACTGAGAGTAAAAGCAATGAGTGGTTTAGATTAGCATTCACTCACTAGCCATAGTCCTTCCCCCCACCTCACTACAGAAGTAGGAGAAGAAAACTCCTAACTCCTGTATTTTTTTTTTTTCCTGGTGAGAGTAAGAGTTGAAGCATAATTCTAACATTCTGGCTTTTCAAGATAGTTCCCAAGGGACCATTTTCTATCTCACTTGTCTTGGAGTACTAAGTCCCAGCATACTCTAGATGCCTGAGGGCCACTGAAAACACGAGAGAGGTAAGCAGCTTGCTGCTGCTCCAGAGGACCTGTGTTATAGCAGACAGAGGCTGACACATCTCAGAAGACTCCTTTTTGAAGGAAAGAAAAAAGAGAAGAATTGAGTATGTGTCCAATATTATAATTTGTTAGGGGGCTGCTTGACGGACTAGTTTTTGTCTTGTCAAACTTAGAATGTTGATGGAGTCTGGCACACTCCACAAGCCTGGAACTCTCTGAGAGCAAAGGAGAACTGAGCATTTTCCAGCATATTCAGAGAATCTGCAGTACTACAGACAGACACACCAGAGAAAGCAAAAAAATTATAAGCTCCTGAGAAAAAGAAACTGGCAAAACCCTCTACTTGGAATTTACGAGCACAAGTTGAGAAAAAATACATTCACAGAAAAAATTTGAGAAGCTCTCAGAATCTTGAGCCAGGCTAATAGGTGAAGGTATTTCAGTTTTGAAGTTAGTTTGTAGCACTGGGAGAAGTGTTTTTTGTTTGTTTGTTTGTCTTTTGTTTTTTTCTTAAATGTGTAGTGTCCAACACAAAACACACAAAGAAATAAGGAAAAATTACTCAAATAGAGGAAGATAATAAACCTCTAGAAATTGAGCCTGAAGAAACAAGAAGTTTAAAGTTACCACCAAAAGATGCTCAACAGGTTCAGAAAAACAATACATGAACAAAATTAAAATATCAACAAAGAGACAGAAAATATTAAAAAATAACCAAACAACAATATTGTAACTGAAAACTGTAGTTATACTGTTATTACTAAATTTAAAATTAAACTAGAAAAATTCAACAGCATGTTTCAAGAGGCAGAAGAAACAATTACAGATCATTTGAAATTATCTAGTCTAAACAACCAAAAGAAGAAACAATGGAAAAGAGTAAAGAAATACTAAAGGACTTATGGAACACCATAAATCAAAATAATTATACACAGTATAGTAATTCCAGAAGAATAAGAGAGATAAAAATGTGTAGATAGCTTATTTGAAGTAATAATAGCCAAAAACTTTTCGAATCTGGGTAAGGAAATGGGTATCCAGATTGAACAAGGCTAATGGACAGCTAGTAGTATGTACCAAAAGAAGTCTACATCAAAACACATTACAAGTAAACTGTCAAAAGTAGAAAGCAAAAGGAGAATTTTGAAAGCAGCAACAGTAACTTTTCATATAAAAGGGATCCCCCATAATATTATCAGTAGATTTGTCTGCAGAAACCTTGAAGGCTAGAGGGGAATGAGTGACATGTTCAAAGTGCTAGCAGAAAAAAAAATAACTCAAAACTGTCAATTCCAAATTCTTTATCTGACAAAACTGTCTTTCAAAAATGAAGAAGAAATAGAGCCTTTTCCAGATTAACAAAAGCTGAGAGAGTTCATCATCACTTGTTCTGCCTTACAAGAAATGTGAAAGGGAGTCCTTGAAGTTAAAACTAAAGATGGACTAGACAGCAAGACAAAATCATACAAAAATAAAGCTCATTGGTAAATATAAATATATGGACAAATACTGAATACTGTAATACTGTAACAGTGGTGCATTAATCACTTTTAATTCTAGTATAAAAGTTAAATTATTTAAAATAACCATAACTATAAAACATTAATAAATATATTTTTATAAAGATATGACTTATGACATCAAAAACATTAAGTATGTGAGAAAGAGAAGCAACACAGTAGAGGTTTTGAATGTGTCATGGTTAATAGTGTTAACTTGACTGGATTGAAGGATGCAAAGTATTGTTTCTGGATGAGTCTGTGAGGGTGTTAGTCTCCTCTGCCAGAGGAGATTAACATTTGAGTCAGCGGACTGGGAGAGGAAGACCCACCCTCAATGTGGGAAGGGGACACCATCCAGTCAGCTGACAGCATGGCCAGAAAAAGCAGGTGGTAGAAGGTGGAATAAGCTGGCTTGCTGAGTCTTCGGGCTTTCAACTTTTCAGCAGTGCTGGATACTTCCTGCTATTTAACATCAGACTCCAGGTTCTTCGGTCTTTGAACTCTGGGACTTAAACCAGTGGTTTGCCGCGGGTGGGGGCGGGGCGGGTCTCGGGCCTTTAGCCACAGACTGAGGGCTACACTGTCGCGTTCCCTACTTTTGAGGCTTTGGGATTTCAGCTGAGCCTCTACTGGCTTCCTTGCTCCTTAGCTTTCAGATGGCCTATCATGGAACTTCACCTTGTGATTATGTGAGTCAATTCTCCTTAATAAAGTCCCCTTCGTATATATTAATACATATATCCTATTAGTTCTGTTCCTCTGGAGGACTCTGACTAATACAGTATGTGACTGAAGTTCAGTTGTTATCAGCATCAAATAGTTTGTTATATTATCATAAATTATGTTTTATGAAAACTTCTTGATAACCAGAAAGAAAATTCCTATAGAAGATACACAAAAGAATATGAAAAAAGAATCAAAGCATACCGTCACAAAATATCAATTAAACACCAATGAAGCTAGTGAGAGAGGAAAAGAAAGGGAAAAAAAATCCCTACAAGGTAGACAGGAAATGGTGATCAAAATGACAATAATAACACCTTTTTTTTTAACAATAATTACTTCAAATGTAAATAGATTGACTTCTCAAACAAAAGACATAGAGTGGCTAAATGAATAAAAAGAAATAAGACCTAACTGTGTGAGATACATGAGATTCACGTAAGATTTAAGGACATACAGAGCCTGAAAGTGATAGGAGGGAAAATAATACTTCATGCAAATAGTAAACAAACAGAGCAGGTGTGGCTGTACTTACATGAGGCAAAATAGACATTAAGTCAGAACTGCCATGAGAGACAATGGAAGGATGAAAGGTATTATAACAAAAATATCAATTCACAAAAAAGGCATAACAATGATTACGTGTGTGAGTGTGTGTGTGTGTGTGTGTACCTAGCTTTAATTAAGGTACCCACACGCATAAAGAAAATATTGACAGAACTGAGGGGAGCAATTGACAGCAACACAAAAATAGGAGATTTCAATGCCTCACTTTCAAAAATAGATATAACATTCAGATAAAGGATTGATAATGTAACAAATGACTTGAACAACACTGTAGACAAAATGGACCTTAGAGACATATACAGAATATTCTACCAACATAAGCAGACTATACAGTCTTCTCAAACACACTTAGAGCTTTTCCCAGGATATATCACGTTAGGTCACAAAACCAGTCTTATTGAATTTAATAAGACTTATTGAATCCTATTTGGTATTATTTCAATCACACCAAATATCTTCTATCTGACAACAATGGAATGAAAGTAAATCAATAACAGAAGAAAAACAAAAAATCTGCAAATATGTGAAAATTAAACAAGACACTCTTTAACAATCAATGAGTCAAAGAATAAATCCATTATTTGAATGTTTTCCTTTTCAGAATGGAAATTAGAAAAATCCTGAAAAAAATGAAAAGAAAACTTAACATATCAAAATATATGGAATTCAGCAAAGACAGTATTAAGTGGGAACTTTATTACAGTAAATGCCTACATTAAAATAAAAGAAACATTTTAAACAATGTAAATGTATATCTCAACTAGAAAAACAGAAACAAACTGTGCAGAAAAACAGTAGAAAAATCAACTAGAGGTTTCTTTTTCTTTCTAAAGATGTACAAAATCGGCAAACCTTGAGGTAAAAAAGATAAAAGAGAGAAGGTTCAAATAAATAAAATCAGAAATGAAAGAGGAGCCATTATAACTGATGCCACAGAAATATAAAGGGTTGTTAATAGTCTACCAGAAAGAATTATACACTAACAAACTGAGTAACCCAAAAAATGGATAAATTGTTGGAAATATACAGCCAACCAAAACTGAATTATGAAGAAATATAAAATCTGAACAAACCTATAGCTGTTTTGGAGATTGAATCAGCAGTCAAATTCCTCTCAGTAAAGAAAAACTCCAGCCAAGATGGCTTCCCTGAAGATTTCTACCAAACATTTCAAAAATAATTAATGGAGCCAACATTACTGTGATATCTAAGCAAAATAAAGACACTGTAACGAAAGAAATGTACAGGCTGATATCCCTGATAATTATAGTTACAAAAATTCTCAACAAAATACTAGAAAACTGAATTCAATCGAACATTAAAAGAATCATAGACCATGACCAATTAGAATTAATGACTTAGACACAAAGATGATTGAATATATAAAAATCAATCAAGGTAATATACTACATTAACAGAACAAAGGATAAAAATCAAGTGATCGTCTCAATAGGTGCAGAAAAATCATTTTACAAATTCAACACCCTTTTTGGATTTAAAAAATGTAAAGCTGGCATAAAAAAAGAATTATTCAACATAGTAAAGGCCATGTAGGAACTGCCCACACTAATATTACTATAAATGATGAAAAACTGAATATTTTTTTCCAGCATAAAGAGCAAGGTAAGAATACCTCATTCTTGCCAGTTCTATTCAATGTGGTAGTTGAAGTCCTTGCTAAAGTAATTATACAATAAAAACTTTAAAAAAGACAAATCAGAAAGGAAGAACTAAAAGTATCTCTGTTAGCAGATGCAAATGCTAAAGATTCATACATGCACACATACATAAACATACTGTCAGAATTAATAAATGAATTCAATAATATTGCAGAAAACAAAACCAGCATGCAAATATTGGTTGTATTTCTAGATGCTAACAACGGAAAATCTGAAAAAGATGACTTTCAAATGGGAAACATATATATGAAAAAATGCTCAGATAACCGATTATCAGGAAAATGCAAATCAAAACCACAATGAGATAGCACCTCACACCTGTTAGAAGAGCCATCAAACAACAACAAACAAACAAATAACAAATGTTTGCAAAGATATGGAGAAAGAGAAACCTTTGTGCACTATTGGGGGGGATGTAAAATGGTGCAGCTATTTGGGCATGTTTGGCTAGACCCTTTCATGTAAGTTGTATATTTAATAGGATAATTACAGGAATATGTTCATCAACAAAACATCTCTCTACGTGAAGGTAATATTCTGCATGAATTGCTTAAATATAGCACTTTAAATCACATTCAGAATGCATTCTAATACAGAACAGAAAGAATCTTTATAACACCTTGTTGACAGTCTTGAACTTCCTCAAGAAAATATTGTTTTACAAGCCCAAATGGCCTGTATATTTTGAAATAGGGTAAAGGTTGGTACTGGGTAGTATCCATGATTAAATTAATTCTGGTTTGGTAATGAGATGCTCTGTGTTTTCTCAAAGTATGAAAAATCCTTCCCCAAATATCTCTATTTTTTGCTTGTGATTTGATTTGTTTTTAATTGAAGTTTAGTTGTACAGATTAAAATGTGTAAATCTTCAGTGAACATTTGAAAATGTATACACCTATGTAAGTAACACCCAAATAAAACATGCTCATATGTCAATAAAGCTAGCTTCTAACTATATGGTTTTCATTTGCATTTCTCTAATGATGAGGATGTTGAGGACTCTAATGTTTGCAGGGCTATTTATATTTACTTTATTTAAATTGTTGATTTATCTCTTTTTCCCTTTTTTCTATGATGTTACTGTTTGTGCATCCCATATTTTAGATATTTTTATATTAATGATACTGGTTCTTTGCTACGTTTTTCCTAGTGTTGTATCCTTTGTTTTAGCTTACAGTATTATTTTTTTCATGGAGTTTTTCTTTTTGTATGTTGCAAACTTATTTATATTTTCTATTATTGCATGGGGTTCAGTCATAACAATAAATGATTTCCTCACTCTTGTCTTACAGTGTTTTCTTTTAGATTTTGCATGATTTCCATTTAAATATTTGATTGATTTTCCTACAAAACATGTTAGCTATTTTGTATACTTATATTAGGATGTTACATTGAACATATATCTGTCATGAAAACTCAATTCTTACCTCTAGAGCTACAAAAGACTACTATGGCCTTGATTTTTATGATGTAAATGAGCATGCATTCCTACTTACAATTAAAGATGACTTTAGAGAACTACATGGGGCATCAGAGATTCTATATAACAAAATCTGTTCAAAACAAACTGTTGTCTTAATCTATTCAGGCTTCTATTACAAAATATAATAAACTAGTTAACTTATAAACAGCAGAAATTTATTTCTCACAATTCTGAAGGCTGAGAAGTCCAAAATCAAGTTCCCAACAGATTCAGAGTCTTGTAAGGGCTTGCTTCCTGCTTTATGGATGATGCCTTCTCACTGTGTTCCCACACAGAGAAAGAAGGGAATAAGCTCCTTTGGCCTGTTTTATAAAGCCATTAATCACATTCATAATAAATCTGCCCTCCTGACTCAATCACCTCACAAAAAACCTCATATCCTAATACCATCACCTAATAGCACCCACCTACCCCACAACATAAACCTTAATGAAAATTTCTAACAATGTAGAAATACTATTTCAAAAATATTACATTCCATTATTGAAAACATTACAAAACTCTTTCTTTAATGAAACAAACTTTACTTGCAGTTGTGTACTTTTGATCTTCATTTTTGTTTTTCTATAAGATTGCAAGAACAAACCCACCATTTGTTTTAACTAACAAATATTGCAGTTGGCTGTATATAGCTCATAATATTCTCTTTTCCAAAGTATATATTCTCATTAATATAGTGACTTCTCATATATGATTATTTCCAGTCAGTTGCCATCCCAATTACTCTAACCTTGGACATTCCAGTTTACCAATGTGCTATTTATAATAGGTTGCTGTATCTTTGCCTAATTCAGTGTAACAATTACTTTTATTAATTAACATTGTCTGAAAGTTTATTCATCTTTCTCATTCTGTGGCTTTTTTGTTGTACCTAATTTACTTTGTCTTTTCTTGATAAATTATGGCCTATTAGTGAATTCTACATTTTATGTTTTTGAAAATAATCACATAACTGTTAGTTATCTGGCAAACTCATTTAAACAGTTTCTTGATTTACATATACTAAACTATAATCCCCTGTGATCTATGCTTCTATCTCAGGGCTTTAGCTTTTTTTTTTTTTTCTGTAAAATTGATGGTAACTTTAATACATAAATACACTTCTTTTCTTGAATGAGAATCTGATTTTCTTTCAGATGCTTATTTCAATATCTGTCCTTGGAATAATATAGACTAATTCTACTACTTTCCCACATTATTATCTTTTAAATATTTGAAATTATATTTCAGGGTAAAATTTGCATATGAAACAAAATTAGATAAAATATTAGGCTAAAATTTACTGAGATCAGTATCATAGTTTCTTTACTTCCCTCAGAAAATCAATGCTTATGATGATATTATATTTGGATGTCATACCATCAAATTTTGTATTCATATATTTATATTTATTTATATTTGACCAAATAATTTTAACTGCATTCAAATGACTGATTAGAAGTTGAGATAAATAATTGTATGTTCATGATGTTTAAGATAAATGGAAATAAAAACCCTTTTATTTTCTTCCTATCTTCTAAAATATTAAACTACTTTGTTCATTATTCTCTTTAATTTCTCTGATGCAGGGTCATCCTAAATTTATATATAGATAAGTGATCACTAGGACAGGAAACATAGCTCTGCTTTCACTTATAGCAATACAGAATAATCTATAAATATTAAATATTAGATGCCTCTACAAATGTGGTCTGCAGAGGAATGTGTGCCATCAGGAACTTGTTTTTAAGAAAACAACCGTGCATGAGTAACTTCATTTTAACTCATCAATTTTAATTAAATTGAGTCTCCTATGTAGCCAATTTTTTAACTTGTGTGCTAAGTAAATGGCAGCATATTTAGCTGGAGTTTTGATTAGAGTATTAATAAATTGATAACATTCTCTTCTATGATCAAAGCTTAAATTTTCTAATAACTGGTGTCTAAATGAATAAAGAGTCCTAATAAAGATATTAGAAAATAAGCAACACTGTATTAGTTGGTACAAAATTTAAATTAATTATAATAATTGTATAAAATTGAAAAAATATCAAATTCACCTGTAAGGTAATTAAGAGGGAAAAACTGAAACAAACAGACTGAAAAAAAAAAAAAGCCAGCACAAATGCACATGTCTTGCCTACTTTGTAAAATGAAACTGCAATGATTGGCAAGTTCCCTTGGGAAAAGGAATTTAATTCTTTCTATTCTATTATATTCTAAACATAGTTAACTCTAGATAATCAATTGATCAATCATTTTCATTACATCATTCTCCATTTGTGATTTTTGAGATTAGCGCCATTTATTATTCTTTCATAGCAAGAATCTACATGTGTGTACATCAAAACAGTCACAATTAATAGTTACAAAAAGTATGTATAAAAATAGAAGTTAAAATAGCCTGCTTATTGGGATATACCCATTCAGTCTAGACTATTGACAACATCTAACATGTAAATGGACCCTCTGCAAAAATAGTGATTTTTTTTGCTAGTCATATGGTAGAATAAAAAATTAAACATTAGAAATCTTAGAGAATCTACATTCATTGGCAATGTAATACTATTTTTAAATAAATACTTATCTAAGTCTTATTCTGAGCTGCTAAGGATATGCACGTGTGTGTGGGTATGTTAGAAAATATACAGTAAAATATTTTCCTTAAATCTACAGTAAAACTTTGTTGTTAAATTAACTAGGATATATTTTTTGAAATTCATATGCTAGGCAGACATTCCAGATGAAATACAGAGAATTGTTAAAAACCCAAATTGTTAGATGATCTCTCACCTTTTTGAGGTTAGAAAGGGTACTTCCTATTTTGAATTTTATTATGTAGCATTGGGGACATGGATAAATTATTTAATTTTATTGAGTCTGAATTTTTCACTATAAAATGAAGATGTTTCAGTAATTTCTGTAATATCTTGCAATTCTAGAACTCCACACTTTTATAATATATCACTTGCATAACTTATTTTAATTCACAGTATGTAACGGAAGTAATTGTTTGTAAACATGCCTATTATTATATTTTTAGATCACAAAGATAAGGACTTGAAATTTACCTTAAGTGATTTCTTGATTTATTATGAAGAATCAAAGTGCTTATTCACTGGAATAAAGAGAGACATGCAGGTTTTCTCAAACACTTTAGACAGATTAAATATATTAAACTTAAATACTTCCTTTTATTTAAAATTTTCTTTTAATCCACTTAATTTTGTGTTTATCTAGTGTCTAGTGGGAGTCAAAATAATAATAAACTACTAAAATTGAGTCAAGTAAATATCAAAAAATAATAAAAATTTAATTTCTAAAACTGGTACTGAACCAATTCTCATTGTTATAATATTTTCACAAGTATTTTATGGTGACAAAATACTAAACTGTAACAAAAGAAGAAACATTTTTTGTAGGTTTCAAAGTTATTTTTCTTTTTTTCTGACTGAAATTCCACTTATATCCTTTATATGATATTAAGTCTGAATGTTTTTCCTACTCCAAATGATTACTTTTATTGAAAGAGTTCAACACACCTGATTACTGAAATGTTGATGGGTAAAGTTTTTCAGAAGACATGTCAGTAACCAATAGTGAATGCTTACATCTCTGTCTCTTGTTACCTGCAATCTATCAATGATTTATTGTGCATCTTTGAATTCAGCTTTCTCACATGTAAAACAAGGATAAATTTGGTGGCAAATAAATATAAAATACATTACAAAGATTTTTTATCAGTAGCGTAATAAACATGCAATATATCATCCTCGTCATTTTCATTACTGTTATCTTTATCCTAACAACTTCAAGGATTGAGATTAGTTTTCTTCACATCCCTGAACCTATTT
Organism: Homo sapiens; assembly: GCF_000001405.40. Taxonomy (NCBI): domain Eukaryota; kingdom Metazoa; phylum Chordata; class Mammalia; order Primates; family Hominidae; genus Homo; species Homo sapiens. The sequence goes on from NC_000005.10 coordinate 101,221,091, forward strand.
ATTATTTTTTTAAAAAACTATTCATTTATTTATATACTTTTGTTTTTTTGAGACGGCATCTTGCTTTGTTGTCCAGGCTGGAGTGCAGTGGCACAATCATAGCTTGCTGCAGCCTCAAACTCTTGGGGTCAAGCAATCTTCCCACCTCAGCCTCCTGAGTAGCTGAACTTCAGACACATGACACTATGCCCAACTCCTTAATCTCCCTGTAGCAATGTTTTTCCACTATAATTATGAAAAATATCAGATATCATGTTCAAAGTTAAATAAATTTGCAGAATTATTTACTTGTAATTTTTGTGTTATTATGTATGCTAACTAAAATCGATGGTATCAGGGCTAATGACCCTCTAAATTAGAAAATATTTGTTTTTATTGGTTCTTTTTCTTATTCAGCATGCTTGAGAATATGAAACAATTTAGTTACATAGTGACATTTTTACTAGGAAGTTAGCAATTATTATGAAATATGAAATTAAAAATATATTAAATATTCAATATCTGAGCTCTTGTCCTCTATAATTTGTCAGAGAAAAGAAGGACATTTCAGTAACTATAGAAAAAGCATTTAAATAAGACCTTATATAACATACTATACTTATACTTCATTCTCTTTTTTATTTTTTTGCAAAAAAAGCTTATTGATGGGCTTGTATATTATTGTTTCACATTTCTTTTTTCTGATCCAGTTTGCCTACAATAACTGTTTTAGCATAGTATACTTGACATTTGTTTATTTTTTACTTGTCAAACGTTATAAAGAAAGCAAAAATGAGTGGAAATTCCTGTTGTTTTATTAAATGTTTGTTGCAGACACTTCTATTCATCTTAACTCTATCCACCTCTATTTTCTTCTTAAATACAACATTTTGATCTAGTTTATTGTGGCAAAATGTACATCCATCATGTTAAGCCCACTCTGGTTTCACACTTTATAGCAAAGGGTGGACATGAGGCATGGATTTGTCCGATGAGAACAAATGAAAAATGATATCTATCAGGAAAATCTTTTATTTTTTCTTAGGAAAAAAAAAAGTGTATTCATCAAGGTTCTCCAGATAAACAGAAGTAATAGGAGAGAGAGAGAGAGATTAATTAATTATGGAGGCCAACAAATCCCATGATCTGCTAACTGGGGAACCAGGAAAGCTGGTGGTATAATTTACTTCAAGTCTGAAGACCCAAGAAAGAGGAGTGCCAGTGTCCAAGGACTGGAGACGATGAATTACCCAGATCAAACAGACAGAGCAAATTTGCCCTTCCTCTCCCTCACCAGATTGGATGCCAGTGAGGGAGATCATCTTTGCTCTGTCTACCAATTCAGATACTAAGCTCTTCCAGAAACACTCTCACAGACACACATAAAAAGTGTTGTACCAGCTATCTGAACATCCCTTAGCCCTTTCAAGTTAACATAACATTAATCATTATTAAAGGTAAGGCACACTGGCATCATTATCTGTATTTCTCTTTTTCTCCAGCTGTGCATTCTTATATAATGGCTAAAGCTGCAGAAGACATCTTGCAGTCATAGGAGAAATGCCCAGTTTATTGGACACATTGGTCCTACATATTCTAGTGGCCTCCTGATTATTGGGCAAGATAGATATATTTCTTTCTTTTCTTTTTCTTTTTTTTTTCCTACTTTCTTCTATATAATTTACACAATAAGGTGTTAAGAACGTATCCCATTGTATGAAACTATTTATTGTTAAACTATCTATTTGTTAAGAATGCATCCAGTGTATGAAACAGAAAACCCTATTGACTACGGCTTAAAAAAACAAGCGTTTATTTGTCCACGCATGACCAAATATTCCTGGAGTAAGGGAGTTACTTCTTTTGATTCAGGTCCTCAAATGTACTACCGGGGACTCTGTCTTATATTTGTTTTTTACACAATTTATTTATTTGCATATGTAAAATATTCACATAATTCCAAAGCCAAAATTATATAACAAGACAGAATCGAAGAAAGCTTGTTTCCAAGCCCATCCCCTCCACGCTTCTCCTCCTTTTCTTCAGGTGTAATAACTTGTATGTTTTTAAACATCTTAAAAGTATAATACGGCCGGGCGCGGTGGCTCATGCCTGTAATCCCAACACTTTGGGAGGCCGAGGTGGGCAGATCACCTGAGGTCAAGAGTTTTAGACTATCCTGGGCAACATGCTGAAACCCCATCTCTACTAAAAAATATAAAAAAATTAGCTGGGCATGGTGGCAGGCACCTGTAATCCCAGCTACTCGGGAGATTGAGGCAGGAGAATCACTTGAACCCAGGAGGCAGAGGTTGCAGTAAGCTGAGATTGCGCTCTTACACTCCAGCCTGGGTGACAAGAGCAAGACTTCATCTCAAAAAAAAAAAAAGAAAAATTATAATATACTTACAATGATGGAAATTACATCATAAATATACAGTTTGGTGAATTCTCATAGATTGATCATATATGTGTATCCACCACCAAGGTACAGAAATAGAATATTACAAGCACCCCAGAAACTATCCTTATGTCCTCCTTGGTTGGTACTCCCTATTCTCTCCAGAGACAACTGCTCACTTAAAACACTATGGAATAGCTTTGCCCGATGTTGAACTATGTATAAGTGGGGTAATACATATGTGTTCTATTGTGCTTGGTTTCTTTCACTTGACAGTATATTTATGACATCCATCCATGTTGTGTGTAGTAAAAATGTTCCTTCTTTTTTATTCCTGTTAACAAAATCTATTCTATATAATATACAGTATATCATAATGTGTTTATCTCTTTTGGGAGCTGAGCAATGACAACACATAGACACAGGGAGGGAAATGACACACATTGGGGCCTGTCTGGGGAGAGTGGGGAGAGGGTGGGAGAGCATTAGGGAGAAGAGCTAATGCATGCTCTCTTACACTTTTTTACCACATGGCCCACCTACCAACCTCAGAGGAATGACTTTCTTTCTCGTACTTTATACAACACAATTGCAAAATTGCTGCCCTAGTTTCAAACGCCATATCTGTTTATAAGGCAGGAAGAAAGGCAGTTATTGGCATCAGTTGTCACTTTCCCTATAATAACAAATTCCACAGGAGAACATTTTATATGCCTTACCGCTAGAAATTAGTTACATAGAAAATTGTAGCCAAAAGGGAGTGTAAGAAAAACAAAACAAAAAAACAAAACAAAACAAAAACCTTGCACTGATAAAAAACAATAAAGGTTTCATAGGAGCCATTTTCTGCCATGTTTTGAAATTAAACTTATTGAAGTTAAAGGGAGAAGAAACATATAATGCACAAAAATAGTATTTTTGTTTGTTTGTTTTGTTTTGTTTTTGTTTTTTGCTTTGTCTTGAGACGGAGGTTCGCTTTTGTTGCCCAGGCTGGAATACAATGGCGCAATCTCGACTCATTGCAACCTCTGCCTCCTGGGTTCAAGCGATTCTCCTGCCTCAGCCTCCATAGTAGCTGGGATTACAAGCAGATTTTGGAGAATTTCAGATTTTAACTCTCAGAGTTTCACAGATATGTCTTGTTATATTCATAATACCATTTTGATTATCTAACTCCTCAAAACATCCAACAACACAAAGAAAAAATTTTTGAAGAATATATTAGTATTTTTCTATCTAAAAGACATTCTGAAAACTAATAAGTAATATTTTCTTTTTCTTACTTATTCATAAAAAGACAATGCAGTTCAGAAATTCTGCATAATTAATTAAAGAAGTATATTAACATTGTAAGTAATTTACACATGTCTGTTTTATAGGAAATAGTAATGTCATAATACTGGAGGCCATTCAAGGGGTGAATTGAAATTTCTTAATTGCTGAATGAGTCAACATTTAGCCTACTTTTTACTCTTGGGTTGCATAATATTAATAATCTACTAACTCAAAATTATCCCTGTTTTAAAATTCTATTAACAGAAATTAAGTCAAAAAAGCAAAATGGCATTTTCTCAGAAAATCCCATATATTTAATCATAGTTCGTAGTAGTTAACCATTTTATAACAACTTAAATCATCTAAACCTCTCATATTAATGTGTTTTGAACTCACACTACAAAACAAGACTAACAAATTGCTGAAAAATATAGTAACACTAGACTATTTATAACCCAAGGCCTTTAGAATCATTATGTACTGTTTCAAGATTTTCAAACATTTAGAAGAGAGGTCACAATGAAATTTGTTGTAGTTCAAAATAGTCATAATAAAGGGAACCCTGAAAATATTTTAATCTTATTATGTAGGTCAATAAAAATGTGATTAATGGGACTAGAATCTAAATATCATATATATTCTGAATTATTTTTGTCTTATCAGTGAGACCTAGATATCCCAGGACTAACTCAAGTGAAATAATTCCATAAATTTCAAAAAAAAAAAGTTGTATAAACTACATAATTTCCAGAATTGTTACTAAAGTAATAGAGACATTTGTTAGAATGACTGTGTTATGGGCAAAATTGTGTTTTCAAAAATGTATATCTTGTGGTCCTTACCCTCATTATCTCAGAATGTAACTGTATTTTGAGATAGAGTTTTTAAAAGAGGTACTTATGCCAAAATAAGGTTAGTAGGGTAGGACCTACTCCAGTATGACTGGTTTCTTTTCAAAAAGAAGACATTAAGACACAGAGGAAAGCCTACGTGAAGGCACAGGCAGAAGATGGCCATCTACAAGCCAAGAAGAGAGGTCTCAGAAGAAACCAAACCTAATGGCACCTTGATCTCAGACCTGTGACTTCTAGAATTATGACATAATTAATTTATGTTGTCGATGCCACCCAGCTGGTGCTAATTTGTTGCGGTAGCCCAAGCAAACAAATACAGATTGTAAAAACAAAGCATTTTAATAAGTCAAGAAAAAAAATACTTACCATATTGGTAATATTCCCTTCTGCCCTAAATTCATCCCTCTCCTTGATGTGGATCTGCTAAAATGATATTGTCAACCAACAGACCTCAATTCTAGGCCCAATTTTGTCATATAATTAAACTCTGCACTAGCTCAATGTTTTGTTAGAGGAAAATGTATATAAAATAAAGAGCAATTAGGCAAGATATGATAATTCATTGACTTTTAGTTTCAATTTTCAGTTTATTATTAGCAACTTAACATTTCTTGTCAGTCTTTATTTGTGCATGTTGTCACCCTTATTTTTTTAATTATTATTTTTTATTTTGATAGTTTTTAAGGTACAGATGATTTTAGGTTACATGGATGAGGTCTATAGTGATCAATTATGAGATATTTAGTGCACCTGTCAACTGGGCAGTATACACTGTACTCAATATGTAGTCTTTTATCCCAAACCCCCTTCCCAGCCTCCATCCCTGAGTCCCCAAAGTTCATTATATTACTCTGTATGTCTTTGTGTCATCATAGCTTAACTTCCACTTATAAATGAGAACATACAGTATTTGGTTTTGCATTCCTGAGTTACTTCACTTAGAATAATGGGCTCCAGCTCCATCCAAGCTGCGGCAAAGACATTATTTCATTCCTATTATGGATGAGTAGTGTTCCATGGTATGTATAAACCACATTTTCTTCATCTACCTTTTGGTTGATGAGCACTTAGGTTGGTTCCATATCTTTGCAATTGTGTACTATGCTGCTACAAATATGCATATGCATGTGTCTTTTCATATAATGACATCTTTTCCTTTCAGTAGATATCCAGTAGTAGGATTGCTGGATTGAATGGTAGATCTATGTTTAGTTCTTTAAGGAATGTCTATACTGTTTTCCATAGAGGTTGTACTGATTTACATTCCCACCAGCAATGCAAAAGTGTTCCCTTTTCACCACATCCAAATCAACATCTATTGTTTATTGAGTTTTAAATTATGGCTATTCTTGCAAGAGTAAGGTGGTATCTCATTGTAGTTTTAATTTGCATTTTGCTGATGATTAGTGATGTTGAACATTTTTTGTATGTGTATTGGTAGTTTGTATGTCTTCTTTTCAGAAATGTCTATTCATGTCCTTGGCCCATTTTTTTCATGGGATTATTTTTTTTCTTGCTGATTTGTTTGAGTTCATTGTATATTCTGAATATTAGTCCTTTGTCTAATGCATAGTTTGCGAATATTTTCTCCATCTCTGTGGATTATCTGTTTACTCTGCTAATTACTTCTTTTGCTATGCAGAAGCTTTTTAATTTAATTAGGTCCAATGTATTTATTTTTGTTTTTGTTGTATTTGATTTTTGGATCCTAGTCATGAATGCTTTTCCTAGGCCAATGTCCTGAAAAGTTTTTCCAATATTATCTTCTAGAAATGTTATAATATGTGATGTATCACATTTATTGACTTGCATATGTTAAAATATCCCTGCATTCCTGGAATAAAACCCATTGGATCATGATATATTATCTTGCTGTTGGATTCAATTAGCTAGTATTTTGTTGAGGATTTTTGCATTTATGTTCATAGCTTGAACATCAGGCTGTAGTTTTCTTTTTTTGTTGTTATGTTATTATGTCTTTCCCTGCATTTAGCATTAGGGTGATACTGGCTTCATGGAATAATTTAGGGAGGATTTCCTCTTTCTGTATCTTTTGGAATCGTTTCAGTAGGATTGGGACCAATTCTTCCTTTAATGTCTGATAGAATTTAGCTGTGAATCCATCTGGTCCTGGAAGTTTTTGTTGGCAATTTTAAAATTACAGATTAAATTTCACTGCTTGTTTTTGGTCTGTTTATGGTTTCTATTTCTTCCTCATTTAATCTAGGAGGGTTGCATGTTTCCAGGAACTTATCCATTTCCTCTAGATTTTCTAGTTTGTGTGTGCAAAGGTGTTAATAGTAACCTTACATGATCTTTTGTATTTTTGTGGTATCAGTTGTAATAGCTCCAGTTTCATTTCTAATTGAGCTTATTTGGATTTTCTCTTTTCTTGTTTAATCTCACTAATGGCTTATCATTTATTTTATCTTTTCAAAGAACCAGTTGTTTGTTTCATTTATTTTTTGTATTTTTTTGTTTTAATTTAATTTAATTCTGCTCTAATATTTATTTTTTTTCTTCTACTGGATTTTGGACTTAGTTTGTTCTTGTTTCCCTAGTTCCTTGATGTGTGACGTTAGTTTGCCAAGTTGTGATTTTCAGACTTTTGATGTAGTCATTTAACACTATGAACATTTTTCTTAGCACTGCTTTTGCTGTACCTCAGAGGTTTTGATGACTTGTGTCACTATTATCATTCATTTCAAAAATTTTTAAAATTTTCATCTTGATTTTATTATTTACACCCAAATGATTCAAGAGCAGATTATATAATTGTCATGCATTTTTTGAGGTTTCCTTTTGGAGTTGATTTCCAGTTTTATTCCACTATGGTCTGAGAAGATACTTGATATGATTTCAATTTACTTAAGTTTGTTGAGACTTGTTTTGTGGCCTATTGTATGGTCTATCTTGGAGAATATCATGTGCCAATAAGAAGAATGTATAAGCTGCAGTTGTTGAGAAGAATGTTCTGTGAATATCCATTAACTTCATTTGTTCTAGGGTATAGTTTAAGTCCATTGTTTCTTTGTTGACTTTCTGTTTTGATGACCTATTTAGTGTTCTCAGTGGAGTATTGAAGTTCCCCACTATTTTGTTGTTGTTGTCTATCTCATCTTTTAAGTCTGGTGCTAATTGTTTTGTGAATCTGGGAGCTCCAGTGTTAAGTGCATCTAAATTTAAGATTGTAATATCTTCTTTTTGGACTGATCCTTTTATTATTATATAATGTTCTTCTGTGTCGGTTTTTTGTTTGTTGTTTTACTCTTGTTGCTTAAAGTCTGTTTTATCTGATATAGGAATAGCTAATCCTGCTCACTTTGCTTTCAGTTTCCATGGAATATCTTTTTCCACCCCTTTACCTTGAGTTCACATGAATCCTCATGTTATGTGAGTTTCTTGAAGACAAGTGATAGTTGGTTGGTGGTTTTTAAAATTCATTCTGCTATTCTGTATCTTTTAAGTGTTGCATTTAGGCCATTTACATTCAACATTAACATCCAGATGGTAGGTACTGTTCTACACATGTTAATTTTTACCTAGATACTTTATTTTTTCATTGTGTTATTGTTTCATAGGCCCTGTGAGTATTATGCTTTCAGGAAGTTCTATTTTGGTGCACATGAAGCTTCTGTTTCAAGATTTGGAACTCCATTTAGCATTTCTTGTATTGCTGGTTTGGTATTGGAAAATTCCCTTAGCATTTGTTTGTATGAAAAAGACTTATCTCTCCTTTATTTATAAAGCTTAGTTTTGCAGGCTACAAAATCCTTGGCTGACCATTATTTTGTTTAAGAAGGCTAAAGATAGGACTCCAAGCCCCTTCTAGCTTGTAAGGTTTCTGCTGAGAAGTCTGCTGTTACTCTGATAGGTTTTCCCTTGCAGGTAACCTAATGATTTATCTCACAGCTATTAGAATTATTTCCTTCATTTTGATTTTAGATAGTCTGGTGACTGTGCCTTAGTGATTATTTTTTGCAGTCAATTTCTCAGGAGTTCTTTTAGCATCTTGCATTTGTGTATCTAAATCTCTATCAAGGCCAGGGAAGTTTTCCTCAATTATTGTCTCAAGTAAATTTTCCAGACATTTAGCCTTCTATTCTCCCTCGGGAACATCAATTATTCTTATTGTCTCAAGTAAATTTTCCAGACATTTAGCCTTCTATTCTCCCTCAGGAACATCAATTATTCTTAGGTTTGGATGTTTAAGGTGATGCCAAATTTCTTGGAGAATTTTTTTTTTTGCTTCTTTATTTTTATCTTTGTCTAATTAGGTTAATTCAATAGACTTGTTTTGAGCTCTGATATTCTTTCTTCTACTTGTTTTAGTCTATCGTTTAAATGTTCCACTGCATTTTAAAAAATTTGTCTATTTGTATCTTTCGTTTACAGAAGTTCTGATTGGTTTTTCTTTATGAATTCTATCTCTCTGGAAAATTTTCATTCATATGCTAAATTGCTTTTTAATTTCTTTATGTTGTTTTTCACCTTTCTCTGGTACCTCCTTGAGTAGGTAGCAGAGAAAGGTGAAAAACAACATAAAGAATAATCAGCCTTCTGAATTCTTCATTTGGTATTTCAAATATTTAATCTTGGTTTGGACATGTTGCTGAGAAGCTACTGTGATCATTTAGAGGTGTATGGAACCCTATTTTGTCACATTACCAGAATTACTTTTTTTTGTTTCTTCTAATTTGAGTAGACTATTTCTTCAAATTATTCTTGAATTTATTTTTGATTTGACTATGTTTTTTTTTCTCTCAAGGATGTGACTTTAATGTTTATAATTTATTATAGCTCAGTTTGGTTCTTGGTGCTTTTAGGGTTGAAAACTCTTTATGACTTCCTTGGTTATGTAGAGTATTTGTGTGCTGGCTTTCTCAAATGCTAATTGTAGTAGTTATGTACTTGATGTATGGGCAAGCTTATTGTCTGCTGTGAGGTTAGAATGGCAAGGATCTCTTGAAGCTTGTATCATTCCTCCATTATGTGCACTTTTAAATTTATTTAATATTTCCTCAGTTTTCTGTTTAACAACTTGATGCTTCAGGCTTCATACCAGTAGGGGATGTACCCCTGGGTAAAAAAACAGTTGTAGCTAAAGCACGTGGGTAGATGCAATACCCAATGGTGGGCAGAAGTCCCAGCCTTGATAAAGGTGTCTGTGGGAGCTCACAATTAGATGCACGGAGGTTTCATCAGAAAGAGGGGTGAGAGTTACCTCAGCTTCCCTGCCTGGTCAACAGGAAAGCTATCCACCTCCCTCCTGTCCAGTGTTCCAGCTATTCAAGTCAGACAGACACCTTTTTTTTTTTTAAATGTGTAGGAATGTTGATGTTCCAAGTAGAGAGAAATTGTGACACAGTCCTTGTTCGAGCCTGAAACTGGGGCATGCTCCTCTTGTGGAGATACAATCAGCCTTAATTCTTCCAGGAAGGCTGTCTACAGTTGTATCCATGCTGACTTGCCATGGGAGTAGCCCCAGCTGTGCCTGCAGTGGTGGAAGGAGGGGAACAAGGACCCCTTCACCAAGACCCTTTGTGAGCATGAAGACTGCCTGATTATTGGGATAGAGGTGCAGACTTTCTCTCCTGTTTCCAGCTTGTCATTGTGCCTCTGCTGAAAGAAACTTCCCACCAATGGAAAGATCTGGGACTCAAGGACTGCTGTCCATATATTTTTGTTCTACAGGGTGTTCCCTTGATGTGGTGCTCTCCCTCTTCCCCTAGGAGTAGGAGCTAATGAGAGCCAGACTACATTGTTTGCTATTGTTTGTCTGGGTTTAGCCACCCAGTGGGGCTTCCACACTCTGGGCTGTTGCTGGAAAATATCTGCAAGGGATTCAGTGATGTGATCTGTCTTCAAGTCTCCCAGCAGTGGATACCAGTACCAGCTCTAATGGGGGTGGTGGGGATTGATATAGACTCTGTGAGATTCCTTGTTTGTAGCCAGTCTTGGTGTGCTGGGTTACTCAAATGCTGCTTATAATTGTAGTGAACTTGTCACGTGGACAGAATCAGGATCTCTGGAGATCCAGGGTGTTGTGAGTGGTGGTGATAGCTAAGGCTATGCAGTCATTTTCTCCTTCCTGAGTGCCATGTTATTCTACCTAGAGATATTTTAATGGACTGCATTGGTTGGCCTCAAGCCAGGAGGTGTTACTTGCAAAAGAGCACCAGCTGCAGTAGCAACAGTGGGATTTGAGCCTGCCCTAAGTTGCCCAGGGTAAGTATTCTGGTTTCTTTTTTTTATTTCCCACTTTTATTTTAAGTTCAAGGGTACATGTGCAGGATGTATAGGTTTGTTACATAGGTAAAGGTGTGCCAAGGTGTTTTTTGCACAGATCATCCCATCACCTAGGTATTAAGCCAAGCATCCGTTAGCTATTCTTCCTGACGCTCTCCCTCCCCTGACTCCCTGCCCTCCAATAGACCCAAAAGTGTATTGTTCCCCACCATGTGTTGATGTATTCTCATCATTCAGCTACAGCTTATGAGAACATGTGGTATTTGGTTTTCTGTTCCTGCGATAGTTTTCTGAGGATAATGGCTTCCAGCATCCATATTCCTGCAAAGGACATGATCTCATTCCTTGTTATGGCTGCATAGTATTCCATGGTGTATATGGACCACATTTTCTATATCAAGTCCACTGTTGATGAGAATACAGGTTGATTCCAAGTCTTTCCTATTGTGAATAGTGCTACAGTGAACATATTTGTGCATGTATCTTTATAATAGAATGATTTATTTTCCTTTGTGTATATACCTAGTAATGGGATTGCTGGGTCAAATGGTATTTCTGCCTCTAGATCTCAAATTTAGATTCCCACCAACCGTATAAATGTGCTCCTTTTTTTTCACAACTTCTCCAGCATCTATTGTTTCTTGACTTTAAAATAATAGCCATTCTAATTGGTGTGAGGTGGTATCTCATCATGGTCTTCATTTGCATTTCTCTAATGATCAGTGCTGTTGACCTTTTTTTCATATGTTTGTTGGCCACATGTATGTTTTACTTTGGGGAGTATCTGTTCCTGTTCCTTGTCCATTTTTAAGGAGATTTTTTTTCCTTGTAAATTTATATAAGTTTATTGTAGATGGTGGATATTAGACCTTTGTCAGATAGACTGCAAAAATTTTCTTTTGTAGGTTGTCTGTTCACTCTGATGATAGTTTATTTTGCTGTGCAGAAGCTCTTTAGTTTAATTACATTACATTTGTCAATTTCTGCTAGTGTTGCAATTGCTTTTGTCGTCTTCATCATGAAATCTTTGTCCGTGACTATGTCCTGAATGGTATTACCTAGATTTTTTCTAGGATTTTTATAGTTTTGAGTTTTACATTTAAGCCTTTAATCCATCTGGAGTTGATTTTTTATAGGGTCTACAAAAGGAGTCCAGTTTTGATTTTCTGCATATGGTTAGCCAGTTCTCCCAGCACCATTTCTTAAATAGGAATTTTCCCCGTAGCTTGTTTTCGTGAAGTTCATCAAAGATCAGATGGCTATAGGTGTGCAGTCTTATTTCTGGGTTCTCTATTCTGTTCCATTGGTTTATGTGTCTGTTTTTGTACCAGTACCATGCAGTTTTGGTTACTGTAGCCTTGTAGTATTGTTTGAAGTTGGGTAGCATGATGCTTCCAGCATTTTTCTTTTTGCTTAGGATTGTCATGACTATTCAGGCACTTTTCTGGTTTCATACAAATTTTAAATTAGTTTTTTCTAATACTGTGAAGAATGTCAATGGTAGTTTAATGGGAATAGCATTGAATCTATACATTTCTTTGGGTAGTATGGCCATTTTCATGATATTGATTCGTCCTCTTCATGAGCATAAAATGTTCTTCCATTTGTTTGTGTCATCTCTAATCTCTCTGAGCAGCGGTTTGTAGTTCTCCTTGAAGAGGTCCTTTAGTTCACTTGTTAGCTGCATTCCTAGGTATTTTATTCTTTTTGTGGCAATTGCGAATGGGAGTTCATTCATGATTTGGCCCTCGACTTGCCTGTTGTTGGTGTATAGAAATGCTAGCAATATTTGAACATTAATTTTGTAACCTGAGACTTTTCTGAAGTTGCGTATCAGCTTAGGAAGCTTTTGGGTCGAGATGATGGGTTTTTCTAGATATAGAATCATGTCATCTGCAAACAAAGATTGTTTGACTTTCTCTCTTCTTATTGAAATACCCTATATTTATTTCTCTTGCCTGATTACTCTGGCCAGAATCTCCAATACTATGTTGAATAGGAGTGGTGAAAGCGGGCATATTTTTCTTGTGCTGGTTTTCAAGGGGAATGCTTTCAGTTGTTGCCCATTCATTATGATATTGGCTGTGGGTTTGTCATATAGGGTTCTCATTATTTGGAGGTATGTTCCTTCAATACCTAGTTTATTGAGATTTTTTAACATGAAGAGCTGTTGAATTTTATCAAAGGCCTTTTCTGCATCTATTAAGATAATCATGTGTTTTTTTATCTTTAGTTCTGTTCAAATGATAAATCACATTTATTGATTTGTGTATGCTGAACCAAACTTGTATCCCAGGGATGAAGCCTACTTAATTGTAATGGGTAAGTTTTTTAATATGCTGCTGGATTAGGCTTGCCAATATTTTGTTGGGAATTTTTGCTCACCAAAAATGTTAGCCTAATATTTTTTTTTATCTCTGCCAGGTTTTGGTATCAGGCTGATGCTTATCTCACAGAATGAGTTAGGGAGGAGTCCCTTCTTTTCAATTTGTTGGGAATAGTTTTATTAGAACTGGTATCAGCTTTTCTTTTTGCCTCTGGTAGAATTCAGCTGTGAATCCATCTGGTCCTAGGCTTTTTTACATTGGTAGGCTATCTATTACTGGCTCAATTTCAAAACTCATTATTGGTATATTCAGATATTTAACTTCATCCTGGTTCAGTCTTGGGAGGGTGTATGTGTCCAGGAATTTATCTATTTTTTCTAGATTTTCTAGTTTATATACATAGAAGTGTTTATAGTATTCTTTGTTGGTTGTTTGTGTTTTTTTGGGGTCAGTAGTAATATCATCCTTATCATTTCTGATTGTGTTTATTTGAATCTTCTCTCTTTTCTTCTTTATTAGTCTTATTAGCGGTCTATTTTATTAAGTTTTTCAAAAGAGCAGCTCCTAGATTTATTTATTTTCTAAAGGGTGTGTGTGTGTGTGCGTGTGTGTGTGCGTGTGTGTGCGTGTGTGTGTGTGTGTGTGTGTCCTTCAGTTTAGCTGTGATCTTGGTTATTTCTTGTTTTCTGCTAGCTTTGGGGTTCGTTTGCTCTTGGTTCTCTAGTTCTTTTAGTTGTGATGCTAGGTTATTGACTACATATCTTTCTGGCTTTTTGAGGTAAGCATTTAGTACTATAAATTTATCTTTTAACACTGCTTTAGCTGTGTCCCAGAGATTCTGGTAAATTGTCTCTTTGTTCTCATTAGAACTTCTTGATTTCTGCCTTAATGTCATTATTTACCGAAGAGTCATTCAGGAGCAGGTCATTCAATTTCTATGTAGTTGTGTGGTTTTGAGTGAATTTCTTAATCTTGAGGTCTAATTAGATTGTGCAGTGGTCTGAGAGACTGTTTTCTATGATTTCAGAATTTGCATTTGCTGAGGAGTGCTTTACTTCCAAATATGTGATTCATTGTATTTTTATTTTTTTATAGGCTACTTTTTTTTTTTAATACTTTAAGTTCTGGGATACATGTGCAGAGCATGCAGGTTTGTTACATAGGTATACACGTGCCATGGTGGTTGATCCACCCATCAACCCATCACCTACATTAGGTATTTCTCCTAATGCTATCCCTCCCCTAGCCCCCACCCTCCAACAGGCCCCGGTGTGTGATGTTCCCTCCCTGTGTCCATGTGTTCTTATTGTTCAACTCCCACTTAGTGAGAACATGCAGTGTTTGGTTTACTGTTCCTGTGTTAGTTTCCTGAGAATGATGGCTTCCAGCTTCATCCATGTCCCTGCAAAGGACATGAACTCATCCTTTCTTATGGCTGCATAGTATTCCATGGTGTATATATGCCACATTTGCTTTATCCAGTCTATCATTGATGGGCATTTAGGTTGGTTCCAAGACTTTGCTCTTGTGAACAGTGCTGCAATAAACATATGTGTGCTTGTGTCTTTATAGTAGAATAATTTATAATCCTTTGGGTATATACCCAGTAGTGAGATTGCTACATCAAATGATATTTCTGGTTCTAGATCCTTGAGGAATCACCACACTGTCATCCACAATGTTTGAACTAATTTACACTTCCACCAACAGTGTCAAAGTGTTCCTATTTCTCCACATCCTCTCCAGCAACTGTTGTTTCTGAACTTTTCAATGATCGTCACTCTAATTGGCATGAGATGATATCTCATTGTGGTTTTGATTTGCATTTCTCTGATGACCAGTGATGATGAGCTTTTTTTCATATGTTTTTTGGCCACATAAATGTCTTCTTTTGAGAAGTGTCTGTTCATATCTTTTGCCCACTTTTGGATGGAGTTGTTTGTTTTTTTTTCTTGTAAATTTGTTTAAGTTATTTGTCGATTCTGGATATTAGCCCTTTGTCATATGAATAGATTGCAAAAATTTTCTCCCATTCTGTAGGTTGCCTGTTCACTCTGATGATAGTTGCTTTTGCTGTGCAGAAGCTCTTTAGTTTAATTAGGTCCCATTTGTCAATTTTGGCTTTTGTTGCCATTGCTTTTGGTGTTTTAGTCTTGAAGTCTTTGCCCATGCCTATGTCCTGAAGGGTATTGCCTAGGTTTTCTTCTAGGGCTTTTATGGTTTTAAGTCTTACATTTAAGTCTTTAATCCATCTTGAGTTAATTTTTGTATAAGGTGTTAGGAAGGGGTCCAGTTTCAGTTTTCTGCATATGGCTAGCCAGTTTTCCCAACACCATTTGTTAAATAGGAAATCCTTTCCCCATTGCTTGTTTTTGTCAGGTTTGTCAACAATCAAATGGTTGTAGATATGTGCTGTTATTTTCGAGGCCTCTGTTCTGTTCCATTATTCTATATATCTGTTTTGGTACCATTACCATTCTGTTTTGATTACTGTAGCCTTATAATATAGTTTGAAGTCAGGTAGCATGATGCCTCCAGCTTTGTTCTTTTTGCTTAGGATTGTCTTGGCTATACAGGCTCTTTTTTGGTTCCACTTGAAATTTAAAGGAGTTTTTGCTAATTCTGTGAAGAAAGTTAATGGTAGCTTGATGGGGATAGCATTGAATTTATATATTTCTTTGGACAGTATGGCCATTTTCACAATATTGATTCTTCCTATCCATGAGCATGAAATGTTTGTCCATTTGTTTGTGTCCTCTCTTATTTCCTTTAGCAGTGGTTGGTAGTTGTCCTTGATCAATTTTAGAGTTATTGCCATGTGGTGAGGAGAATAATGTATATTCTGTTGTTTCTGGGTATAGAGTTCTGTATATATCTGTCGTGTCCACTTTATCCAGAGGTGAGTTCAGTTCCTGAATATTTTTGTTAATTTTCTCCCTCAGTGATCTGTCTAAAATTGTCAGCATGGTGTTACAGTTTCCCACTGTTATTGTGTGGGAGCCTAAGTCTCTTTGAAGGTATCTAAGAACTTGCTTTATGAATCTGGGTGCTCCTGTATTAGATGCATATATATTTAAGATAGCTAGTTCTTCTTGTAAATTAAACAATTTATCATTATGGAATGCACTTCTTTGTCTTTTTTGATCTTTGTTTGTTTAAAGCCTGTTTTGACAGAAACTAGGATTGCAACCCCTGCTTTTATTTCTGTTTCCCATTTGCTTGGTAAATTTTCCTCCAACCCTTTGTTTTGAGCCTATGTGTGTCTCTGCATATAAGATAGGGTCTCTTGATTACAGCATAGTAATGGGTCTTGATTCTTTATTCAGCTTTCTATTCTGTGTCTTTTAATTGCGGTATTCAGCCTGTTTACATTTAGGGTTAGTATTGTTATGTGTGGATTTGATCCTGTCATCATGATCTTAGCTGGTTAACATGCAGATTTGTTTATGTGATTGCTTTATAATGCCACTAGTCTGAGAAATTCAGTGTGTTTTTGAAGTGGCTGGTAATAATCTTTTCTTTCCATATTTAGTGTTTCCTTCAGGAGTTCTTGGAAGGCCATTCTGGTGGTAATAAATTTCCTCAGCATTTGCTTGTTCAAAAAGGATGTTAACTTTTTTTTTTTTTTTGGCTTATGAAGCTTAGTTTGGCTGCATATGAAATTCGGGGTTGGGAATTTTTTTTCTTTAACAATGTTGAATATTGGTCCCCAAACTCTTCTGGCTTATAGGGTTTCTGCTGAAGGGTGCACTGGTATTCTAATGGACTTCTCTTTGTCGGTGACCTAGTCTTTCTGGCTGCCTTTAACATTTTTTTTTTCTTTTGGACCTTGAAGAATCTAATAATTATGTGTCTTAGGGATGATCTTCTCATGGAGTATCTTACTGAGGTTCTCTGCATTTTTTGAATTTGAATGTTTTCTTGTCTTGCTAGGTTGTGGAAATTCTACTGGATATCCAGAAGTATGTTTTCCAACTTGATTCCATTCTCCCTGTCTGTTTCAGGTACCCCAATTAGTTGTAGATTCAGTCTCTTTACATAATACCATATTTCTCAGAGGTTCTGTTCTTGCCTTTTCATTCTTTTTTCTCTCTTCTTGTCTGCCTGTCTTAATTCAGAAAGCCAGTGATCCAGTTCTGAGATTCTTTCTTCTGCTTGGTCTATACTTCTACTAATACTTGTGATTGCATTGTGAACTTCTTGTAATGTGTTTTTCAACTCTAACAGGTCAGTTATGTTTCTCTTTAAACTGGCTATTTTGACTGTCAGCTCCTGTATTGTTTTATCATCATTCTTATCTTCTTTGCCTTAGGTTACAACGTGCACTTATAGCTCATTGAAGTTTGTTATTATCCACATTCTGAAGCCCACTTTTGTCATTTCAGCCATCTCAGACACAGCCCAGTTCTGAGCTCTTGCTGGAGAGGTGTTGCTGTCACTTGGAGGAAAATAAAGCATTCTGGCTTTTTGAGTTTTAATTGTTTTTGCTTTGATTCTTTCTCATCTTTGTGGGCTTATATACAACCTTCAATCTTTGAGTTTGCTGACGTTTGGATGGGTTTTTTTGTGGTTTTGTTATTGTTGTTGTTGTTGTTGTCCCCTCCCTCCGGGCACTCTGTCCCAGAGAGAGATCAGAGCTTTCTCCATAATACCTGCAGATGGGTATGGCTAGAGGCCCTGGCTGGGAGGTCCTCCCCAGTGAGGAGGAATGGATTGGGGTCCCACATAAAGAAGAAGTCTGTCCATGATCTGGCAAAGCCACTGTGCTACACTGCTGGGGGGACCCTTTCTTGTCTGGACCATTTGGACTCTCCATAGCCCACAAGTTGGAATGGCTGAGTCAACCAAACAGCAGAGATGGTGCACCTTCCCCCCCACCCAACCCCGGGGGGCTCGGTCTGATCTCAGGCAGGCTCCATCCTGTTGCCAATGCCTGGCTGGAATTCCAAAACAGGTTTTCTTATCCCATGAGGTGTCATGTAAGTGGAACGATACTCAGCTCTCTGAATTCTATCTACACTCTTCCTAGGGTTGTATGCAGACCTCCAGCCTTACGTGAGTTGCAGACATGTTTGTTGGGGATCCCTGCGCTGGAGTATGTAAAGCTACATGGTCTCTGTGTGTGCATGAGCAGCTGATCTGAAGACTCCACACAGCTCTGTGTGTCAGACCCAAGGTCCTGGTGGCATGAGCTCACAAGGGGATCTCCTGATCCATGGGTTGCAAAGATCCATGGTAGAAGCATGGTTTCCTGGAGTTACACAATCACTCCCGGTTTCCCTGGCTAGGGCTGGGGATTCCCTTGGCTCTATGTCACTCCAGAGTGGGCCATCACCCTACCCTGCTTTTCTTCATTGTCCACAGTCAAATTGTTTCCCTAATCAGTCCCAATGTGAGAACCTAGATATTTCAGTTGAAGGTACTGTATTCATTCTCCCCTTTCATTCTTCTCTGTTAGTATCTTGGATCGCAGCTGCTTCTAATTGGCCATCGTGGCACCTCTTCAGTATTCTGGTTTCTTAGGCAATAAGCAGGGCTATAAGGTTCCCAAAAGTTTATGTTGTTTGTGCTAAGCTACCAGGGTGGGTGGATGGGCACAACCAGGAGAAGCAAGGTTAGTCGAGTCTGTACTCTGACTCTCCTTGAGCAGAGCAAGCTGTGACCCCTGTGAGGGTCAGGGGGTGGTTCTATGGTCACTGGAGCAGTGTTCCCAAGGTGAGTATAACTGCCTCTGCTTCACAGAAAAGTTTGCAAAGGGAGTGGGGAGTTACAGGCGGCTGTAAGCTTCACCCAGCTTCCATGCAGTTGGCAAGGACAATCTCACTCCCACAGTGTTCCATTAACATCACCAGGTTAAGACCCAGGCTGCCTGTGCACAGAACTCAGACCTGCCCAGGCCATAAGCTTACCCTTCAGAGATAGCAACCATGGCCTCCCTGTCTCCGCACTAGGCTGGGTGCCCAGTTCCTGTGCTTGTTTCTGGAGCATACTTCCCTTTCAGCCCCTGGGTTCTGGGCAAGGGAGTTCATCCCCACTTGAGATTATATTATGAAATTCAGTTAGGAGCTTCATTGTCATCATAGTGACCCCTCCCTGAGCTAGTTGACTGACTTCCCCAAAGTCTCTTATGAGATATAATCAGGAATGGCTTCCTTCAGTCCTCACTGGAGACTGGGAATACTTGCAAAGTATTTCCTGCTGCTGCTTCTACTTTCAGATTTCTTGTCATTCCTTAAATCAGTCCCAGCTCTGGGTAGGTTTAATGTCTCCTGCGAGCTGGATTTTCAGATTCCCAAGTGGAAATGTATATCCTGGAGGCAGTCTCTCTCTCCTCACACTCTGTGGACTTACAGTTTTTCTCTTGTCTCAGAGAGTAGGCTTCAGACTGTTACTTGTTTCAAAGGGTCTATGGATTATTTAAGTTTTCCTATTAATTTCCTGCATTGCTCCTTGGAAAACAGTTCACAGTGTGAATTTCTACACAGTATTCTGTCCTTCCAGTGGGAGAGACACACTGACAGTTCCTCCAATCTGCCATCTTAGAAAAAAAAAATCACCCTTATTTGTATTATTTTCTAGGTCTATCTATATTTTCATGAAGTGAATGTCTTATTAAAATGACTTTATGGGAGATGTCAACAAAATGGTGGAAAAAGAGCTTTCTGACTCACATTCCAAGCATGGATGTACCAAATAAACATCTACTCATGTATCAGTTCCATCTGAGAGAAATTCAGAAATAGTTGAGAGACTCCTACTCACTGAGCAGCTAAGAAAACATCCACACGGAATGGGTAGTAAAAGCAGAGGCACACCCAGGTACAGGCCCTGTTCAGATACTGCACCACGTAGACAGGAGAGAAATCCCAAACACTCAGCTCTGCCTGTGGAGAAGAGGGCTTGGACCTCACATGTAATGCCCTCACTCTAAGGTTCCTTTTAATTTGGTTCTTAATTCACTAACTCTGGGAGTGAAGGAGATTAACCATGTAAAAGTCTATCTTGTCCACAAGAAAAAAAAAATGAGTGGTTTTGTATACATGTGCAAGCACTTCTAGGGGCTCTATCCTCCAGCAGTAGTGCAGAGAAGGGGCTTGAAAAAACAGCTCCTTGTTTCTCCCCAGAAGGGGTTTATGACACACTGTTGCAGTGGATACTTAGTAGCCTGGCTTCTACCTAACATACATTGAGGACCTAAAGATCAAACAAACAGTGACCCTCCAGCAGTCTGAGAAGCAGATCAGCACTTTCCAAGCCTTCTACTCCTGCTTGCCCCAGTGATAACATCAAGTTTATCAATTCATTCTGGAAAGAGTTTGTCCAAATATCAAACACTCCAACTTTTACAGCTTCCACCCAAGGTATTGAATTCTAATCCTCCTAGCTGTGGGAGCAGAGAAGACTACGCATATGTAAGTCTCTCTAGAACACAGAAGAAAAAGTACAGTTGTGAGCAATCATTCAAGTACTTCCAGGCGCTTCATCTCTCAAGGGTGCTGAAGATAATGGGGCTTTAAAAATGAAGTTTCCTTCTTCTCCCAGAAAATGGTTTAAGCCACACATTAAGTACCCCAACTTTTATGGATCCCACCAGATGGGCTGTCTCCTAAGCATCTTATCTCTGGGGGCAGAAAAAACTAGGCATATCCAAGGCTCTCTGGATCACAGAACAAAGAGGTAGTTTTTAAATGATGTGCAATATCTTCTAGTGGCTATGCCCCCTTAAAGCAGTGCAGATGTAGGGTTGGAATGTATAGTTTCTATTTTCTCTCTGAAAGAGGTTTCTTGTATTCTCTTTCAGTGTCTTCTTAATGTCCTGCTTCTAATAAATTTGTATCAAGGAGCTAACAGAATAGACAAATAGTAACCCTTTGATAGCCTTAGCCAGGGCTTGAAACTTCCTGAGCCTTTCCTCCTGCTTGCTCCAGTGATATATCCAGGTCTACCTTTTCATCCTGAAAAGAAATGGTTGAAGCACATAGTGCCATAACTCCCATAGCTTCTGCTCAAGGGACTATCTTCTTAACAACCTAACTCTGGGATTCAATGGATATTTGTGTTCGCGAGTGGCCCTAGACCACAAAAAATAAAGAGATAGATACACAATGGGCTCACGTCCAGCAGCTATCTGCCCAAGATCAGAGCATACAAACTGAATATGAGTACAGGCATTTGACAAAGATCCTTGCTCAGGCTTACTGCAGAAAGAGAGGGAGATAAGAGCCTGTGCTCAGCTTTACCATGAGGATAGATAAAACTGAAATACATCTCCAACCTTTCCAGTTACATCTAGAGGGGTTGGCTTTTACCTTAGTTATCAGAGTAAGGTCAGTAAGTACCTTACTTACTGACAGGATGTGGCCTATTCTAATCTCCAAGGAGCCACCAAAAACATAGACAGTAGTTTGGTCAAATACAAAAATTTAAAAGGTACATTAAAATCTCTAGCCAGACAGATAGGTGAGATGTTTCTCCTACAAAAGACCGGTCTAACAAGACTGAGGGAGGCAGTAGTCTTATCTGATTCACAGACACCAAGACAGTGAAAAAAAAAATGAATATACAGGTAAATATATTTAAAATAAGCAAACAAGATAAATCTCTAGAAACTTACCCAAGTGAAGTGAAGATATGTTTTTTACCTAACAGGAAACTCAAAATTATGGTCATAAAGAGGCTCATTGAGGTTAGGAGAGCAATGCATGTATAAACTGAAGATTTCAACAAAGCAATAGAAACTGTAAAAAAGTACTGAACAGAAATTGTAGAGCTGAAAATTGCTATAACTAAACTGAAAAATTTAGTAGAGGGATTCAACAGAAGACTAGCTCAATCAACAGAAAGAATCAGGAACTCAAAGACAGGTCCCTGGAAATCATCCAATCTGAAGAGCATACAGAAAAAAATAAAAAAGAATAAAGATAAGTTAACAAATGTTTCTCAACACAATAAAGGTCCTCATTATTTTTTAGTCTCACGTATCACTTTGTAATGTAAACGTTTTTCTTGGTATATAAATTTTACTTATTTTACCCTTCTCTTTCTCCTTTCTTAGCTCATGACAAGCTCAAAGCTAACTTTATACTGGGTGATAAAGAGTTGAAGGCATGTCTTCTAAAATTAGGAACAAGACAAAAATGCCCACTATCATCACCTCTTTTCAAAGTAGTACTGGAAGTCCTGGCCAGATTAACTAGGTAAGAAAAAGAACATCTAAATAGAAAAGAAAGATGTAAAATTTTCTCTGATTTCCACACATCTTATAACAATCTTATATAGAGAAAATTTCAAAGATTACACCAAAAAACTGTTAGAACTAATAAAGGAACATAGTAAAGTAGCAGGATACAAAATTAGTTTAGAAAATTCAGTAGTGTCTCTATACACTAAGAAAAAAAGACTTGAAAAAATATAAATTTAATTTACAATAACATCAAAAAATGAAATATCAGTAAATTAGTAAATTTAACTATGGAGGTGAAAGACCTGTGTACTGAAACTTGTATATCGATGTAAAAAAATGAAAAATGACATGAACAAATTGAAAGATATCTGGTGCTGATGCATTGGAAGGATTAATATTGTTAAAATGTCTGTTCTACTCAAAGTGATATACTGACTCAATGTAATTCCTATCAAATTTCCAATGTCTTTATTCATAGAAACAGAAAAAAATTACCATTCGTGTGGAACCACAAAAGACCCCAAGTAGCCAAAGTTATCTTCAGCAGAAAGTACTAAGCTCAAGCTATCACATTTCCAGCTTTCAAAATATATTACAAAACTGTAGTAATCAAAACAGCATTGTACAGGCAAACAAACAAACAAAACAAAACAATAAAAAACAACAACAACAAAAACCCCAGAAACATTCACTAATGTAATAGGAAAGAGGGTCAATAAATAAAATGGACATTTATGGTCAATTGATTTTCCAAAACGGTGCCAGGAACACAAAATGGGGAAAAGGCAGTCTCTTCAATAAATAGTTGTGGGAAAACCCAATATCCACATGCATATGAATAAAATTGAACCCTTATATCACTTCTCATACAAAATTCAATTCAAAATGAATTAAAGACTTAAATGTAATACTTGAGACTGTAAAACTATTAAAGAGAATATAGGAGAAAAGCTACATGATATTAGACGAGTCAGTGATTTCTTGGATATAACCCTAATAGCACAGATGGCAAAAGCAGAAATAGATAAATGGGATTCCATCAAACTAAAACGTTTCTACACTGCAAATCAAACAATTAACAGAGTAAAGAGACACCCTACAGGTAGAGAGAAAATGTTTGCAAATCATACATCAGATAAGGGGCTAATATCCAAAATATATAAGAAACTCAAACTAGTCAATAACAAGAAAAAAAATTTCAATGAAAATGGACAAAAGGGTTGAGAATGGTGGCTCATGCCTACAATCCCAGAAGTTTTGAAGGCCAAAGTAGGAGGATCACTTGAGCCTATAAGTTCAAGCCTGGACAACATAGTGAGATTTTGTCTCTATACAAAGCAGACAAAATTGTTAGTTAAGCATGGTGGCACAGGCCTATGGTCTCAGCTACTTGGGAGGCTGAGATGAGAGGATCACTTGAGCTCAGGAAGTTGAGGCTTCAGTGAGTTGTTATCACACTCACAGGTATGTAAAAAATGTTCAACATGTCTAGTCATCAGAGAAATGCAAGTTAAAACAACAACAAGATATTACCTCACACCCGCTAGAATGGCTACTATTAAAAAAATGAAAGATAACAAGTGTTGGCAACTATATGAAAGAAAGGGAATCATTTCTTAGGAAAAATAAATTCTGGGACCTATTACATAACATGGTGCCTATAGTTAATAATGTAATATATTTTTCAAAATAGCTAAAGAACAGACTTCAAATGTTCTTACCACAACAAAAAGAACTATTTAAAGGGATAGATATGTTAATTGTCCTGATTTTATCATTCCACAATGTATACATGTATCATAATGTCATATTGCATTCCACAAATATATAGTTATTATCTGTATATATACATGGAAACATAGAGCCACAAAATTTCCTAAAAAAGAAAAATCCAGGACCAGACGTCTTCAGTAGTTAATCATAACAAATATCAAAAAAAGAAAAAAAAAGTATCAAACTGTTAGCAAAAAAACTTGACAATAAAGAGATATTTTAAAATTCAGTTTATGAGCCTAGCAATGCCAAAATCAGATAAAAGCATCACAAGAAAAGAAAAACATGGAACAATATCCCTTATAAATACGTATGCAAAAATCCTTGGGAAAACATTAGCAGATCAAATCAAACAACATATACGAGCTATACACTATGACCAAGCAGGATTTATCTTCACCCACTAGATTTTAAGTAGGCATAATATAGCAAAAAATTATTTTTAACAAATTTATGATATCTCAGAGTAACATCAGCAAAATGGTAGAGTAGGCAATACCAATCTCTCCTTCATCCCCAGAAGAAGCAACAAATAAGCATGAATCGTTAGAAACAACTTTGACAAAATTCTAAAAAACAGTCAAATGTTTGTGTCAATCAAGTGAATGTTAAGAAAAGGCAAGTTGAAATTGACAAAAAATTCTCAGTTTTTTTACTTGCCTTTATCACACCACCTCCCTGGTACAGTAGCAGTCTTGAAGTGGTAGCAACTTCTTGTTTTCAGTGTGGGACCTTGGTCTCCAATTCCTGAAAAAGCAGAGCAAACCTTATATATAAAGCATTCTGTTTATCTGTTCTGAGCTGTCAAATGGGCTTCCTGAAGAACTAACATATGGTACTTGTCTCTGTTTTTCCTAAATCAGACCAAAAAAAGTGGCATATATTGCACATATATATATATCCATATATATATTTATATATGCAATATATATGCATATCTCAATGTATATATACACCATATATATGGTTTCTCTGTCTCTCTCTCTATATATATATATAGTGTGTGTGTGTGTATATATATATGGTGTGTGTGTGTATATATATAGTGTGTGTGTGTGTGTGTATATATATATGGTGTGTGTGTGTGTTTATATATATGTAGAGAGAGAGAGAGAGGGAGAGAGTAACTTTAGCCCCAGATAATTGTTGTTTATTAGTTCAACTTTCAGTGTGTATGTGTGTGTGTTTGTGTGTGTGTGTGTGTTTTAAGACATATGTGTGTGTGTATATATGTGTATACACATATATACTATATATATATTTTTTAAAAACTGTTTTACTATATTTTATTGATATAAATACAACAAACCTCCTAAGTGTGTTCCTGCTTCAAGGAACTTAAGGACGTCCTCCTCCTTTATTTGCAAGACATGAAGGGCTCCAGACATTGTGAAGGTTTCACTTTAAGTTAGGACTGACAGGAATACAGAACAATGCCATATGGACCCCTCTGTGGGTAGTATGGAAAAGCTGCTCATTTTTATATACCATCTAAAGTTCAATAAGTAAAGTTGTGATAGATTCTTTGGAAAACTAGGAACATCTGTGTATACAGGAGAATTTAGAATTCCACATGCATAACCAGGGCAAGATATATGCTCAGAAAAAACTGAGAAGGTCCTAATATTTTGCCTTGGGAACTAGACTAAGTTGGAAACCTGGCAAAGATTTGAAGTACCCCAGCATAGAGCCAATTTGCAATGATTGATAGAGAAGTTTGTTTTGGTTTGCTTTTTTTTTTTCTGTTCTATAGTTGTTGTTTTGTTTATTTACTTATTTTTAGTTCATAACAATCAAGAAAATCTCTGTCAAAGTATTGACTAAACACAAGGTAAAAGATCAGAGATTTCAGGGACCACATATGACAAAGAATACAATTTTTACAATCATTTGGAAAAGTCACTAAACATATGGACTATTAAACCTTCAACAATAAAAAAGCTGCAAATCCTGAGTAAGAGGGAGAATCTGACTTCCAGTTGCCACATTAAAGCATTCGAAAGTCTACTTTTTAAAAACAATAACAAAATCACAAGACATGCAAATAAACAGAAAAAAACCTGCCTATTGAAAGGAAAAAATATTAAATTGACAAAATATGCAATGAGCTAAATGTTTGTTTCTCCATCAAGTGTATATGTTGAAATCCTAACCTCCAATGTGATGGAGCTAAATGGTGGCGCATTTGCAAGATTATTAAGTCGCAAGGGTGGAGCCATCATGAGTGGGATTACAAGTTTTACAAGAAGAAGCGTAAGAGCTTGATCTCTCTCTTTCTCTCTCTCACTCATTCTCTCTGCTCTTCACAATTTTAGCCCTATAAAAAAATGCTGAAGGAACTTCTTTAGGTTAAAATTAAAGGATACAATTAGAAAACTGCCATCTGCAAACCAGGAAACACACCCTCACCAGACACTGGATCCACCAGGAAACACACCCTCACAAGACACTGGATCCACCAGGCCCTTACCCTCAGACTTCCCAGCCTCCAGAACTGTGATATATAAATTTCTGTTGTTTAAGATGTCCATTCTATGGTTTTCTCTTACAGCATTTGAAACTGATTGAGAAAGCCCAATCATGAGATGGACTGGACAAATCTTTAAACAACTCTTCTAAATATGCTAAACAGCTAAGAGAGGAGACAGAAAGAAATAAAAAACTAAAGAAATTAACAAAACAATGTCTAAACAAAAAGACAATAATATTAAAATGATGAATAGCTACAAAGAAACCAAACAAAACCTCTCAAGATAAAATGAATAACCAAAGTGAATGTTTTGCTATATGGGCTCAACAGCAGATTTGAGGAGGTAGAAGAAAGAATCAGTGAACTTGAAGATAGGACAGTTAAAATTATTGACTCTGAGGAGCAGAAAGAAAAAGTAATAATAAAGAATACTTAACAGAGCCTAAGTGACCTGATGAAAGCTATCAATTCAAGAACATACAAATTATGAAAGTCTCAGAACTAGAAGAAATAGAAAATAGGGGCAGAGAGAATATTTAAGGTAATAGAAACAAAAATACTACCATTTTTATCAAGTACATGTGTATGCAAATCCAAGAAGATGAACAAAATCCAAGTATAATAAAAATTAACCAGACCCACATTAAGACACAGCATAGTCAAATTGTTAAAAGCCAAAGAAAATATAATCTTGAATGAAGTGAGAGAGAAATGATGCATCATCATATATAAGGATCCTCAACAAGATTAGGAGCTAATTTCTCAAGTGAAACCTGAAGGCCAAAGGCATGGGTATTATATATTTATAATGCTGAATGAAAAAAAAATGAATGCCAACCAAGAATTCTATACCTGACAAAACTATTCTTGAGAAATAAAGTAAAATTAAGACATTTTCAGATAACCAAATCTGAGAAAGTTGATTACTACTAGACATTCCTTACAAAAAATGCAAAAAGGAATTATTTAGGTTGAAATGAAAGGAAACTGGATGTAATTCACAGCAATACAAAGATATAAATATCACCAATAGAGGTAAATATATGGACAATATAGAAGCTAATATTTTTGTAATTTTGTTTTGTAACTCTAAATTTGTTTTTGTTTATGAATATTAATCAATGAATGTGTCAATGAAGATTGCAAAAAATTAGAAAATACTTAGAGATGAGTTAAAATAAAACACAACATGTAAAACCTTAATAGATGTAACAAATGTAGTGCTCAGTGGGAAAATTATAGCTGCAAATACCTATATTTAAAAAAAAGAC
This sequence comes from Homo sapiens, assembly GCF_000001405.40. Taxonomy (NCBI): domain Eukaryota; kingdom Metazoa; phylum Chordata; class Mammalia; order Primates; family Hominidae; genus Homo; species Homo sapiens. The sequence continues at coordinate 101,248,874 of NC_000005.10, forward strand.
CTCAAATTAGTAACCCAAATGTACATCTTGAGGAATTAGAAAAAGGAATTTACATCTTAAGGAACTAGGGAAAATATTAACAAAGTAGGAACTAGAAATGAAAACTAAAGCCAAAGCTTTCAGAAACAAGACAATGATAATGGCTAAAGTGGAGACATAAAACAGAGAATAGAAAAACAATACAATCAAGGTACCCAAGAGTTGGGTGTTTGAGAAGATCAACCAAATTGGCAAACTTTTTGCTAGTTTGACCAGGAAAAAAAGTAGTGCAAGTAATTAAAAACCAAAATAAAAATAGAGACATAACTACTAGCTTTATAGAAAGAGGAAAGAATGTTAAGAGAATGCTAAGAACAATTGTACAGCAACAAATAGTTAACCTAGATGAAATTTACAAAATCCTAAAAATATACACATTTTCCAAACTGACTCAAAAGGAAATAAAAAATTTCATCAGACCTATAACAATTAAAGATATTCAATAAGTAATCTAAAATCTCCTAAAAAAGAAAAGTCCAGAACCAGATGTCTTCAGTAGTTAATCATGACAAATATCGAAAAAAGAAAAAAAAACTTATCAAACTGTTACCAAAAATACTTGATAATAAAGAGATATTTTAAAATTCAGTTCATGAGGCTAACAATGCCAAAATCAGATAAAAACATCACGAGAAAAGGAAAACATGGAACAATATCCCTTGTAAATACATATGCAAAAATCCTTAGGAAAACATTAGCAAACCAAATCAAACAACATATAAGAACTATACACTATGACCAAGCAGGATTTATCTAAGGAATTCAAGGGTGGTTCAACATAGAAAAATCCGTCTACGTAATATCTTACATTAGTAGAAAAAAAAGAAAAAAATGATTATCTCAGTTGTTTCAGAAAAAACACATGGCAAAATTCAGCACTCTTTCATGATAAAAACAGAAAAGTAGGAATACAAAGGAACTTCCTAAACAATAACAAAGAACATTTATAAGATCTCACACTAATAACCATCTATGCCATTGTAAAGACTGAAAGCTTTCCCTCTAAGATAATGAGCAAGCAAACATGCTTTTTTCCATTGCTGTTATTTGACAGTTTACTGGAAATTGTAGCCAGAGAAATTAAACAAGCAAAAGCAATAAAAAGCATTGAAATTGGAAAGGAAAAAATAAGATTGTCTGTAGTCAGAGATAACTTGATCTTACATAATAAAAAAAGAACTCCACAGAATTCAGAAAGCATTTGAGCTAAAAATTAAAAATTAAAAAAATATAACACAAGATCAGCACACAAAATCTAGTTGTGGTTCCTAAAACAGCAATGAGCAATTCAAAAAAAATCAAATCAATTTACAGATTCAACACACTCTTTATCAAAATTTCAAAAGCCTTTATTTGCAGAAACAGGAAAGCCAACTCTCAAATGCATGCAGAATTGCAAGGGTCCCCTCAAGGCCATGACAATTTTGAAAAACAGAACAAAGTTCAAGGACACACACTTTCTATTGTGGAAAGTTACTACAAAGCTACCATAATCAAAACAGTTTGATACTTGCAGAAGAATAAACATATGGGCCAATGGAATGTAATTAAGAGTTTAAACCACATCCTTATGACAAACTGATTTTTGACGAGGGTGCTAAGTCCATCAATGGTGAAAAAATAGTTTATCAGAATGGATGGTGCTGAAACAACTGAATTTCTACATACAAAAGAACACGATTAGACCACTTGATTAAAAATGTATCAGTGACCTAAATGTAAGAGCTAAAATTATAAAATACCTCAGACAAAACATGAATAAGCCTTTATGTTCATGGTTTTGGCAACAGATACTCATATATGACACTAAAAGCAATAAAAAATAAAAACAAAGGAAAAATCGACAAGTTGGACTTTGCCAAAACTAAAATCTTTTGTGCCACAAAGGACATTGTCAAGAAAAAAAAAAACCTACAGAATATGAAAAAATATTTGCAAATCATGTATCTGAGAAAGCTTTTACTTAGAATATATAAAGAACTCCTACACTCAAGAACAAAAATAAACAATACAATTTAAAAATGGGCAAATGTAAATTGATAAAAATTTCTTCAATGAAGATATAAAAGTGGGCTATACATACATGAAAAGATTTTCAAATATTCACTAATCAAAAGAGAAATAGAAATGCACATGAACATTAGTAATCACTAGGGAAATGCAAATTAAAACCAGGAGATGTCACTTCATGCCCATTAGAATGTCCATTATTAAAAAGCAAATAAAAAATATGTGTTAGTGCAGATGTAAGAAATTGAAACCCTTTTATATTGCTGGTGGGAATGTAAAATAAAGCAGCCACTGTGGGAAACAGTTTGTCATTCCCTCAGAAATTTAAACATGTAATTACCATACAACCCAGCAATTCCACTTTTAGATATATGCCTAAAATAATTGAAAACAGAGACTCAAACAGGTATTTCCATGCCAATGTTAATTGCAGCAGTATTAACAGTAACTAAAAGAAGCAAACAACTCACTTTCCACTAACAGATAAACAAAATGTGGTATATTCATACAATGGGATATTTATTCAGCCATAATAAAAAATAAAATTTGTATACATGCTACAACAATGATTTATCCTTGAAAGCATTGCAGTAAGTGAAATCACACAGACACAAAAGAGCAAATATTGTATATTCCAATCTATCTGAAATATCTAAAATAGGTAAATGTATAAAGAGAGAAAGTAGTTTAGAAGTTATCAGGAGTTGGGGAAAGGGGAATTGGAAATATGTGCTTACTTCTTTAAAGAGTGTCTGTTTGGAGTGTTAAAAAGGTTTTGAAAATAGATTGTTGGACATGGTTGGACAATATTGGAATTACACTGTGAATGTAATTAATGCCACTTAATAATACACTTAAAATAATTAAAATGGCAGAATTTATATGTATTTTACCATGATAAAGAAAGAAAAAGCAGTTCATATGATTTCGATAGAAATTCCTAAGACTCTCATTAAACATTTTATGAAGTGCTATTTTGCCCTGTGATGCCTCCAGTTAGTATTTGCATTGCTGTTGAATTCGTGAGTGATATGTATTTTCATGTTTTTAAATATCCCTCTACTTGAATATAAGATTTGGAAACACAACCATGTCTCATATTTGCTAGCACATTTCTGAACACTTTTTGATCAACATTCAAAAAATAATTTAAAATTTGAGAATATGTTTAAATCTCAAAATGGAAAAATATTAAGTCATTGTATACAACCAATTGCTCATAATCTTTCTTTAGATAATAGAAATTATATATGTAGAGTATATTATATGATGATATATAAGTATGTGTACATTATATCATAATTATATGCATATGTAATAATTATTAATTTACTCAACACTTGTGATACTACACTAGTTTATAAAGCTGACTATCTTTGTGACGCCACCCTGTATTTTCTAGAATTTTTTAAAGAATGGGCAAGAAATATCCAGCTCATTATTTTCTTTTGCAGAGTATATTCACATACCATTAGAAATAAAACACTCATGATTTGTAATACATATTTTAAAGACAAATTCTAACAAGAAATAGTAAATGTTTTCATGTTGAAAAACATTGAAATCAAGTAGAAATAATTGTTTCTTTTTGAATACAGAAGGAAAGAGAACAGAAAATAATTACTTTTGCTCATCTACATCACTTCACAAAAATGAAACATTTGTTTTCATCTATCCAATCTCTAGTGGTAGTTGAAGGCTCAAGCTCAGTGTTATTTGAGGACATCTGTGTTACTTCATTCCACATTGAATTCACTTCCTTTTTAAAGAGTTAGTCTCTAACTTGGCAGTTAATTTATACAGACTTATTATATATTACAAATATAATAATGACAAATAGTTACAGGGCATCTTCTATGCATCATTGGCTGTTCCAAGTGTTTTAAATATATAAATTCATGAAATCTCCAAGCAAGTTTATGAGATAGGTAAAATTATTAGTTGCATTTTGCAGATAAAGATATTAGTTTTGGAAAAACTAAGAGTCTTGCTCAAGGTCATATAGCTAAAAAGTGTCAGGCTCAGATAAGAATATATCTTTTAAACATCTTAATTACTATAGGTCTTTCAAAACAAATATACTATGCTATGCCATGCCATTCAATGCCATGCCATGCTATGTTATGCTTACCCCATTAGTATCTGTTGTGGGTTGAACTGTGTCCTTCTAAAAGATATGTTGAAGTCCTAACGCCTCATATTTGTAATGTGACTCTATTGGGAAACAAGGTCTTTGCAGATGTAACCAAGCTAAAATAAAGTGATATTAGATTAAGGTGGGTCCTAATCCAGTAGGACTCATGCCCTTATAAGAAGAGTGGAATATATGCAGGCTCACAGACGGAAGAATGACGTGTGAAGATGGAGTCTGAGATTGAATTTAGGAATCTACAAGTCCAAGAATGCTAAGAATTACTGGCAACCAGCAGAGCTAAGAAGTTGCAAGAAATGATTCTTACCTAAGAACTTAGAGGGATCATAGGCCTACAGATACCTTAATTTTATACTTCTGACCTACAGAACTCTGAGAGAATACGTGTTTTTAAACCACATAATTTGTGGTAGTACTTGGTTATGGCTGTTCTAGGAAACTAACAAAATGTCTCAGAGTGTTTTATCAATTTAGGATTTAAAATTGCTTCCGTTCACAAATTTTTAACGTTTAATTTTGTACATTAGTAGCATTACTTCAAAATTAACAGGAAACTTAATGTTAAAGCAAGCAAACAAACAAACAAGGAAGCAGTCCTGAGGGGCTTTCTGGTGAGGCCCCTGGTGCCACCTTCTAGGTCTTAGAGTTTTTTGATGCACAGTTGTGAAAAATAACAAACCCAATTTAAAGTTATTATTTAATTTGTGTGAAAACTGAAGCTTAAAGAACTTTATTCTCTTATATAAGGTCATCCAGATAGATGGTGGCAGACCTCTCACTTTGGTATGTATTGTTCTTTTATTTCTTTATTAATTTTCTACACTATGCTGGGCTTCAATTTAAAGACTGACTTCTAAAAATAGCTCTTATTGATTTTCTCATCATAAAAATATTATATTTTATCTCAAGAAAATTTATTAAATAAAAACAGTAAAATGAAGAAATGAAAAGTCTAATTAACACTCCATAAAAGAACTGTAAATATTTGGTGGATTTACATGTAAACACTTAACTCTGAAATTAGATCCTGGAATCTCTATTGCCTAGTCAGAAAGCAATCTTACAGTCAAAGAAACATCAATCCATCAGCCAAAAGATATTTACACAGAAATAACATTTTATTACTCTTTTTCTTGTAATTCACAGCACTTTGAAAACCCTCTTCCTCTAGTTCTTCTCATTCCACAATTTACTTGAAATTCTGTAGCCACCATTCCCATCCTTTACTCTTAACAATACACAGATTTCCTTTCTTCAGGAAACTCACCCTTTTTCTCCAACTTGTCCTTTCATCTCTCTTCCATTCTCCAGATTCTTTTTTTTGCAAAGTTCAGGAAACTTTCTCACAGAAAATCTACACAAAATGTAGCAATAACCTAAGCAGATATATTTTACCTGGTCCTGCCCTTGGTACACATACACATGTACTAGTTTGCATCATACTTTAGTCAGAAACACTGTCATCACTAGGAGTTCTCTTAAAATATTTGTTTTATTTATCCTTTTAAACTACTTTTTTCTCATTATAAGTCAAGAAATATCATTGATTATTGTACCTTAATTTTTACAAAGGATTAAGCAGATGCATTTATGGTAGGTATATATTTTTAAACATATCTAGGCTATTTTAATGTCATATATGCTATTGTTAAAATTCTAAACCATAGAAGAGTGAATAAATGAGACTTCTGTCTTCATCTCTAGATGTTGAGAAGTTGAAGGTACTTTATTCCCATATTTACAATAAAATAAAATGCAACAAACTGTAAATTCATGACCAGTTTTGAACCCATTATAAAGCTAAGTTGACAGAGCAACTGTGATATTGTGAAATACATATATTTAGTCTTCAGTCCCCATTTTTTGACATTTAACTCATAAAATCCTTGGACTATCCAGTGTTATAAAATTTTCTATGCTACTGACTTGACTAGTGGCTGACAACCTCTAGGTAGCCACAGGATTGGGCTGGTCACTAGAAAGACTAAGGCAGGATTAGACGGCTGAGACTTTCAGTACCACTCCTAAACCTTCAGTGGGGAGAGAGGGGCTAAAAGCTCAGTTGAGCACCAACAGCAAATGGTTTAATCAATCATGCCTATGTAATAAAGCCTCCATAAAACCCCTCAAAAAACAGGATTCAGAATGCTTCTGGATAGCTGAACATGTAGAAGTTTTTGAAGAGTGGCATGCATGAGGAGCGTATGAAGGCTCCATGCCTCTTCACGCATGCATTGCTGTATGCATCTTTTCATTTGTATCCTTTGTATTATTCTTTATAATAAACTGATAAACTTGAGTTACATTTTCCTGAGTTCTGTGAGCCACTCCAGCAAATTAACTGAACCCAGAGAGGTGCTGTGAAAGCCCCAATTTATAGTGGGTCAATCATAAACACAGGTAAAAAAAACCTGGGGCTTATGGTTGGCATCAGAAGTGGAAGGCAATTTTGTGGGACTGAGCCCTCAACCTGTAGGATCTGATGATATCTCCAGGGAGACAGTGCCAGACTTGAATTAGAACACATCCAGTTGCAGAATTTATTGCTTTCTTGGCATGTGGGGGAAAAATACCTACACATTTAGTCACAGAAGTCTTCTATGTTGACTGTGGAGTGAAAGTTTAGGAAAAACAGTTTGCATGTTTTTCATTCAGATCAACCCACTGCCCCAAAATTTCATTAGAGACAGCAACCTACAGAGAGAGCAGAGAAACCTGGAGGGAGAGAGAAGTGAGCGCTGGTTTACTTATTGAAGACATAAATGGGCACTTGCAACAGGAGCTCAGCATATATAATGCAAATTTTTGAAGGCTGTATTTGAGTTGGTGGGATATTGTAATGCCCTGGGTGTCATAGATATTGAGGTATTTTACACTCTGTGGAAAGCGTTTATCAACAATCTCACTGAGTATTCACAACAACTATCCAAATGAGTCCTAAGAAAGTTTCCATTGTAGATCAAATGTAGAGGAGGGCAGTAGCAGTTCTGTTAGAGAAGAAAGACTCCCACTTGAGCCCTTCTCCTCTAAATCCACTATAGAACAAAAGCCTTAATTTATGCAGAGGTGGGCAACATACACCACTGCCTTTAGAATACTGGAGAAAATTTATTGCATCTAGAATAAAACATGGGAAAAATATCTACTCCTGAATCAGGTGAAGATCTATGAACTGGATTCTGAACTAAGCCAATGGAGGTGAAAAGAAATAAGTAGGAGCCATTCCCCAAACCTAGGATACTGTGACTGCCTAAGACTTAAAGCTTGATCAAACCATTTAAGAATGCTTCTCAAGTACTGGGAGCCAAGCCGCCCAGCTTTGAAACACAAGTAATGATTGAGAACTGCAGAGAGCAGTATAAGAAAAGAATAAGAACATGCAAAAAATAACACTCTCTGAGGCACAATGTAAAAGGAAGGCCAATACTCAGGGTCAAACCAATCTATACACTAAACACATGGTATTGCTACAGGAATGTGCATCCTATTATGCATAGATAATAACTATAACAACAATATACTTCTTCTCAGCTCATCACCTGAATTAATTAATTAGTTAGCTTGAACTCCTGCACTGAAGGCATTCAAGAGAAAAGGTATAATCATTTTCAGCATTGAAAAACTGTTTACTTCAGTGTGTATTGTCCTAAACAGATTGCAGGTGGCTTTCAACAAAACCTATAAGACAAATAAAATTATCTGAGATAGCACACTGCTAAGAGACCAAGTAATAATCAAAACCATATTTTAAATGACACAGATATTAGAATTTATGCTAGGGCATTTAAAATAGTTATAATTGATATGTTAAAACATCCCATGGAAAAGGTGTACAATATGCAGGATCATATTGGGAATTTCAGTAGAAAAATTTATACCAATAAAAAAATAAATTATTGAAAGAACACAAGTACAGGACACAAATCAAACAAAAGAAAAAAAATTCAAATGGAAATACTAGAAATTAAAAACATACTAACAGAGACATAAAGACTGTCGTTGTATGCTTGGCACACCTGAGGGAAAAATCAACTCAAATCAGAAAATCAGACAATAGAAATTATACCAATTGAAAAACAAAAAGAAAAATATAAAACACTCAAGAGTTGTCTGGAAATACCATATGGTCTAACTTATGTGTAATTAGAATTCTAGAGGAAAATAAAAGAGAATAGGGCAAGAGAAATTGTTTAAAAAAGAATGGCTGAGAATATTTCAGAATTAATGACAACCATCAAACTATAAAAACACAAATCTCAGAACCAAACAATTGGTGTTTTTTAAAGAGAAGTATGTACATTATGTTCAAACTGGTGAAAACATTAGACAAAGAATAATAAAGCAAACATGGCAAAAAAGCAAATTAAATACAGATAAACAAATATATAAATTATGGTCTGATACCATACAAGCCGGAATATAATCAATCCAATGAAATAGGAAAAGAAACTACTTATGGGAGAAACTGAATGATATGGTTTGGCTCTGTATCTCCACCCAAATCTCACCTTGAATTGTACTCCCATAATTCCCACGTGTTGTGGGAGGGACCCAGTGGGAGACAATTTGAATCATGTGGGCGGTGTCTCACATACTGTTTTCAGGGTAGCTAATATGTCTCATGAGATCTGATGGTTTTATCAGGAGTTTCCACTTTTGCATCTTTCTCATTTTTTCTCTTGCTGCCACCATGTAAGAAGTGCCTTTGCCTCCTGTCATGGTGCTGAGGACTCCCCAGACATGTGGAACTGTAAGTACAATTAGACCTCTTTTTATTCCCAGTCTCAAGTAAGTCTTTATCAGCAGCATGTAAATGGACTAATACAGTAAATTGGTAATAGGAGTGGGGTGTTGCTGAAGAGATACTCAAAAATGTGGAAGCGACTTTGGAACTGGGTAACAGGCAGAGGTTGGAACAGTTTGGAGGGCACAGAAAAAGACAGGAAAATGTGGGAAGGTTTAGAACATTCTAGAGATTTGTTGAATGGCTTTGACAAAAATGCTGATAGTGATTTGGACAAGAAGGTCCAGGCTGAGATGGTCTCAGATGGAGATGAGGAATTTTTGGGAACTGGAGCAAAGGTGACACTTGTTATGTTTTAGCAAAGAGACTGGCGACATTTTTTCCCTGCCCTAGAAAGTTTTGAAACTTTGAACTAGAGAGAGATGATTTAGTCTATATGGCAGAAGAAATTTCTAAGCAGTAAAGCATTCAAGAGATGACTTGGGTGCTTTTAAAAGCATTCTGTTTTAAAAGGGAAACAGCATAAAAGTTCAGAAAATTTGCAGCCTGAAGATGCAGTATAAAAGAAAACCCCACTTTTTTGAGGAGAAATGCAAGCTGGCTTCAGAAATTTCCATAAGTAACAAGGAGCCAAACGTTAACCCCCAAGACAATGGGAAAAATATCTCCAACATGTCATAGATCTTCATGGCAGCCCCTCACATCACAGACCTGAAAGCCTAGGAGGAAAAAAAGATCTCATGGGCCAGGCCCAGGGTCCTCATGCTGTGTGTAGCTTAGGTCTTGGTGTCCTTCATCCCAGCTGCTCCAGCCATTGCAAAAAGGGGCCAAGGTATAGCTAAGCCAATGGTTCCAGAGGGTGCAAGCCCAAACCTTGGCAACTTCTCTGTGGTGTTGATCCTGCAGGTGCATAGAAATCAAGAATTGAGGTTTAGGAACTTCCACCTACATTTCAGAAGATGTATGGAAATACCTAGATGCCCAGGCACAAGTGTGCTGTAGGGGCAGAGCCCTTAAGGAGAACCTCTGCTAGGGCAGTGCAGAAGGGAAATGTGGGGTTGGAGCCCCCACACAGAGTCCCTACTGGGGCTCTGCCTAGTGGAGCTGTGAGAAGAGAGCCACCATCTTCCAGGCCTCAGAATGGTAGATCCACCGACAGCTTGAATCACGTGCATGAAAAATCCACAGACACTCAATGCTAGCCCGTGAAATCAGCCAGGAGGAGGGTTATACCCTGCAAAGACAAAGGGGCAGAGCTTCCCAAGACTATGGGAACCTACCTCTTGGATCAGAGTGTCAATGTGACCTGGATGTGAGACATGGAGTCAAAGGAGATTATTTTGGAGAACTAAAATTTGACTGCCCCACTGAATTTCAGACTTTCATGAGGCCGTAGCCCCTCTGTTTTGGCCAATTTCTCCCATTTAGAAGACCTGTATTCACCCAATACCTGTACCCCATTGTATCTAGGAAGTAACTAGCTTGTATTTGATTTTATAGGCCCACAGGTGGAAGGAACTTGCCTTTTCTTCAGTTGAGACTTTGGACTGTGGACTTTTGGGTTAATGCTGAAATGAGTTAAGACTTTGGGAGACTGTTGGGAAGGCACGATTGCTTTTGAAATATGAGAAGATGAGATTTGGAGAGGCTAGGGTCAGAATGATATGGTTTGGCTCTGTGTCCCCACCCAAATCTCATCTTGAATTGTACTCCCATAATTCCCACATGTTGTGAGAGGGACCTGGTGGGAGATAATTTGAATCATTGTGGTGGTTTCCTCCATACGGTTCTCGTGCTACTGAATAAGTCTTGCAAGATTTGATGATTTTATCAGAGGTTTCCGCTTTTGTGTCTTTCTCATTTTTTCTTTTGCTGCCATCATGTAAGAAGTGACTTGCAACTTCCACTATAATTCTGAGGCCTCCCTAGCCATGTGGAACTGTAAGTACAATTAAATCTTTTTTCTTCCCAGTCTTGGGTATGTCTTTATCAGAGGCATGAAAATGAAATAATATACTGAAGAAGTCCTAAATTAATGAAGAGATATATGTGCTTATGAATTGATATACGTGCTTATGAATTGATATACATGCTTATATATTGTAAAGATGTACGTGCTTATATATTGTAAAGATGTCAGTTCTTCCCCAAATAATCCACTGATTAGATGGAATCTCAAACAAAACTCTCTCAGGCTTTTTGGTAGATATCAATAATACTATACTCAAATTTATATAGGAAATCTAAGGAACTGAAATAACCAAAATACTTGAAAAAGAGAAATTTCTAGGATCATAATGATACAAACAACTAAATATATAAGTAAATGGAGGACAGGGATATATCTCTTCACGACAGAATAAGTCTGAATAACAAATGTAAAATTAATGATAAAAATAGACGATTAGTATTAAAACCCCACATTAATAATTTTCACAAGCAGTGTCCACTGGGATGATGCTAACGTTAGTGGGTAAAAATTTAAGCAGAAAGAGATATCTCATAGCTTCAAATGTCCCTCTCAAAATATTAAATGTTTACAAGGGGAAAAAAGTAACAATGGAGAATCATTGCAGACAGTACCTTAACCGATGATCAAGTTAACATCACCAGTAACACATATCTTCACCAAGAACTACCCAATACAAGAGAGTAGGAAGGACATATCAGAGTTGTGGCATTGTTTCCAATAATATATAAGGTATATGTAATAATGGAGACACTTCAGAAGAAAACAAATTGGAGGACATTCTATAATGTAACTGACCAGAATTCTTCAAAAGTTTCTAGGTGATGTGGTTTGGCTGTGTCCTCACTCAAAGCTCATCTTGTATTCCCACATGTTATGGGAGGGACTTGGTGGGAGGTAATTGAATCATGGGGGTGGTTCTTTCCCATGTTGTTCTCCTGATAGTGAATATGTCTCATGAGATCTGATGGTTTTAAAAGGCAGAGTTTCCCTGCACAAACTGTCTCTTTGCCTGGTGACATCCATGTATACTGTGTCTGTCCTGCAGACTCTGGACAAGCGATGGATGAAAGAAGTATGCAGATATTTTGCGTGAGCGTGACTAAGGGACTGCTCAGCTTAGAGATGCCGAAGAGAGAGTGCAGTCTCGATAAGCCTGAGTCGCTTGTATTTATTCAGTACAGATTTTATGATAAAGGCTTGGAGCTAACACAACCTGTGGATAATTAACATTGTTATTCCCCCTTTCAAGGAGCAGTCTTGCGTGGGGATGATCAAAGGTCAGTTTCTGGACACCATAAGTAAATAAACTTATCTAGATAAACTCCTTTACACTCCCTTGCATCTACTTCTCACCCTCTGCATCAGGGTAAGGGAATTAGCTGCATTCAGCTTTTATTCTCTCCCGAAGCTTTGCAAAACCTCCCGGCCTTCCAAGAGGGTTTGCGTCTTGTCCTAGAAATTTTCTTATAATTTTTCCCACCACCCTGACTGATCTCCTACACATGTAAGATGTGGCTTGTCCTCCTTGCCTTCCACCATGATAGTGAAGCCTCCCCAGTTACGTGGAATAGTAAGTCTATTAAACCCTTTTTCCTGGATAAAGTACCCAGTCTTTGTATTGTATTTATCAGCTGCACAAAAAGAGACTAATACAGTAAATTGGTACCAGTAGAGTGGGGTGCTGCTGTAGATCCCTGAAAATGTGGAATCGACTTTGGAACTGGTTTACAGGCAGGGGCTGGAATAGTTTGGAAGGCTTAGAAGAAGACAGGAAAATTTGTGAAAGTTTGAAACTTCCTGGAGACTTGTTGAATGACTTTGCCCAAAATGCTGATAGTGATATGGACAATAAAGTCCAGGCTGAGGTGGCCTCAGATGGAAATGAGGAACTTGTTGGGAACTGAAGCAAAGCTGACTCTTGTTATGTTTTAGCAAAAAGACTGTCATCATTTTGCCTCTTCCCTAGATATTTGAATTGAGGGAGATGATTTAGGGAATTTAGTGGAAAAAATTTCTAAGCAACAAAGCATTCAAGAGATAACTTGGGTGCTGTTAAAGGCATTCAGTTTTAAAAGGGAAGCGGATCATAAAAGTTCAGAAAATTTACAGCCTGACAATGGGATAGGAAACAAAATCTCATTTTCTGAGGAGAAATTCAAGCCAGCTGCAGAAATTTGCATAAGTAGCGAGGAGACAAGTGTTAATCACAAAAACAATTGGGAAAGTGTCTCCAAAGCATGTCAGAGACCTTTGTGGCAGCCCTTCCCATCATGGACTTGGAGATTTAGGGGGAATAAATGGTTTTGTGGACTGGGTCCAGGGTCTCTCTGCTCTGTGCAGTCTAGAGACTTGGTGCCCTGCATCCCAGCCATTCTAGCCATTAATAAAAGCAGTTAAGGTACAGCTTGGGCTATTGCTTCAGATGGTGGAAGCCCCAAGCCTTGGCAGCTTCCACATGGTGTTGATCCTGCACATGCATAGAAGTGAAGGATTGAGGTTTGAGGACCTTTGCCTAGATTTCAGAGAATGTATGGGAATGCCTGGATGCCCAGGGAGAAGTTTGCTGCAGGAGTAGGGCCCTCATGGAGAAACTCTGATAGGGCAGTGCAGAAGGAAAATGTGGGGTCAGATCCCCCGCACAGAGTCCCCACTGGGGCACTGCCTACTGGAGCTGTGAGTAGAGAGCCACCATCCTCCAGACCCAAGAATGGTAGATCCACTGACAGCTTGCACTGTGTGCCTGGAAAAGCCACAGACACTCTATGCCAGCCCGTGAAAGAAGCCAGGAGAGGGGCTATACCCTGGAAAGACACAGTGGTGGAGCTGCCCAAGGGCATGGGAGCCCAACTCTTGCATCAGTGTGACCTGACTGTGAGACATGGAGTCAAAGGAGATTATTTTGGAGCTTTAATATTTGACTGCACCACTGGATTTCTGACTTGCATGGGGCCTGTGGCCCCTTTGTTTTGCCAATTTCTCGTATTTGAAATGGCTGTATTTACTCAATGCCTATACCCCATCATATCTAGGAAGTAACTAACTTGCTTCTGATTTTACAGGCTCATAGGTGGAAGGGACTTGCCTTGTCTCAGCTGAAACTTTGGACTGTGGACTTTTCAGTTAATGCTGAAATGTGTTAAGACTTTGGGGTACTGTTGGGAAGGCATGATTGGTTTTGAAATGTGAGGACAGGAGATTTGGGATCGGCCAGGGGCAGAATGAAATGGTTTGGCTGTGTCCCCACCCAAATCTTATCTTGAATTTCCACATGTTGTCAGAGGGACCCAGTGGGAGATAATTGAATCATGGGAGTGGGTCCTTCCTGTGTTATTCTTCTGATAGTGAATATGTTTCATGAGATCTGATGGTTTTATAAGATGGAGTTTCCCGACACAAGCTCTCTCTTTGCCTGCTGCCATCCATGTAAGACTTGACTTGCTCCTCCTTGCCTTCTGCCATCCATGTAAGACTTGACTTGCTCCTCCTTGCCTTCTGCCGTGATTGTGAGGCCTCCCCAATCACGTGGAACTATAAGTCCATTAAGCCTTTATTCCTTTATAAATTATCCAGTCTTGTGTATGTCTTTATCAGCAGTTTGAAAATGGATTAATACACTAGGTCATGAAAAATAAGGAAAAATTAATACTGTTTCAAATATGGAGGCTAAGAAGACATGATAACTAAATGTATTGTGGAATAACTAATTATATTCAAGAAAAGAACAAGACAATGCGTGGGAAAACTGGTGATAATTGAATAAATTCTCTAGTTTAGCTGAGAGTATGGTACCAGAGTTATTTTCTTGTGTTGATACTCATGGTAATGTAAAATGTTAACATAGGGAGCCATTGGGTGAAGGATATATAGAGGTACTTCCCTCTATTTCTACAACTCTTCTGTAATCTAAAATTAATCTCAAAATAAATAGTTAAAATGAAGCCAAAATCTAAACGACCAAAAAGTGAATAAATAGAAAAAAATCTACATATCCTCATCTTTCCATGTTCAACATTTTTCAGAAGAAGACATACAAATGCCAAGAATTATATAGAAAGTGCTCAAGATAACTAATCATCAGAAAAGTATAAATTAAAACCACAAGGAGATTCCACTTTATACTAGTAAACATGGCTGTTACTCAAAGGACAAAAAATAATAGATGTTGGTGAGGATGCGGAGATAGAGTTACACTTATACATGGCTGTTGGGGAAGTGAATTACTGCAACTCTGTGGAAAACAGTATGGAGATTTCTCACGAACTAAAAGTAGAACTACCTTTCGATCCTGCAATCCCACTACTATTTATCTACCCAAAGGTAACAAAATCATTATATCACAAAGACATCTACACTTGCAGGTTATCACAGCACTATTCACAATAGTAATGACATGGAATCAACTTATGTTTCCATGAACAAATTGTTGGACAAAAAATTATGGTATACAATGAATACTATTCAGTCATGTAAAAGAAAGAAATCATGTCTTTTGCAGCAACTTGGACAGAACTGAAGGCATTATCTTAAGTGAAACAACTCAGAAACAGAAGGTAAAATCCCACATGTTCTCATTTATGAAAGCTAAATAATGTGTACACATGGACATAGAGTGGGGAATATTAGACATGGAAACTCAGAAGCATAGGAGGGTGGGGGAGGGGTGAGAGATGAGAAATTACATAATCGGTACAATGTACATTATTTGGGTGATGGTTACACTAGAATATCTGACTTCACCACTACACAATATATCCATGTTGTGTAGTATAACAAAACTACACTTGTACCCCTTAAATGTATACAAATAAATTTTAAAAAAAATTAAAAAATACATACACTCCATATTCTTCTAGAAATGTGGAATATATTTTTATTTTCCTAAGCCTTATATAATACTGCATACTCTTTTTATCTATTAAGATAGACTGAAGTGATGGTAAACTGATGTTCATTGATTAAAATTTGTATGCTTTGAAACATGTGACCCAAAGGTCCAAATTGTGTAAGAAACATTTCATAAAGTACTTTATTTTTGTAAAATATAAATTTCTGGGAAATAATTTCTACTTTAACTTTTTTTCTCTTACTGGATTGTTAGTTATACTTTAGGTGATTAGGCTGGTAAAGTGCAGGCTAGCTACAGAAGTATATGCTCATTATCTTTAAAAGTTTAGCATTTTTTGGTTGTCTGGATAATGTGAATATGTTTGTTTGCTTACATCCACTATATTTTTCCCAACACCATAACGTTTCTCTAAGGCAAAACAATTTCAATGTGAACTTCTTGGTTTAAAAATATGTCTGTTAATTTTTTTTTCTTTTTTACTGATCCAACTGGGGAACAAGTTAGTCTATGAATCCTTTAATCCTCCTCCCATAAAGAGATTTAAATAAAGCTTGTTCTTTTAAAATAGATGCGTATTTATGACTGTATTCTCAAATAAAATGCTGTGCAAATGACTCTGAGTGACTTTTGAGGTTAGGTTATAACATGCCATGAATCTTCCAGTAGTTCTCTCTGGGATTCTCTGTTACAATGTACAAAGGCCAGCTACCAAATGATCACTATATGAAAGGACGACAGAAAGTGACTACAAAAAGAGAAAGAGAGAGAGACCCAATAATTCCACTGGTTTTAGTGTCCAGATATTTGAATCTTTTCATTCTAGTGCAAAACATGTGAGGGAAGAAGCCTTCATGAGGACTGCAGACACCTTTTGATGTGAATGTATGAGTTAACAAATGAGAATTGCAGTTGAGTGTAGGCAACTTCCATATTCATGAGCAAAATAAATGATAGCTAGTGTTTTAAGTCACTGTTTTGGTATAGTTTGTTTTACATCCATAGATAACCGAAAAAGGAAATTATTTAGAATCATCTATAGGACTGTTACTGCATTTCGATACATCACATTTTATTCCAACTAATAGCCTTAAATCTTAAAATCCTGAAAGAGAGAATGTGTCTGCGATTGTCTCTCTGTCTTTTATCCTGAGATAATCTTTCTGTACCTCAAAGGCTTTACTTTCATCAACAGCTAAATTTGTCAAAACTGTTTTCTTACCCAATGTACTTAACTGAGTTGTTTATATTAATGAAAAAGAGTTTTGCATAACTTATCTTTCTTTTTTTTTCTTTTTTTTAGTATTTGAAGAGATTTATTCTGAACCAAATATGAGTGACCATGGCCAGTGACACAGCCCTCAAGGAGGTCCTGAGAACATGTACCTGTAAAGATTTTTTTTTTAATTGGGGTATGGGGAAGATACCAAGTCAAGATGCATGTGGTTACAAATAAGAATTTTTAAAAAGGCAGAATAAACATCTTGTAATAAACTTAATAAGAAATACGTAAAAGAAGAAAACCATATTGAAATGTATATCATGTTCTTAAATAGAAAAATTCAGTATAACAATATCAGCTCTTCCTTAGTTAATCTACTACTTTTATGTGATCCTGATAAAACGGCCAACAGGAACTAAAGTTAGACAAGCTGATTATAATGTATCTATGGGGAAAATAAAATTCAAGAATGAACATAGAATTCTAAACAGGGAAGATAATAAGGAAAGAATGTAATTCAAACACTGTGCTGCTATCACATGAATAGACATATCAATGAAACAGATTAGAAAGTCCAGGAATGGACACAAACAAACCATACAGGAATTATAATAAAAAATGAATTTTCAAATCAATGGAGAAAATATAGATTATTCAATAAATGGTATTGAAACATCTGACTAGTAAAGCAGGAAAAAAGAAACACATTTGGATTAATACCTTATATTATATATCAAGAAAAAGTCCAAGTTGATCAAATATCTGAATCCTAAAACCAAAACCATAAAAGCACTAAGAAAAAAATGGAAGAATTTTGTTTAATCTCAAAGTTGGAAAGGTCTTTCTATACGTGAAGGAAAACCCTGAAGTCACAAAGGAAAATATTGATAAATCCAACTCTGTAGAAATAAAAATGCATACATAAAACATCCAGTATAAATCAGAAGATAAATGACAGACTGGGAAAAAGTATTTGCAACTCATATTCAAAGGCTTAATTTCTTTAACGAATAAGAAACAAAATCAATGATTCAAAGAAAAACATGAAGAAGAAATAGCAAAAGACAATTTGTAGAAAGGAAAATCAAGCAATTATAAAAATTAAGGGGTATTCAATCTCAGTACTTACTTTTTAAAAATGTTAATCAAAACTACAATGAGCTGTAAGTTTTCATCTATTGCATTATCAAAGAACAAAAGTTTGATAATTCACCAGATTGCTCTGCCAGTTTTAGGGTTATTGTCCCTCAGCTCCAATCCTACCTTGTGAAACTGTGATGCTGGTGCTGGCACTCTGCACCCCACATTCATCATTGCCATCTGACTCCATGGTAGGCTCAGCCAATGAGAGGTACAAGAGGTAGAGAGGAAAGCTGAAAGAGGAAAAAGGGACTTATTCCTCCCGGTCCGCTTCCTGTTCCTGTCTATTTCACCTCAGCAACTTCTTTCACCTGCAGCATCAGTTCTTAGCCACTGAAGCAGCTGAGTCCAGTTTGCAGTTTTTCCACCACGTGCCAATTAAGCCTGATTATTCTGCCCTCAGAGAACCATCACTAGCCAACCAGTGCTCCCTGCCAGAAGTCTGGTCGCAGCCCCAGCGGATCCCTCCTCCAAGCTCACGGTATCAGATGAACCATACTCCGCGCTCAGAGATATGAGTTTCAATACTGGAGATCCCTCCTCTAAGTTTCTCAATTTTAATAATTTCAACTTATTCACTTGTTCTCCTTACCCCTAGAGATGGTGGTTGTTTTCTGCAATTGCTACCTCCCTGATACCTTAGTATTCCATTCTTGCCTTAATTTTCTTCTTAACAACTTTACACCTACTCAATTATCTTTCTGAAGGCTTTCGTTTAAACAAGTTTCCTGGTAACTTGCTTTATTGTTTGGGTGTCTTTTGACAGAAAAAATTTTAGCTGTGATATGCCAGTCAATATTGTATTCTCTGTATTTTAAATAAGAAAAGCTACTCAAATGCTGCCATAACTGCAGACTATAATCTCATTTCTGGGTTATGTTTTTCCTTTTAAAACCTTAGGCAAGATTTGCAGTATCTGTTTCAAGCCATAGAGACATTGGAGCCCAGATTATAAAATTCTATTTTTCAGCGTTACCACAGATTCACTGTAAGAAACTATAAAAATTGCTTAAATTTGGAGATGACATGATAACACATCTAGGAAATATGACCTTCATTTACATCATGTTCTTATTCCTCTACTATTAGCCTCTTGGTGCCTAAAAATTGACATGCAGCAACTTCAAATCTCAAAAGCTAAAATAGAAGTGAATACTTGAAGGTAAAAGTTTTTAAAGTATCAGTTGCACATGGAAGTAATTGAGAGGTGCTATAAAAAGAGGAAGGAAGTATTAAACTTGGCTCTCTTTTCACCTCTGTGGTGACTTGATACTTAGAATAATCTACATTTACAAGATATTTTCTTGGCTCTCTCCTGGCTTCTGACATCACAGATTACAGACAGAAAGGAATAAAGAATACTTAAATAATGGTGTCAGTAAATGGTATTAAATTTTTCTCTAATATCTGTGTGTCATATACTTAGTCAAGTAAAAGCTGAATTAAAATTTTAAAAAATATATTTTTAAGTATTTCCTCTTATTTCCATGCTCTTAATTGATGTTAGTGGCTTTAGGTACATTTTAAGACTTTGTACATTACTTAACTCATTTGGTTATCACCCTTTAGCCAATGTATTAGTTACCCAGTTTTACCAATGTGCTATCTGAATACCCTGAAAATAGAAATAAGATGACAGTGACTGTTTCCATCAAATTGTGCTATTAGAATTTTAAATAAATAGGAAATAATTAAATATCTACAAAGTCATAACAACTTCTAACTCGTTCTCAATAAATGATGCTGTTTGAAACTTTTTTAATTCTGGAAAATTATAAATAACCTAGAGATAAATAAATTCTGAATTGATAATTGTTAAAATACCCAGACATTCTGATGTAATCATTAATTGAATGTAATGCCATAAATGCACATTTACGTGAAGCAATATTTATCCCATATTAAGTGAAAAAAATGCTTTAAAACAACAATAAATTGCACCTCTCCTAGAGTAAGAGAGAATAGATTTTCCCTCCAATCTTAAAATTAAAAAATAAAAACAAAAGTATGCAAAAAATATGAAAGTACAGTTTTCAGACAGTAAACAATAGGCAGCAAAAAACTGTTACATCTGAGAGAAATGCTTAAAAGCATGCTTGGAAACAATTAAACTGGTGACAAAGTATTTACATGGATACCAAAGCAATGTCCAACACTAAAAGAATACAATAAAACTCTGGACCCAATAATGTAAAACCACAATGTTCATTACCCAATCAAGAATTCAACAGGCATGCAAAGAAGCAGAAAAACATGACTCTTATTCAGGAAAAAAATAAACTACTAGAAACAGAACCAAGAATTATCAACATAATAGGGTTATCAACCACAGATGTTAAAAAAAATTTATAAATAGGTACCACATTTAAGACAGTAGAGAAAAAGATGAATATAATGATGAGAGGCATAGGATATATGTAGAATGGCTCAAATAAAGTTCCATCCATTTAAAACAATATCTAAAATGAAAAATACACTGCATTGGATTAACAGCATATTAGACATTGCAGAAGAGACTAGTGATATTGAAAACAAAACAATATAAAATATCCAAATGAAACATAGAGAAAAATAAGAGTTAAAAACAAACAGAGCCTTGTTGGTTAGTGTGACAGTATCAAATTGTGTAATACTGTCTACTGGTCTCAGAAGAAGAAGTAGGAGAGTACCAAAAGTTGAATAAATAAGGGCTTTAATAATTTTTTTTATCACAGATGATATGCTGTTCTATGTACAAAATTTTTAAAAAATCTACAAAAAAGCTTTGAGAACTATTAAATACTTTTATCATGTTGATGAATGCAAGCAATAAACAAATGAATATTTAAATGAATGAAAACCAACTTCCACACAGCAGTATCAAATTTAAGAAATTTTTAGGGATATATTTAACAGGAAGTGTGCAAGTTTTGCACAATGAAAAGTATGAAATATTGCTAAGGGAAATTATGGAAGACCTAAGTGAATTAAGAACAGTAGTATCATTATGGATCAGAAGACCCAATATTGTAAAGATTTCAAATCTCTCTAAATTTATTTACAATTTTAAAGTCATCTAAACCAAAATGGAAATCAGCAAGCCTCTCTTAAACTTTATAGAAAAACGATGTTGGATAATTAAAATTACCTGATTTCAAGACTTATTGCAAAGCTATATCAACAAAAGCAGTGTGGTATTGATATAATGGTAGAAATATAGACTAGTATAAAATAATAGGAAGGCCAAAATAGAAAAACACACATAGGGTAAATTAATTTTTCATAAAACTACCAAGGTAATTCAATGCATAAAGGATGAACTTTCAAGACATTTTGATGAAACTATTAAATATCTAAATGCATAAAAATGAACCTACATGTTACCAAATTCTATACACAAAACTAAATCAGTATAAATAATGGATCTAAGTGTAAGGGTTACAACTACAAAAAATATATTAAAAAATTGAGCAGAAATATTTGTAGGAAGCAAATATTTTTTGATAGGACACAATATTTATAAATAATAAAAGATAAGAGACAGATGAACTTAAATTAATTAAAACTTAAATTAAAAACTTTTAAAATGTTTTTAGCTAAGATACAATAATAGGACTAGATTTATCCTTTACCCCAAAATAACAATAAAACCATTACCACATGTGAAACCATAGTTGTTAAGACATAGGTTATCAGACAATTAAGGTTAGTGATCTGAGAGAGAAAATAATTGAACAAAGTGAGTCATATGTTGGCCCAGCTTACTGCATGGAGAAAGTACGCAGCCAGCGATTTGAGGATGGCGAGTCCATGTGGAACTTAGTATTCTTGTCTCTTTAAGAAGATAAATCTAGGAGACCAAGGAGACCAAGGCAGCAATTGTTAGCAAGGCAGAATACGAGAGACAACAACAACAACAACAAAACAACAACAACAAAAAAGATTAGGAGGAACAATTCCTAGTAAGAAATTTATGAAAGTATTAAGGAGAAAAAGCCCCAAGCTCACGTGGGACTGGGAATCAATCCTATTCCCAAGAACTAAATTAGAAAGCTTCAAAATTTGTTCAGAATAATATCCATAAAGTTTTTGAATCTGTAGGAGTCACAATTCATCCTAATCTAAAGGCTTCTCTGCCTCCACCTAAAACAGCTCTAAATAAAGGTCCTGAAGAGTTAAACAATATCCAAGAAATCTAACCGCACCCCAGAACAAAGCTCAGTAGTATTTACTGGAATACAAAAATTTGCAGTATGAGATAAAATTCCTCACGTCTGTTTTTGATGAAAAACTACAGTCATGCAAATAAGCTGAAAAGTACAACCCACAATAAAATGAAAATCAACTGATAGAAAAATACCCCCAAAAGACACAGATGGAGTATTATAAATGAAAGTTTTATCTTGTATTATAATTGTACTCTATATGTTTAACAAGCTACAGGAAAGGCCGAATTAGACTTTATGTTATGTAGAATTAGGGAAGATATAAAAAAGACTCAACTCCCACACACCCAACCCTGGGCCACTCCTGAAAGTGCACTCAGGTTGCATCTGGAGTTCGTCCTGAGGGCTGGAGCAGGCAGTGTCCATCCTTGGTGCAGAAGCTACTGCCCTGGAGCTGTCTGCTTGGGTGATCCAGGCAGTGTAGTTCCCCTTAGACTGTGAGAGCCCAGCCCTACCCTGTATCACCTCTGCAGTTCCTGAGAGATGTTCCCCTTCTTCCCCAATGTCATTGCCAATTACAGGACCTAGAATCTAAAAGCATGCTGGGCAAACACACAGGGTGAGGAAGAGGCAGTTTTTTTGTGACTATGAGGGGTGTGGCAAAACCTTCATCAGGAACTACCATCTGTCCCTTGATCTTGATTCACACAGAAGAAAAGCCATTTCTGCAGCTATTGGCTGTGGTCAAAAATTCAAAACAGAATCAAATCAGTAAAAATAATGTGTACGTAATTTTGAACTTTGGAACATGAGCTTTAAGAAACATTGCAGCTGAAAATTTTTCAGTGCCAGTATATTGGTGAAACACTCTTCAAGAAAACCATGGAGGATGTGGGAGACACTTTGCTTCACCCAGCAGGTGGAAAGGAAGGAGAAAGGTTCAGAGGGTTCTGTGTGTCAGACAAGACTTTCCTCTGAGGTAAAACCATGGACAGAGCTTCTTGAAATGTGAGAGAAACCCAAAGAGACAGTATCACATGAAGCATGAGAGGAAACATGTGAAATATGTCTCTGGAAACATTCAAATGCAAAGATTGTCTTAAGCAGCACATGAAAACTCGTGCCTCCAAAAGGGATGTATGCTGATGGCGAAGAGAAGGCTGTGGTAAAACCTTCACAACTGTTTAAACTCCAGAACCATATTTTCTCTTTTCATGAAGCGGAGCATTCATTTATGTGTGAACATGCTGGTGGTGGCAAAGGTTTGCAATGAAACAAAGTCTCAGTAGTTATGCATGTACATGATTCTGATAGGAAAATAAAATGACCAAAATAAAACAATCTTATGGAAAATAGTTTTGCTTCTCATGTCATTGCATATATCCCTCCTAAACAAAACAGGAACAAGGCTTATCTTTGCCTACAAATGGAGAGTCACTGAATTGTATGAAGACAAGGTGCTCTGCGCAGTTGTGATACTTACCCCCAGCTAAATCTCAGATTGCTTTGTTTAAAGAACTATAGACTGAGGAACTTAGCTATTTCCTGTCAGAAGCATGTTTTTTTCCTTTATAAATCACTATTGCAGTGGCTCACACCTAAACCCAGCTACTTGGGAGGCTGAGGTGGGAGGATCCCTTGAGCCCAGGAGTTTGAGGCTGCAATAATTCTTCCACTCCACCCCAGCCTGGGTGCAGAGTGACATCCACCCCTACCCTGCACCTTGTCTCTAAAAAAAAAAAGATAAATAAAAATAAAATCACTGACGTAGAAAATAAAGCCCAAAGGAAATTTCTAGAGATTCTAAAAAACATTCTGAAATTTGGAATACACAGCAAAAGATTCCATAAGATTAGATATTGCAGAATACAAGATTCATAAGTTGATAAATTTTATACATAAATAATTAAAAATATCCAATATGAAACACAGACAGAAAAAAGACTGAAAAAATAAAAGGGCATCAGTGGACTGTGGAACAACTCTACAGGACTGAGAACATGTGAAATTAAGCTATTCATAAATTTTGAATTTTTAAAACTCTTAATAAATAATGCTGAATACTTTTGAAATTTGATATAAACTGTAAACTCACAGATCCAAGAAGCTCAAAGAACCTCAAGCACAAGTCTGAAATCAAAACTAGACAAAACACGAAGATATATCATAAGCAAATTTCCTAAAGAGTGATGACAAAATCTTAAAAGCAGCTGTGGGCTACAGTAAAAAAAACAAACAAACAGCAAATGTGATTTCTTGTCAGAAACAATGGATCAGATATATTCCTTAAAGTGTTGAGGGGGAAAAAAGAGATATACCTAAAATTATGTCTCCTGTAAAAATTCATTTTAAAATTAAAGGCAAAATAAAGACTTTTCAGACATACAAATACTTAAAGACTGTATTACCAACAGATCTAGGTTACCTGAAATGCCAAAGACGTTGGCATTTTTGACCACAGCCAATAGTTGTAGAGATGGCTTTTCTTCGGTGTGAATCAAGATCTAGGGACAGATGGTAGTTCCTGATGAATGTTTTGCCACACCCCTCCTAGTCACAAAAAAACTGCCAAAGACATTAAGACAGATGAAAATGATACCAAATGGGATTCCAGATCCACAGAAAGGAATGAAAAACACCAGAAATTGAAACTACGTAGGTAAATATAAAGACACTTTCCTTGTTATATGAAATGTTACAAATACAATTAATGTATTGAAACAAAATAATCTATCATGGAGTTTAAACCTATGTAAAAGTAACATAGAGAAATGAACTATGTCTCTATATACTAGTTATGAACAATTGGAAATGAAAATGTTTCTATGTGTGTGTATATATTTGGGTGTGTATACATACACACGGAGACATTTTAATTTCTTTCTATATATATAGGCAAGAGCATCAAAAATGAAATACTTAGAGATAAAGCTGACAAAATATTTGAAGAGCATATACGGTAAAAACTGAAAAATGTTTCAGAGAGAAATTTGAAGAAAAATGAAGAACTTTATGTGTCTATGGACTGGATGACTAATATTATTTAGATATCAATTTTCCCCAAATCAATCTATAAATTAAAGGCAATTGTATTCAACATTGCAGCAGATATTTAATAAAATAATGCTGGTTTTAAAATTCATGTGGAAATGGCAAGGAAATTGAATAGTTAAAATCAATTTTGAAATAAAAGGAGCAAAGTTGGATAAATTACACTGCCTGATTTCAATACTTATTCTAAAGCTTCTCCAGGAAAGAAAGGATGGTATGGGTGTCTAAATAGACAAGTCAAAGGAACAGAAATAGACATAACCATGTAAGTCTATTTTCCAGAGTTGCAAATGCAACTTAGTGAAATAAGGATAGTTTTTACCAAAAATTCTTGCTGAAAATTTGAATATCCATATTCAAAAAATTAAGCTGGTCCCAAAATTACAGCATGTACAATAATGAGCCCAAAATGCATTACAGGCTTAGAAGCAAAGCAAAAACTGAAACCACCCCAACTTTTAGAGTAAAACATAGGAGAACATATTTATGACCTTAGACTTTGTATGTAAACCTTAGATAATACATCATAAGCTCAGTTCCATAAGTTATTTAAATTGAATACATTTCTGTTGATATACATTGAATAAATTAAAAATAAAAATCGACCACTTAGACTTCATAAAAACTAACAACTTTGCTTGTCAGAAGACACTGTTAAGAAAATAAAAAATAAGTTACTGACTAGGATAAACTATTTGCAAATCACATATTTTAGAAAATGATTTGTATCAAAATATAAAAAAACTCAAAATTCAATGATAAGAAAAAAATTCAAATAAATATAGGAAAGCAAATAGGAGAAATAACACATGAATAGTAACGATTCCAATATCAGCAGAAACTAGAGCATTAAATTAGTCCTAACACAAGAAGACAACTAATTATGTATATATGCTTACACACAGACACACACATAAATTTGCTGCATAAATGAGAATGCCTCTAGTCAGAGGGAATCAGGTTGTAGAATTGTCATTTCTTGCCTTACAATTTCTTCCAGTTCTTTCTTTTTCTTATAATTCCCCTTCCCCTTGGTAAAATTGACAAGATGTGGAAAGTGATCACAGGAAATTTTACAGGATAATTAAAGGCATTTTTTAAAGTTAGAGAAAATCAGAAGAATATGTATAGAATGCATGTTCCTTAATTTAGATTACGTTTTAAACTTCCAATAGAATGAATATAAGGGCTCCCAGAGATAAGAACCCTCATTTTTTTTTCCCATTACAATCCTTTTGAATTTTTTTTACAACACAATTATTAGTCAGTTTTTCTAACTGGTTTTGATGAATCCCATCTTCTCCCCCTAAATTGGTATGTATTAGCATTTACATCTCATCTTTCTAGTAATCCTGAGATTTAAAGGCAGAGCTGCCATCCTGAAAATAAGTAATTAACATGTGCTTTCTCTAATACTCAATCGTGGATATTATTTTTCTAATTTTCTTGTGCATTTTTTCCTCCTTTCTAAAATTTATTTTATTTCCCATATAAGGGATTCTGCAATTTCTATTCCTTGGCGAGCCAACCCTAACAATGCAGTAATGATTAGATATGCTGCTAGACCCAGGAGTGTTACAATCCTTGCTTCTCTATCTTTCTCATTTGCCCTTTAATTGGGCAGTGTAGCATCAACATGTCATATAACATTTATTACTTTGAAGTGCCTTAGACATAGCATAAGAACAATACATGTTTAATTAAATGAAGGATGCATGGACAAGTGAACTCGGTCGGCCTGTAGGAGGTCTCTATGGATTTCACACATATTTCTAGGTAGCTGGGGGCAGTAGAATAGCATTTAATTTCTGAGAGAGGAAGTGATCCTGAGAAGACTCAAAAAAGCAAAGTACAGGCCTTAAAGAAAACTGCTCTTGGATGCCTAATTACCCTAAGCTTATCCCCACGTTCAAATCATTTTCAAATATCTGAAAGAATTGAGGAGGGCAGGTCTCAGTAGCTGAACCATAAAGAGATAAATTTAAGACCTGTATTATAAGAAAGTATATTCTTCATGTGTCACTGAGACATTGATATCTGCACAGCATTTAATGGAGTTTTGACAGTAGCTAATGATAATTTAGGTTACAGAGTTTTTGTTAGTAGGTTTACAGCAAGACCAAAAGTGGTTTTTGCGTACATTGAAAAATATTGTAGGATGGAGATGAAGTTTCAAATACTTAGTTAAAAATGGGCTACCCGATAAATGTTGTGAAGAAAATTGAATATTCATTTTAAAAGTCAGAAATATTTCTCAAGCAATATTAAAAACATAAATTTCAGTAATAAATGCAAGAAAAGCTGTATTTTCAAAGAATTAGAAAAAAATAATACTTCTAGAAGTCTAAGATTTAAAAACACATTTTAATTTCAAAAACTTGAAGTCAAACAAAATGCCATCAAAAAAGATGATTGAGTAAAATAAAGTACACATATACCACAGAATTCTGTTTAATATTTTAAAAGAAATAAGTAAATTTAAACAGACTGACACGAGCAAATCTCCAAGTCATATTGACATCAAATGCAATTCAGAGAAAATTACGTATCTAATTTGGTTCATTAAAATCTCTACTAGAAACAGGGTATCAAAAAGCATGTGTGTTTATGTGTGTGGTGTTTGTAAATTAATACAGTAAGGTCTGGACATGTATAAACTAGGCTATACCAGTGGTTATTTCTAGGGAGGAAAATAGGATTATATGAAGGTACAATGCTATTTTCACTTCCCACTACAATGTGGGAAGGTTTGACATTTTTCCCACATTGTGTTCCTCTATTATTTGAGTAGTTATAGAAACATTTTTAAAACACATGTTTTAAAATGTTATTTTTTTCTTATCATAATTTCATTCATCTGGAACTGCAGTTATTGAAGGACAGGTCAAAATTCTAGATCCATTTGACAGTTGAAAAGGAAAAATAAATACTATTGCAAAGAAGGTAGTATTCCTGGAAGTATTTTACATGTTGGGTTACTTTTCTTTTATTCTTTAAGTCACAGTAAACCTATTATGATGGTTTCTTACATAGATTTTTAAGGAATTGTACAAAATTGGATAAGAAGATTGCAATTCTAGGTAATAACATGTGAATTATTTTACCAATTGGAAATTCTTGAGACCTCCATCACTATATAAGTGACATATTGCAAAAGCCCTTGATATAAAAGGGTATGAGAGAGTTAAGAAATATAGATTCATCTTAATATCACAAATAAGATTTTAAAGGAATGCAATTTTTTACTTCCACTGTTGTGCTAACATCAGTTCTGGTAAGTTTTGAGTATCTAAAGCACTTTTAACTGTGTTCAACTTTAATGTATGACAAGCATTTGATTTTGTTATTCATCTTGCTGTATAAGAACTATGCCTGAAGGCCATAAAATGCATTCTATTTTAGAGTCTGAAATATCAGTCATAAACTCAACTTATTAAAACTCAAAGAGATAAAAGTTTCTATATAAATTATTATAATACAAAGGGAAATAATTCCATAGCCTGGTTAGAAGATAAGCCCTGCATTTGGGAATAGGCTTAAAGGGTTAGCAGCATTGATGCATTTCACATTGCCCCTCATAGAGGAGAATTGCCATAGAAAGCCTCAGAAAGAGAATGAGATATATGCTGCCTTCACACATTTAAGAAAAAGTCCAATTTAAAGATTTTTAAGTGTTCGTTTTAATTAATAGTGAAGCAGACATTTTATATTTTCTTTCTATTTCCTTCTATGATTTCAGCCTGCTGCCTGTTTCCTAGAAAAAATACAATTTAGTAATATATTCTTATTTTAGAGAAAGACATAATTATAGGTTCATATAATGTTTGTTCCAAATGGGATCTTAGAACTTAGTTTTCTCATTTCCTTATTTTACAGATTGTAAGTTAAAAATTATTTTAGGCCGGGAGTGGTGGCTCATACCTTTAATTCCAGCACTTTGGGAGACCAAGGTTAGTGAATCACTTGAGCCCTGTAGTTTAAGACCAGTCTGGGCAACATGGTGAAACCCCGCATCTCTACAAAAAATTATCTGGGCTTAGTGTCACGTGCCTGGAGTCCCAGGTACACAAGATGCTGAGGTGGGAGGATGACCTGGGCCCAAAGAGTCAAGGCTGCAGTGATCTGTGCCTGGGCAACAGAGTGAGACCCTGTTTCAAAAGAAATTAAACTAAAAACAAATAAAGAATTCTTTTCTGCAGAAGGAAATAATTTCTTGTTTCTACGTGACCATTATGCAGGAAATCTTGCCTAACTGCAAAACAGCATGTCATTTTCTTAGTTATGTGTATAGGTGACTCATTTCTCAGTCATGAAGTACAAGCAAGCATCAGTGGGAGGATTTGGGTACCTGGGAAACATGAGATTATAACTCAATGAGAATGTGGCTCTCCTTTTTCTCCCGGGAACAGGTTACAAAGGATCCAGAACAACAGCAACAATAAAAATTCCAAGAGAAGGAAAAAAAAAGACAAAATGAGTACTGTTCCCACAAATAATCCTTAATAATCAGTACTCTCTTGTTCACTAAGAAAAAAGCATATATTACAGTGGAACATAATATTATATGTAGTTTTGAATACCATCACCATTTTTTTTAGTTAAGTTCTTTTTATGCTGTTAAACCATATAATCTTAGCTTCTATGGTAACAGATATTTCTGTTCAAGAATGTTATTTTGACAAAACAATGCAAAAATTGAAGATGTTTTCAGGTGATGCTGAGAATTCTGAAGTATTGCCCAAACTGGATCAAGCAAACATTGAGAGACATTATTAATGAGCCACCTGACCAGCTTTGAGACCCTCAGAAAGTTCTTTGTTAAGCAAAGCCATGCTGTGTTGAAGTTGACAAAATGAAATAAGGGAAAGGGAAAGGTGCTATGTAGCATAACCACAACTCAATTGCTAGCCAACCTCCTACACAATGTACAGTCACAACTGGTGAGCCACTATTAATATAAGACAGAGGCAGCCTTACATAAAGTATGAAGGGAAAATCTTTTCTAAAACGGAGCATAATGGAACGGTGTGCTGTTGTCAAGGTAAAAACCTCATGGCAGTATGAAATATAAAAGATCTAATTAGAATGTGCCATCTAGCTTCTTACTAACTTAAGATGCAGTTCCCAGGGAAGGGACTTAATCCCTAATTTTAGTCAAAGGGCAAATGTACAATTAAGCTAACACAAATGCTTCAGCCAATCTTTTAGGAAAATTCTCTTATCCCTGGAGTCCCTAACCCACCACAGCTTAATAAGAACTTCCTACTGCACAAAATTGCTGTTTGTCAGGCTGAAAAGAGCACAGCCCACTGAACTGCTCTACATCAGATGACACTTTGATCTGAAATAAATGTGAGTATAAAATAGACTACAGCATGTGTAGTTGCTGGAATTGAAAATAAACTTTTTTTGCGCATAAAAAATACCTCACTTATTTCTAATCCAAAGATATCTCTGCCAGCCACTCTTGGAACACTCATGTGTTCTGAGGCTTTGACCAACAAACTAATTTGAAAATAAAAAAATATATATGAAATAACAAGCTTTACTGAAAAGATGCTGTGAGAATAAGAAAGTTCATCATTATGGGAATGCTTGTGCCAGTAACAGCACTGGCCCAAGTCTCCCTATGTGTTAATGAACAGAGGTATTTCCAGTCCACAAAGTTATTGGTGGGTTGAGTAGGGTTGGTTCACACAGTGTGCCCCTGTGAATAAGCAGTGCTATCCTTTTTGAGGAGGAAATTTGTCTTTTGACTGCTAAGGGTTCATTAGCTCCTCTCTTTATCTTGCAGAAAGAGGAAAAGGGAATAATGAGGGAGCTTTGGAAACAAATCTGATCTGAGAAAATGGTCTGGCTGTAGCTAATAGGTTGCATTGCTTTCTCCCAACCAACATCCATTTCAACTGAAATGCACTCAATTATGCTTATCCAAATTTTTTACCTCTAAAATGTAAAATTGATGTCACCAACATTTCAGGGAATATAGAGGAAAGTAAAAAACACAAACTCTACACTCAAACTTCCAGTTTATAAGTAAAAATTAAAAGTTCACAAATAAATATCACTCAAAGAAGAATATAAAAGCTATGAAATAGTACAAATAAAATGTAGAGGGAAATAAGAAAAAGAGATTAAACCCACCCAATCGTTCAGACCAGCCTCAAACAAATTGGATAGATAAGGAAAATCAGCCCCTTCCTCAAAACACCTACCATCACTTGCTTAAAATTTGTCACAAAAATTTAAAAATCTTCCATAAGCAAAAATGTGACCCGCGACCCTAGAGTTGCATTTGTATATCAGAGACATGGATATTTTTTAAAGCAAGCATTACAGGTGTCACTATTGGCAGATAATATAATAATTTTCTCAAAAAACTAAATGCTAATGAAGATCACTGACAAACTACTGGAATTACTCAGTGAGTTCTATAAGATGCTGGTTTACAGGTCTGAACTCTGTATTAGTGACAGAGCTATACCTGGCAAAAAACTTCTGGATACACAAGGCAAAATATTTTGTGTTACTTTTTTAGCAAAATCTCATGAGTACATTAGATTATGGTGGTTACTCAGTACTTAGCTACTTACCAAGTGTTTACTGAATGTTTGTCTTAGTGCATTTGCAGAACAGCAAGTAATAAATAAGCAGAAATTAGTCACTGACGTCAAAAGCCAAAGACCAGCTGCCACTATGCATAGATATATGTACTGAGGTCCCAATGGAACTAGTTTTATTATTTACGTGTTTGTGCGTGTGTGTGTGTTTGTGTCTGTGTGATAGTCATTGAGAACAGCTCACGTTATACATTTTCTAATGAGGAACTGAGGAAATAAAGTGAATGGAGATGAATTTGTTCCCTATTTTAAAGTATCCTTCAAGGACATTCAAAGTGAGATTATATATCTAGGAAAAAATACTGTATTTGTAATATTTTTCTGTGGCCAATTTGCTTTAAAAATATAAATCATTTTAGGAGGTTTTAAAAATTGTTCTAAAGTAATTCCTATTATGGACATTTTCTGTGTGAGTAGCAACATTCCATGCATTAAAATTCAACTTCTCAAATTATTTAATTTTGGACTTCACAGAAACAACCAAATAATTAATATAAATTGTTTTTTCCTCTACTAACGTAAGTATAGTTATTATATCACAGACTCTAAGTATTCCTCAGTTGCTTATGTCAATTTATCTTTTTTGACACAGGATCTTACTGTGTTGCCCAAGCTGGTCTCCAACTCCTGGGCTCAAGTCATCCTGCCACCTCCGCTTTGCAAGTAGTATATATCAATTTCTAATTTCATACTTCTAGACATGAAATCAGATATAGTTAAAAGCATTATTTATCTGGGTTAGATTTATTTTCTTGTGCCATTCAGGCTATGTTTGCTCTGCCTTTCCTTTAGGTTCTGAGTTCCTTTTTACATATTAGTCTATGCAAAAATAGATGTTGTTGTTTTGTTGTTGTTGTTATTGCAGGACCATTATTACTAGTCACAGTATTATTTTTAAAATCTTGGGTGCATTAAGACTTCACACTCTTAATTATTTTATTTTTTAATCAATTGCATTTTTTAGAAGGCTTTGCTCTCTCAGTTATCCTGTTCAACACCTGCCATGTCTTGCTATCTTGCTTACTATATTTTATGAGGGAAATATTTTATTTTTCTTTGTGGTTAAACTGCTACTCTATATATTTCATTAGAGTCTTACCTTTTCCTAGCTGCTTTGGAATTTTGTCTCTCTATTCCCTTGCTATAGTATGAAGCACACATATTTGTACATATTTGTGTAGGGTGTCATGAGGAGAAAGAACACTGTTCTGTTATGGATTACTCTGGTTTATCCTGGTTCCTAGAAGAAAATATAAATAGATCTAGAATGTGTTCACAATGAATATAAATCTCTGTATTAGTCAGCATTCTCCAAAGAAACTGAACCATTAGGATATAGAGAGGTATAAAAAGAAGATCTATTATGGGAATTGGCTCACACAATTATGGAGTCCAAAAAGTTCCGTGATATCCCTTCTGCAAGCGGGAGAACTAGGGAAGCCAATATTTAATTCAGTCTGAGTCCAGTGACCTGAGGACCAAGGGAACCAATGGTCTTACTTACAGTGGGGAGAGCGGGCACTGATCTAAGTCCCAGTCCCAGGCCAGAGTTCCAAAAACCAGGATCACCATGGCAGAAGAGGATGAATGTCTTAGCACAAGGAAGCAGGAAATTGACTCTTCCTCATCCTTTTTGTTTATTCAGGCAGGCCTTCCATGGACTGGATGGAGTTTGTCCACATTGGCATGGGCAGATTTCCTTTATTCAATCTACTAATCCAAATGCTAATTTCCATCAGAAACACCCTCACAGACACACACAGAAATAATGTTTTACCAGTGATCTGGGCATCCCTTAACCCACTCAAGTTGACAGATAAAATTAATCATCATATCTCTGATATGGCAGAAATGACAATATCACAATACTTTTTAGTGTCACAATATATACTTAATCACTGGCTACAGTGGTTCAAGAATTTACAGTTACCACATCATGGTAATTATGAAAGCGTGGAGGACTTAATCATTTATTAATTCTCTCCCTCAGGCTTATGTCACAACAAAATAGAAAAGGATCAAATAAGAGCATTGGTTTTATTAGTGGTCATATTGTGCCTATTACCTTGCCAATAGAAAGATTTTGGTATACTTTGTTAGAAATAATATTTAGGGTCTAAGGCCAAAATGAAGTTGTCTGCTATTTACTCCAAAATCTGAATATTAAGACCTGATGTTGGATTTATAGAGTAAACTTATCCACCTAACCATTTGGAAAATCTTAGTTTGCTTTACAAATCTGGCAATGGAGAGCTGCATTTTGACTTTTGTTACTCATAGGCACTTTAACTTCCTGGAACTCTGTCTTCATAGAAATACTAGAAATTATGTTTTATGACAATTTTAATATAAATATGGATATACTAAATATATAAAACATTTTCTTCAACCTAAAGGTGTATTATATTTAATCCCTTTTCAATCATCTATGGGCCAATATTATTTTTTAAACTGGGAATGACTATACTTACTCATGGAGTTAAAAATAATGAAAATATCTAAAATGAAAACAATTCACTGCCAATTATGTATCCCAAGAAATGGAATGTAGCTTCATACATATTTTAACCAATTTACCCACAGAGCATCATAACATTAATAGTCGCTTTATATATTGCTTATCATTTTTCAGGGCATAACCTTATTTAAATATTATGACAGCCATTTAATAGATCAGAAGCCTCAAATCCTAAGAGATTAAGTGATTTGCCAAAACTTACCTTGTGAGGAAATAGCAATGCTGAACTCAGACCCATCCTGAGACCAGATACTTAATTAATACAATATATATGGTCTGTTTTTTTATGGATAGATATTTGAGCGGCATAAGTTCACTTTATATTTTCATTAAGACTGTGCTGATGGAATGATCAGGTAAAGAACACATTTTATAAAATGTGTCTGTAAACAGATTCGTTACTGTTGGGGGGAGCTTATTTTCTGTGACGTTACAATATTTTAGATTCTGTAGAAAAACTTTAAAGGTAAAGAAATAGATGACAAATAAAATGCCTTTGGATAACTACAATGGTAATTTAATTCTAATTAGTGATTTCTTTATTCCAAGTTGCATATCTCGTTATCAAAAATAATTTATAAATAATTCATTTTATTTCTCCTAATGCTATCCCTCCCCTAGTCCCCCACCCGCTAACAGGCCTCGGTGTGTGATGTGCCCTCCCTGTGTCCATGTGTTCTCATTGTTCAACGCCTACTTATGAGTGAGAACATGTGGTGTTTGGTTTTCTGATCTTGTGATAGTTTGCTGAGAATGATGGTTTCCAGCTTCATCCATGTCCCAGCAAAGGACATGAACTCATTCTTTTTTATGGCTGCATAGTATTCCATGGTGTATATGTGCCACATTTTCTTCATCCAGTCTATCATTGATGGGCATTTGGGTTGGTTCCAAGTTTTTGCTATTGTGGATAGTGCCACAGTAAACATATGTGTGCATGTGTCTTTATAGTAGAATGATTTATAATCCTTTGGTTAAATAGTATAAAAAAAAGAATTCACTTTATGAAGCTCCATGAATACTGAAAGTCAAATGAATCAATAGGGTGATTTTCTACTGAAATTTTTTACATTTTTTTTGCTTTGATATCACAAAAAAAATCTTTTTAAATGGAAATTATTATCTTAATGAATTAAAAAATACCTATTACTACCTTTAGATGAAATTTCTCACCTATTAAAGATAATACTTAATTTTAGAATGTTTACTCTTAAGTCAGAAGAAAAAATAATGCCAATAACACCACCAAGAAGCTTTATTCCTTCTACAAGCATTTCAAAACAAAAATAACCTCAATTTCAAATGATAAAATTCTTCAAATTTTAGACATTTAAAGTGTAATTCTGTATAACCTGAGGCACCATTTCACCCTCTGGACTATTGCTCCTGAACATTTAATTGTGACCCAAATAAATGCTGTAACATTGTAGGAACCACTTTATTTTGAATAATAAGAGCAATAAACTTCAGGTGACTTGAGAATATTCACAATAGATTGCTTTCAATTAAATGGTGGTACCCCTGAAGGCCTTTTGTTTAGGCAGCAGGATGAGAGTTATTTATTGGTCATATATAGCCCATTCTAAAAACAGGAGGTCAGACCACTGCATAATACATTCACTGTCTCATTTCTGCTTTTCTGAAAATAGGTACTTTGAGCGTCAGTATAGTGACAAAGAAAAGCATTTGTAAGTAGGCTTCAGGAATCTTGGCACCAAATGAACATAAAATAGATATATTGTATTTTTAAAACATTATCCCTTATTTTCAGCACAGTTCTCATTGTTGGTATCCCTATGAATATTGTATGATTACTGTCCTTCACACAGTTCAAGGAGAGAATGATGTGGCACCACTGAGATGCTGCTGTGCAGCCACTTAAAAAGAAATCCCTAGAGATAGACACTGATAAAAGGGCCAGATGCAAATGGGTATTAGAGGCAGACCTTTCCAGAAAAGCTAGGTCAGACATCCTTGGTCATGAAGATAGAAAAAAAAAAAAATACAATGTGCACACCTAGAAGTCTTTTAAAATCTCTCTTTATAATTCCTCATTCTTAATAAACTTTTTGCACAGATTCAAGACCATCAGAACTAAATTGAAAAACTCTGGCATTGTCACCTGGATTCTCATTCACAGTATAATAAATATAAGGCTTATCATATACATACATACATACATATGGAATTATGTATGTATATACATTCTCTCCAGTCTTAGTTTAAAATATAATGATAAATAAAAATGTGACAACTTTTAATGGTGCAAATATGTGTATATATTTCAAGGTGTTTTTTTACCTGATAATACAAAATATTTTATCATCTATAATTTTAATAAATTATATTGAAATGTAATATATGAATCATATAAATCAAAAGTTTCATACAGTGATAAAATTTTAATTGTAGTTATTAATTATTGGCCATATACAGTATTGAATGCTAGCCACTATAATCGTTTGAATGCTGACATTTGATTCATGTATATATTTAATTCACTTAACAACATTGATATACAAGAAATATGATAAATCCTGGAAGACTTTTGTCATTCAGAGTAGTTAAAAACATAGTTTTCCTTTGTCAATAATTCAAGGTAGACTTTCTTATATTAATGTGGCTTTTTGTTCAGACGCTGTAAACAGGAAATCAAAGATGTATTAGATATAATCAGTAAGAGCATAAAATAAATACACCATCTCTTCTTACAGAGATATTTGGTTATAATTTTAAGTAGAAAGGGAATTATACACGTATCCATACAATTATAACTAAATATCAATAGGAAATATTAAAGTTACAGACAATAACACAGAGAGCAGAGGGGAAACCCATGAAGGATGTGAGGGCAATGGGGGTTGTTGTTGGCGGTGTGGTGGTGAACTGGGTACAAAGGAGTCAGTAAGATACATATACATAGAGGGTAAGGGGATGACATTACAGACTGAAGGCACATTATAAGCAAGTGTGGATAAATGAAAATGGATTTTGCATATACAGAAATCTACAAAAAGATCTTATTGAATGTGATCATTGGAGCATTCAGGTAGGAAAACAAAAGAGAGAATTTGGAAAATTTGGGAACATGTTAAAAGTTATCTTGAATTCTAAACTGAGTAACATGACCTTTCCTGTCAAAACATTGGATTGCTATTGATATGTATGTGTGTGTGTGAGTGTGTGTGTGTGTGTATGTGAGAAAGAGAATGAAATGAAGAAAGTAATGTTTTATTATGGTTTAATCTGTCTGCAAAATGCAGGATTTCAGTGAATGAATAAACTACTTAGGTGGTTAGAATGGAATTGATAGGTCTTGCACCACAGTCGTTTCCATGTGGATAGAAAGGAAATTTTAGGTGTAGATTATATTAGGAAAAGTGAACATAAAACACTTCAAGATTGATCATTTATACAGACGAAAGCAGATACATAAATATTATGTAAATGTTCTAAACTTTCATGACTTGATATATGGTGGCTTGGTTTTGTTTAAGGATCATGCATTCAGCTTTATTTTGAGCTTGAAGTAAACAGAAAATCAAAGTAGAAATGTGATTATATTTACCATCTTGGGATGGTTTCCTTTGCAGTCATGTTTGTTGCTTTACTTTTGAACAACCTATTGCTCAGCATGGTTTCCTAGCCCAGACATTGTCTCGATTCACCATTTTTTTTATAATTAATGAAGTGATAAATGTTAGGGTATATAAATGTTAGTTTCCTGAAGAGAAAATTACTGGTAAAAGAAAACCAGCTATTATAGTTCATCATGATATAAGAAAGCAATCGTTTCTGTTCAAGCGAAACTTCAAATGTTGAATATGATGATGGTGTAACGCTGCAGGATCCATCAGTTGTTCTCTATTGCACTTCCGTCCTAAAGGGGAGTTAGGAGTGAGAATTTACATGCTAGTCTGTGGATGCAAGTGTGAGAATTTTTATTAGGTCTTACAAAAAACCTTTCACAAATCAGGAGTCTACAAAAATGCCACTTTGTTGTTAAATACTTTTTCTATGACAAAGTATATAAAATGTTTAAAATCAAAGGAACCCAAGCATATTCCTCTGGAGGTTCCTAAATATTGGGGATAGATAAATAGCTATGTCTTGGGACACACTGTTTCATATCCCAAGCAGGAGGAAACATCAAGTGAGATAGTAGTTAGCTAGTCAAGAGAAAAAAAATTAATCAGTTTCTGGAGCCTGCAGTGTAGACCCTAAAGATAAGACATAAATAAAAAAACAGGCCGGGCACAGTGGTTCACGCCTATAATCCCAGCAATCTGGGAGGCCGAGGCGGTAGGATCACCTGCGGTCAGAAGTTCAAGACAGCCTGGTCAACATGGTGAACCCCCATCTCTACTAAATATACAAAAATTACCCAGGAGTGGTGGCAGGCGCCTGTAATCCCAGCTACTCGGGAGCCTGAGGCAGGAGAATCGCTTGAACCCGGGAGGCAGAGCTTGCAGTGAGCTGAGATTGTGCCATTGCGCTCTAGCCTGGGCAACAAGAGTGAAACTTCATCGCAAAAACAAACAAACAAATAAACAAACAAAAAACTAATCTGGATTGGAGAAGGTGGAACATGAGCTAGGTCTAAATGGGTAAGTAAAATTAAAAGATGCATGAGAGATGATATGTTGGAAGTAAAGCAGAGAGGCACATACATGCAAGGCATGAGCTGTGGCTGATAAATACACCAATTTGAATAAAACCCACAGTCCATGCAAATAAAATATAGTTAAATAGGGAAGTACAGAGAGGCCAGATGATATGCAATCTTTAAATTATAGTGAAGGAATGTAGTCTTATTTAGATGAAATAAAAGGCACAAAAGATGTTTGAGAAATAAATCTGTGTGTAATTATTTTAAGATATTTTATGTTTTATTCTGGTGGTAGTAAGTAAGGCATTTTGGAGAAAAAAGTGGCTAGAACTAGAATATATCATTTAGGAAGTTCATAAAATAGTACACACTTTGGAGCCTAATGATCTTTGGAACCAGAGACATCTGGATTACACATCTTTATTCCAAAATTAATAGCTTTGAGATCTTGAGAAAGTTACTTATTCTTCCTGAATTTAGAGATAATGTTGTATGATTGTTTGGAGATAAAATTATATAAGTGTGTACATGCATTTTATACATGTACACATACACACACATACATCTGTAGATAGATAAAATATAGATATATTACAGTGCCTGACATAACGATGCCTGACAAAGTTCTTAATTGAAATGTTTGTATACCCCATTTATGTTATTTTTTATTTAGCATCTATATATACATTTATTCATGTTGTCTTCTTATTCCTCTCAATATATTTCCTTTAGCAAAATGTTTAAAGTGTCTATAAACTGCTTAAACAAGAAAATAATTTGAAACTATATATTAGGTTAGTGCAAATGTAATTGCGGTTTTTTTCCATTACTTTAATGAAAAAAACCGCAATTACGTTTGCACCAGCCATTAAGTAATGGAAAAAAACCACAATTACGTTTGCACCAACCTAATAGAAACCATAAAATAAAGCGGTTCAGTGAAGAGAAGTCGGTGATGCCAAAAGGGTCATATTACGAGAAAAGGTCATACATAATTGGTCAAAGTTTTCTCATGTGAGAAAATAACTTTTTTTGCCATTGGGGACTCTGGAATTACTTTGAAAAGTTTCTTAGAATAGCATTTTTTTTATGTTCCATCTTAAGAAAATATTATTTCAAATGTGCAGAACATATGATAACAATATTTTGTATGTTTCATACAGTAGTTTCTGAGGCATTTTATGGACTTTAAAACACTCTTTAAGATCATGTAAAGAGTGATTTAGCAGAGTATACTTAACAGAGCGCATTGGCCTTCTATCGACAGCAAAAAGTATTCCTTTATCTCCTCATCATTTCTGAGGTAGAGAGCCTTTGCTCTCTGTTCCCTATTCATAAGAGAAGTAACAAGTACAAAGAGGGTCAAAATACACTTATTTACTAAAAACGAGGCACTTTTCTTATACTTTTAAGGGAATTTAAACCACTGGCTCAAAGGTTTAACTATAGTATGTTGGAAAAAGGCAGTGTATTTCTGGGTTCTTGGTTCTGTTCCTTTGGTCTATGTGCCTATTTTGTTGTTGTTGTTTTTTATTTTATTTTATTTTATTTTTTCCTTTTTTTATTATTATTATACTTTAAGTTTTAGGGTACATGTGCACAACGTGCAGGTTAGTTACATATGTATACATGTGCCATGCTGGTGCACTGCACCCATTAACTCGTCATTTAGCATTAGGTATATCTCCTAATGCTATCCCTCCCCCCTCCCCCCACCCCACAACAGTCCCCAGAGTGTGATGTTCCCCTTCCTGTGTCCATGTGTTCTCATTGTTCAGTTCCCATCTATGAGTGAGAAAATGCGGTGTTTGGTTTTTTGTCCTTGCGATAGTTTACTGAGAATGATGATTTCCAATTTCATCCATGTCCCTACAAAGGACATGAACTCATCATTTTTTATGGCTGCATAGTATTCCATGGTGTATATGTGCCACATTTTCTTAATCCAGTCTATCATTGTTGGACATTTGGGTTGGTTCCAAGTCTTTGCTATTGTGAACAGTGCTGCAATAAACATACGTGTGCATGTGTCTTTATAGCAGCATGATTTATAGTCCTTTGGGTATATACCCAGTAATGAGATGGCTGGGTCAAATGGTATTTCTAGTTCTAGATCCCTGAGGAATCGCCACACTGACTTCCACAATGGTTGAACTAGTTTACAGTCCCACCAACAGTGTAAAAGTGTTCCTAAGCCAAAAGAACAAAGCTAGAGGCATCACACTACCTGAATTCAAACTATACTACAAGGCTACAGTAACCAAAACAGCATGGTACTGGTACCAAAACAGAGATATAGATCAATGGAACAGAACAGAGCCCTCAGAAATAATGCCGCATATCTACAACTATCTGATCTTTGACAAACCTGAGAAAAACAAGCAATGGGGAAAGGATTCCCTATTTAATAAATGGTGCTGGGAAAACTGGCTAGCCATATGTAGAAAGCTGAAACTGGATCCCTTCCTTACACCTTATACAAAAATTAATTCAAGATGGATTAAAGACTTAAACGTTAGACCTAAAACCATAAAAACCCTAGAAGAAAACCTAGGCATTACCATTCAGGACATAGGCATGGGCAAGGACTTCATGTCTAAAACACCAAAAGCAATGACAACAAAAGATAAAATTGACAAATGGGATCTAATTAAACTAAAGAGCTTCTGCACAGCAAAAGAAACTACCATCAGAGTGAACAGGCAACCTACAAAATGGGAGAAAATTTTCGCAACCTACTCATCTTACAAAGGGCTAATATCCAGAATCTACAATGAACTCAAACAAATTTACAAGAAAAAAACAAACAACCCCATCAAAAAGTGGGCAAAGGATATGAACAGACACTTCTCAAAAGAAGACATTTATGCAGCCAAAAGACACATGAAAAAATGCTCATCATCACTGGCCATCAGAGAAATGCAAATCAAAACCACAATGAGATACCATCTCACACCAGTTAGAATGGCAATCATTCAAAAGTCAGGAAACAACAGGTGCTGGAGAGGATGTGGAGAAATATGTGCCTATTTTTATACAAGTACCATGCTGTTTTGGTGACTATGGCCTTGCAGTGTAGTTTGAAGTCAGGTAATGTGGTGCCTCCAGATGTGTTATTTTTGCTTAATCTTGGTTTGGCTATGCAGGTTCTTTTTCGGTTCCATTGAATCTTAGGATTTTTTTTTTTTTTTTTTAGTTATGTGAAGAATGGTGGTGGTATTTTGATGGGAATTGCATTGAATTTGTAGATTGCTTTTGGCAGTATGGTCATTTTCACAATATTGATTTCACTATTTCACTTATCCATGAGCATGGGATGTGTTTCCATTTGTTTGTGTTGTCTATAATTTCTTTCAGCAGTGTTTTGTAGTTTTTCTTGTAGAGGTCTTTCACTTCCTTGGTTAGATATCTTGCTAAGTATTTTATTTTATTTTTTTGCAGCTATTGTAAAAGGGGCTGCGTTATTGATTTCATTCTCAGTTTGGTTGCTGTTAGTGTATAGCAGAGCTACTGATTTGTGTACAGTAATTTTGTATCCAGAAACATTGTTTCATTTACCAGTTCTAGGAGCTTTTTGTATGACTCTTTAGGGCTTTCTAGATATACAATCATATGATCAGCAAACAGAGTTTGACTTCCCTTTACCGATTTGGATGCCATTTACTTTTTCTCTTGTCTGATTGCTCTGGCTAGGACTCCCAGTATTATGTTGAACAGGAGTGGTGAAAGTGGGCATCCTTGTCTTGTTCCATTTCTCAGGTGGAATGTTTTCAACTTTTCCCAGTTCAGTATAATGTTGGCTGTGAGTTTGTCATAGATGGCTTTTATTACCTTAAGGTATGTCCCTTCTATGGGAATTTTTCTGAGGATTTTAATCATAAAGAAATGCTAGATTTTGTCAAATGCTTTTTATGTGTCTATTGAAATGATGATGGGATTTTTGTTTTTAATTCTGTTTATGTGTTGTATCACATTTATTGACTTATGTATCTTAAACCATCTCTGTATCCCTTGTATGAAACCCACTTGATCATGGTGGAATGTCTTTTAGATATGCTGTTGGATTCGGTTTGATAGTATTTTGTTGAGGATTTTTGCATCAATGTTCATCAGGGATATTGGTGTAATTTTCTTTTTTTTTTGTTATGTCCTTCCCTGTTTTTCATATTAGGTTAATACTGGTTTTATATAATGGTTTAGGGAGGATTGCCTCTTCATCGTTTTGAATAGTGTCAATAGGATTGGTACCAATTCTTCTTTCAATGTCTGACAGAATTCAGCTTTAAATCCATCTGATCCTGGACTTTTTTTTTCTTGGCAATTTTTTTTATTGCCATTTCAGTCTCGCTGCTTGTTATGGGTCTACAGTCAACTCATCTTCAAAAAAGCAAACAAAAACATAAAGTGAGGAAAGGATGCCCTATTCAACAGATGGTGCTGGGATAATTGCCAAACCACATATAGGAAGAATGAAACTGGATCCTTATCTCTCACCTTATATGAAAATCAACTCAAGATAGGTCAAAAACTTAAATGTAAGACCTGAAACCATAAGAATTTTAGAAGATAACATCGGAAAAACCCTTCTAGACATTGGCTTAGGCAAAGACTTCATGACCAAGAACCCAAAAGCAAATGCAGTGAAAACAATGGTAAATATATGGGACTTAATTAAACTAAAAAGCTGCTGCACAGCAAAAGAAATAACCAGCAGAGTTAACAGACAACCCACAGAGTAGGAGAAAATCTTCACAATCTATACCTTCGACAAAGCACTAATATCCAGAATCTACAAATAACTCAAATCAGCAAAACGAGCAAACAAAGACTCCCATTAAAAATGAAATCATAAGATGAATATTTAGCTAAATGAGTAATCATTAAAGGAATATAATACATTTAAAAATATACATTATTTCAATGACACCCCTGGAAAAAAAATGTAATGCAATTTTTTTTCTGGTAGAAAGAATTTTTTTGATACATCAATCCATGTTTTATGTTTTAATGTTTATATGATTCAGAGATAAAATAATTCTACCACAGAACTGCTGCTGTTTTTTTCTTTCTTTCTTTCTTTTTTTTTTTTTTTTTTGCTCTCCTCAGCACTCTCGTGACCATTAACAGATCATTAGCATTGATGGGAGTTCCTAAGGCATATTGAAAGTACACATTCAGCTACCAACTCACTTCCTTTAAACATGACA
This sequence comes from Homo sapiens, assembly GCF_000001405.40. Lineage (NCBI taxonomy): Eukaryota > Metazoa > Chordata > Mammalia > Primates > Hominidae > Homo > Homo sapiens. The sequence goes on from NC_000005.10 coordinate 101,293,146, forward strand.
AATAAGCAAAAATAAATTTACATCTGTTGCCTTTAAAGACATGTTTGAAGTTTCCATATCATTAAAATGGTATAGCTTTCCCTAACATGCATAACACTACTTTTTGAAAAAATAGTAATGCTCCATGGATTTTGGCTTCCTTGATCATTTTTTTAGCTAGGGGAGAGGGATATGTGATAGAATCATTTGTTGCTTGAACAGCATGTATAGAATGACAATAAGAAAAATGTTAAAATTTATTCAACAAATATGTAAAAGATAATATAGTTAGGAATAAAAAATAGTATAAATTTAACTTCCAATATTTACAACATATTGCTAAACAACCCAGAATTCATGCTAATATTAATATTTCATATTGAAAACATTTAGAATTATGTGAGCCAGTTAATTTTACTTTTAAAATAGTTATTTTTCTAACTATTCTGCATAATTTGAAAAAAAAGTAATATAAAATATAACCATTAGTATAGCACAGAGAAAAAGCAATTCAGCATAACTAGTAAGTATAATTCTTTGTAGACAATGAGAGTGTTTCTGGAATCAAAGCGGAAAAACGCGTATCTCTCAATGTAAAATGTATTATAAAATATTGTATATATTTTACTGCCTATATAAATGAAGTTTTTTAATATATGCATAAATAACAACATTTATAAAATGCATACTTTAATTATGATGTATATTCTAAATACAATGTTTTCTTTTTATCTTTTAGACGTGTATAATATCATACACTACACTACTATGCGTAGATTGTGAAAGCAACAAATTCGATATGACCGATGCTGATTTGTAATCTTGCTGAAGACAGTATTGCAATAGAAAAAGTCATCTTCTGTTTCAAGCAAATAATCAACATTTCATGTGCTTGTATTAGTTAAGTGGTAATTGGGATAGAAAAAAATCATTTAAAGTATGTTATTAGTCAAAAGATTGAAAAAATAGAGCTTTGAAAGTTCAAAGGAGAAATCAAGGTGACTATCACAATAAGCAATTCACTTTTACCATGTAAGTTCAATGCCATTCAGAAAGAATTAGAAAGAAAAGGACTTCAAAGGTCTCATAAGCATAAAGATGTCAAGGAAGGTCAATCTTGAAACAGCTGCTGAAGGGGATCAGAGAGATAAAACTTAAACCTCATAATTACTATTAGAAAATTAAAGGAATAAAAGTGGCCAACATCAAATCAAAAACTTTCAAAGTGGTAGAGGAGATTCTTTTGAAACAGCAATAAAATCCATCCAGACATAAGTGTTCAGAATTCATATTAAAAGATGATAATGGAAAAATAGATTTCAACCCATTTATCAATATATTATCAAGAAAGAAAGATTCTAGAAATCATTCAGAGGAAGGAATAAATGATAAAATTTTAAAAAAACAGGAAGTAAGATATTTCCCTGAGTAATAAGAGAATTTAAACCTTGAGGTAAAGGAATAAAATCCTAAATTTGAAATCTAATAGGTCCCAGGCCAAGGACAAGCTATTGAATAGTGGTCAGCAAATCAATTAATGTATCTCTGATTCTAAGACCCAGGGACCATGGAGACCAAGTAGATCATAGATATTTTAATTTATGAGTTCCTTGTGATAGCAAACTACTGCATATTACTCTACATACTGCTCTGGGTAATCGAGTATAGAATTCATTACCCTATATTTATTTTTCTACTTTAAGATTAAATTCTATCAGAAAATATCCATATCCACAGAAACTCAGTCATACTTAAAGAAAAATCCCAGCAGCAACAGTCCATATTTACATGGATCAATTATTGAGTAAATAAATAAATGGGTGAGAAAAAACACATCTCCTCTAAGGAAAATTTTCAAATAATTTATTTAGATATTTGTATTCAAGGATGTGAGGCATAAGCCTCTCTCCATTAAGTATGGCCTGGGCATAGTGACTTCCTTGCAAAGAGAAGAGTGTCAAATAGAGGAAAAGAAAAGTTACGTGGCATTGAAGAAACTGAGAAACATTATTTCAGTCAGACAATTGAATTCAACATCATCAGTGATCAGTCATGTTGACAGTATGTGCTCTTGATAGGATGTGATGAGAATGACATTTTACTTCTGTGGTTTTCCTCCTAAAAACTCATAATCATAGTATAATTCTGGAAAAACAACAGACAAGTTTCAATTGTGGTATGTACATTCCATAAAAATGCTAGACCAGTGCTTCTCAAACTGCCATGGTTGTCTGAAACAATAAAAGTCTAAGAAACTGTCAGAACCAAGAGGAGCCTAAGGAGATGCTGACAACTACATGTAATGCGTTATCTTGGATTCAATACTGGAGCAGGAAACGTTTGTAAAGTAAAAACTAAGGAAATCTGAATAAAGTGTGAACTTCAGGTAATTTTTGAAAACTTATGATAATGTTAAAATTATATTAAATACCTTAAATATTGTTTAAAACTATTCACATACAAGAATTACTATGTACAATTGTTAAAAATTAAGCTATTCCCAAAAGTTGACATGTAGGTGCAGCTGCACAGCCTTCTCTGATCCTGCAGTTATTCATCCCATTTAGATTGCTTGCCAATTATTATATTACTTAATAATAATAGACCATATCGCTAGAACCATCACTCCATAGAAACAGAGATTCAAAAATGGAGAGTTCAAAATACCATGAGTTATAAGCACACAAATTTCATCACTTGTCCTGGATTTATTAAAAAGATTTAAGCATTTTCAAATAATAATTCACTAATGTATTAACAGCAATGGGCATATTCATTTACTAGTAATAGTCTTAAAACTGAAATACAGAAGATGTGTTAACTTTTAATGTAAAATATATTTAGTATAATTGTCAAAGCCTTCTAAAGGGCCTTCCAGACAATAACTCTGAAGCTACAGACACACACACACACACACACACACACACACACACCCCATTTGTACATGAATACATATGTACATTTATATATACATGAATATTTTGTTGTCAGTTTTTTACTTGATTTCTTTAATCATCAACCACTTGTAGAAAACTGTGCTACTATTGAAATTATGTCTTATCCTTATTTTTTATGGTGGGTTTCTGTGACTAAGTACAGTATTTGAGCTTACTTTCATATTGACACTATTAATCAATGTGTTAGTACATATCAGTAATAGTATTAAAACGATACAATTGTATAGTATGTTTTCCAGAAAGGTTGACAAAAAGTCACGAGTTTTGCCTTAAGATCTTAACAAATAGAGAAACATTATTATGCAAAACAATGTAGAATCTAAGGAAATGTGGTAGGACAAACTTTTACAAGTAAAAACTTTAAAGTTGATAATATAAATGCTCTTTGGATAAAAATAATCAAGAAATTTTATCAAGGAGAAATATAGTCTTGAAATAAAACACTTCATTCAATTATGCCAAAAGTAGCTGGTCAGGAAGTTTAAAATGATTTATGAGATTTATAGCTTCTATCTTATAGAAAGCATTGGCTGAAAAATAATTACAGTGGTAACTCCTTGACCAAGCCAGTCTCATTCATCATGCAGTATCTTGTAAAAGCCCTCTAAGGGGCCTTCCTATTTCCATGTTTGCCTCCTAGAATCTATGTTCAATATAGTAGCTAAAATTATTAACATATCAGTCAGATCATGTCACATCTCTACTCAAACCATCAATGGACCCTTGGGGGATCCAGGATGGAAGTCAAAATTCTTACAAGTGCCTAATGGACAGTGTTTCTTAATAAAGGTATGACTACTATCCTCCCTCTCACTTCTTTTGTTTTATCTATATTGACTGCTACACATTTTTAAATCTAAACCGGTATACTTCTACCTGAGAAACATTTTACTGCTGTTTTCTCTGCCTGGAACAAACTTTGCCAATGTATCTACACCACCTATTTCTATACCTTCCTTAAATCTTTGTTCAAGTATTACTTTCAAAATAAGGTCTAGATTCACCTCACTTATTTCACAACTCCAATTCACCATCCTGTAATCCCAATCCTCTTTCCATAGTTGTATTGCTTTTGTATAACAGTTATAAACTTTTATCATACTATTTGCTTTATTTATTATCCTAATATTTATGTATTCCACTTCCATAATAAAAGCTTTATGAGAGTTGAGCTTTTGGTCTGTCTGGTCCCTTGAAATAAACCAGGAATCTCACACAGAGTACATGTTGAATAAATATTGTTTGAATGAATGAACAAATGAGAAGATTTTTGTGGTTCTTTTTAATTATTTTTGTTTAAAGATCTAAAATGGGAGTTTTTGGAATCCTGGAAAGAAAATTATAGAAATTAAACTTGTTAGGAAAATATGTAAAGAACACATAGCTGAGATCCTACTGAAATGGGAAACAACACAGCAAACCAAGAACGAAGAAAACATAAGAATTAGGATAAACTTTTTTTCATGGCAGACAAGTAAGTCATCTCTGACAGGTCCTACATTCTACCCCACAGAATTAAGAGTATATAGAAATAATTTAAGAAGATCGTTTCTCTACCCACCCTTCTGGCTTGAAATCTCTGATTCTTTGTTTTAACATCTATGTGAAGAAGGCTTCACTTGCTTTTGCTTTAATTTTTTTCTTGTAAATAATGTAATAATAATAATCATTAAGAAAATGATTGAAGAAATACAGGTGTACTTCAGAAATATTGTGGCTTCTGTTCCACACTACAGCAATAAACATTGCCATAAAGCAAGCCACACAAATTTTTGGTTTCCCAGTGCATATAAGTTGTGTTTACTCTATATGGTAGTCTGTTAAGTGGTAAATAGCATTCTGTCTATAAAGACATTGTACATATTTTCAGTAAAAAATACATTTTTATAAAATAATGCTAACAATCATTTGAGCATTGATTACCCTTCAGCAAGTGGTAATCTTTTTACTAGTGGAGAGTCTTGCCTCAATGCTGTTGTTACTGACTGATCAGGGTACTGGTTGCTGAAGGTTGGGTGGTTGTGACAATTTCTTAAAATAAGACAACAATGATGCTTTTTTGCATTGACCAACTGTTTTTTTTTTTTCACTAAAGATTTCTCCATAGCATGCGATACTATTTGACAGCATTTTACATTCAGAATTTCTGTGGCAATTTGAGTCAATCCTCTAAAATTGACCTAGTCCTGGTTTAGTCTTTTGTACTTGCCATCTCCTCTGCCAAGAAAGTTTTTTTTCTACATTAACCTTGACTTGCTTTCTCACTTACTTCATTCAGCTCTTTGCTCAAATCTTCTCAGTAAACTCTCCCTATCTAACCTATCCTATATAAAATTTCAGTCCCCTCACCCTGATATTTTGTATTCTAATTAATTATCAAGCACATTTTTTCTCCATAGCATTTGTCATGGTCCAATATATATAGATTTGTGTGTGTATGTGTGTGTGTGTGTGAAATTTCAGTTAAATTAGAAATTAAATATAAGTATGTCCAAACACAGCCTGCAACATATGTATCATAAAAACATTGCCATTTATCAGAAATTTACATTTAATTATACATTTTAATATGTGATATATGGGATATACTTTTAAAAATGACATGTAGTGACATCCTTTAAACATGCAGTATCTGAGACAGTAAAATTTATGTCATCTGAAACTTAAATTTAACTAGGAATTTTGTATGTTTTAAGATACTTCTGGCCAACCTAGTGTGTGTGTGTGTGTGTGTGTGTGTGTGTGTGTGTGTGTGTCTGTGTCTGTGACTCCCCAGTTACATTGTAATCTCTGTTAGATATTTTTTATTGATTTATTTGCTGCTGTAGAGGTGAACAAGTAAACAAAGGTGCTCTATAGTACGTATTTAAGAGTGAATTAAGTTGCTTGACTTTTTCATTTAGTTTTTGTTACTTGTAACATTAGGACATAAATATCTACCTACAAGGTTTTGGTGAGGTTTAAAATAAATAGCTTACATAAATCACTTTGGACAGTACATAGCAAGGCGGTAAGTAGTTGATTATTCATTGTTTTGCATTTGCTATCATTATAGTTATTATTGATTGTATTAATCCCAAGAAGGAAACCCAGATATTCAGGTGAAGAACTCTGAAAATCTTGATGTTTTTGATGTGAAGAGTGCCATGACAACTTTTCCTAGGATTAAGCTCAAAAATAGTTACTTTGCTTCTGAAAGATATATTAAGTGCCGATTAAGTCCAGTTGGAGTTTTACAATATTCTTATGTTTTTCAAAGAAATAAAATATGTTTTCCTTTCTTCATTTAGGAAGGCATGAAATAGTATGGATGAAAGAAGTCAAGAGGATGTGGAGTAAATCTGTAAAATGACACTTTCAAATGTTATATCTCATTTTCAAATAGAAGTCTATTACAGAGAGGAGGAGGATGTAAGTACAGGAAGTGATCAAAAAGCAATTTGAAAACTATTTTTAAATAACACCATTTCAAAACTTGCAATTTTCTTGTTCTCTGAAATAGGCTTTATAAGAGGTGAACCCATCAAATGCACTTTAATGCATTAAGTGCTGTTTCAGTTTTACAAGGATACTCGTCTAAGAGTTTGGAAGTGCTGTGATGGGGCAGGGTTGGGTCCTCTGGAAAACAGAGAGTGTCATCTCTTTTCCGTTAGCAACATGAAATCACAGGCTTTATTGTACATGTCTCAGGCATTGGTGCTTTTTTCAGGCCATTGTCATGGCTTCTTCAGAAATCAAGTTTACATAAGTTGAAGCAGTAGATGCATACTTGAAAAAATGGTTTTAAATTGATTGTATTCAATACATCATAATATATTTTCAATGTCTGTAAGGGAACTTACCGTTTACATGAACACTTCAGAAAATATTGTGATGAATTGGGAAACAGTTTGAGATTTTATATACTCACATCCTAACTTATTTGTTTTGTGCCTTTGGACAATCACATTATTCTATTGTACACAATTGGAGAATACCTGGTAAGCCTCACATAGACTTAAAACTAGACAATAGTTAAAACTTTGTTGTGATTAGATCACTGATAAAATTAAACAGACATTTGATGTCCATTTCCCATATGGTGACACCCGTTCTTATGAGTATTCTGTTGAGCAAAGCACACAAAGGTAAAAAAGAGATAAACTATTAATAAGATTTATGTTTTCATTTTTACACATTTACTCATATATCAGAATCACCATGGTTTTTAATTGGGTGTCAGAATGAACATACACTTGAATTTTCACATGAACAATTTTAAATATAGACATGAATACACAAGTTCAGTTTCTAAATTTGCCAGTTACTATTTTCTGCGATAGAAGCAAATAATGTACAGAGATTATAAGCATGGACTTTAGAGTCAGACTTCTACTTATCCCCTTCTCACACATGTAATCCTGCAAAAATTACTTGTTTCTGAAGCCTGAGTTTACTCATTTGTTTATTGTAGGACAATAACATCAGACTGATAGAAGTTTTGTGAGGATTTAGACATGTTCAGATAGGTGCTTATTATCAAACCTGCTATATATTAAATGATATAAAATGGTAGCTATTAGTATTATTTTATATGACCTCAAGAAGAATACGATTATAACCACCATGAGCTTGAAAATCTCTACTGTCTTATTATCATCATTATTTTAGTTCTTAAATATATTTTTATTATAATTTTTCTGTTAGACTACATAAATATACATATATATTTTTAATTCCACAGACACATATATTTTATATGTCTTATTACAATTTTGAGGGAATAATTTTTAAAAAGTTTTATTGTATGTTTATATTTTAAGGTAAGGCAAATAAGTCATGTAAAAATGACTTCTATTTATACATTTTGCAGGATGGTAATTTCTAGTCTTAATATAGAAGTCTGTATTTTGAGTTACTTTACTGTAATTATAAGACTTTATGATTTAAGTAACATATGTAAATGAACTTAAATGATATTTGCATACTAACTCATTTAATTATAATATTCATGATCAAGTAAAATAATTTTAGGTAAGTGTAGCTTTAATGAATGTAGTGAATTAGCTCTAATTTGCGAATGAGTGCTTTTAGATAATGCTTTTGAAATTTGACTTGATTTAGAAAAAACATTGATCGTTCTCTGTTAAGTTTAAAGAAATACCAGAAGCTGCTGACAAGTTAAATTCAACTACTTTTCTTCATTTCTGAATAAAAAAATTAAAATGCCTCATTGACCTATTTTATAATAAAGATATAATAAATAATAACAGTAGAGTCTATGTTAGTTATTCAAATGAATGACTGAGCCTTTTAAATGAAAAAATTCTAATTTCCAGTTAGTAACCATCTCACCTCTAAAAGCATAACTGAAAAATAAATTGAGTTACTGTACAATTTAAATTTCCTGGAAAGTGGATCCAATATATGCATGAATATAATTTATACTGGCTTCTTGCATCCAGTATATAAAGGAATTAAAAATCCCCCAATAGTCCCTAACTGTTTTGGAAATAAAGTTGAATTTTGAACAAGTTTTTTAATTAAATTTATTAGTAATCACCTGTTATAGTGGAAGTAAGATAATACAATTTTTAAAAATACAGATATCTGAGGAAAGCCTTTCTTTCAATCCAGCACCATAGTTTTTCTGTAACAACTGACAAATTATTTAACTTATCTAACACTCACTTTTCACATCTTTAATACAGCAATAATAACAGTATCTGACTTCTATATTTATTGAAATATGTAATCTTATTCCAGGCAATCATTTAGAAAATGGAAGTGCTCAGTAAAAATTAACTATTATCCTTATCACTATTATTATTTGCTCAAAGAAAAAATAATATCTTTAAAAAAATACTCCTTGAGTAATACCCTCATTATTACAAAATTTATTCCTGCTTAAGAGAAAAATTACAGGTTATGGCAGACCTATAGGAATCAAGAGTGGTTAAATAATCTCTGTAGACACTCAGAACAATCATATGAACCTTGTGGCTTTCCAAGCATAAGACTGACATCAAATATGTTTGGTCTGATCTAACCTTGATTATAGAAGCTTGGAGTACTTACATAACAAGCATGTATCCTGTAAAACTTGTGTTACTGTTATCACCCTTCTCAAATAGAAACATGATTTCTACACATCCTGTCCATTGTAACCATACGCAGATTTTGCTCTATTCCATTGTTCAACTCATTCTGCAATTAAGCATAACTGTAGAGGAAAAATCTAGTTTTCCATACTCAGGAGAGAAGTTAAAAGTGTTTTATAATCTGACCAAATGCCCCCAGATTTGTTCAATGCCAAAATTAAATGTAGCTGAAGTATAAACTCATTTGAGATTGACTTACTGCCAGGAAATACAATTTAGATTATGACTATATTTTCTTATTCTATTTAAAAAATCTATCCCACGAAGAACTTTTTTAACAATTATTCTTGTACAAAAATTACAAGCATTCTTATACACCAAAAACAGACTGAGAGCCAAATCATGAGTGAACTCCCATACACAACTGCTTCAAAGAGAATAAAATACCTAGGAATCCAACTTACAAGGGATGTGAAGGACCTCTTCAAGGAGAACTACAAACCACTGCTCAAGGAAATAAAAGAGGATACAAACAAATGGAAGAACATTCCATGCTCATGGGCAGGAAGAATCAATATCGTGAAAATGGCCATACTGCCCAAGGTAATTTATAGATTCAATGCCATCCCCATCAAGCTACCAATGACTTTCTTCACAGAATTGGAAAAAACTACTTTAAAGTTCATATGGAACCAAAAAAGAGCCCGCATCGCCAAGTCAATCCTAAGCCAAAAGAACAAAGCTGGAGGCATCACACTACCTGACTTCAAACTATACTACAAGGCTACAGTAACCAAAACAGCATGGTACTGGTACCAAAACAGAGATATAGATCAATGGAACAGAACAGAGCCCTCAGAAATAACGCCGCATATCTACAACTATCTGATCTTCGACAAACCTGAGAAAAACAAGCAATGGGGAAAGGATTCCCTATTTAATAAATGGTGCTGGGAAAACTGGCTAGCCATATGTAGAAAGCTGAAACTGGATCCCTTCCTTACACCTTACACAAAAATCAATTCAAGATGGATTAAAGACTTAAACGTTAGACCTAAAACCATAAAAACCCTAGAAGAAAACCTAGGCATTACCATTCAGGACATAGGCATGGGCAAGGACTTCATGTCTAAAACACCAAAAGCAATGGCAACAAAAGCCAAAATTGACAAATGGGATCTAATTAAACTAAAGAGCTTCTGCACAGCAAAAGAAACTACCATCAGAGTGAACAGGCAACCTACAAAATGGGAGAAAATTTTCACAACCTACTCATCTGACAAAGGGCTAATATCCAGAATCTACAATGAACTCCAACAAATTTACAAGAAAAAAACAAACAACCCCATCAAAAAGTGGGTGAAGGACATGAACAGACACTTCTCAAAAGAAGACATTTATGCAGCCAAAAAACACATGAAAAAATGCTCACCATCACTGGCCATCAGAGAAATGCAAATCAAAACCACAATGAGATACCATCTCATACCAGTTAGAATGGCGATCATTAAAAAGTCAGGAAACAACAGGTGCTGGAGAGGATGTGGAGAAATAGGAACACTTTTACACTGTTGGTGGGACTGTAAACTAGTTCAACCATTGTGGAAGTCAGTGTGGCGATTCCTCAGGGATCTAGAACTGGAAATACCATTTGACCCAGCCATCCCATTACTGGGTATGTACCCAAAGGACTATAAATCATGCTGCTATAAAGACGCATGCACATGTATGTTTATTGAGGCATTATTCACAATAGCAAAGACTTGGAACCAACCCAAATGTCCAACAATGATAGACTGGATTAAGAAAATGTGGCACATATACACCATGGAATACTATGCAGCCATAAAAAATGATGAGTTCATGTCCTCTGTAGGGACATGGATGAAATTAGAAATCATCATTCTCAGTAAACTATCGCAAGAACAAAAAACCAAACACCACATATTCTCACTCATAGGTGGGAATTGAACAATGAGATCACATGGACACAGGAAGGGGAATATCACGCTCTGGGGACTGTTGTGGGGTGGGGGGAGGGGGGAGGGATAGCATTGGGAGATATACCTAATGCTAGATGACGAGTTAGTGGGTGCAGCGCACCAGCATGGCACATGTATACATATGTAACTAACCTGCACAATGTGCACATGTACCCTAAAACTTAAAGTATAATAAAAAAAAATTATTGTTATCAAATATAGAAATTTAAAAAAATATAGTTCTTCTAAAAGTTTCACATCAAACTTTCATAGTCCGTCTCCCGTAAACATTGTCAAAGAAATGGGGCAAACTAATTATAAGTTCTATTTTTTAAATGAGGACTTAAAGAATGGTAAGATATTGAGGTATGGAATATGCTAAATTCAGTTAGCTGAATTATAAGCAAAGTATTCTGCTTAGGCACACACATGAACGCACACACAGAGACACAGACAGAGAGAGAGAAAATAAAGGAATAATATGTGATAGTCAAGTAATTAATAATCTGCATATCGACAATTTCCATTTTCAAGCTATTAAACCAATCAATGATTACTCATAGAAATCATTGATAAAGTAAGTGAAAATTCTACCAGAAAATTTTCCACAAACCTGAAGACCAGATTGTAATGTGTCACAAGGTCTTCAAAGTATTCCATTTTTTTTTCAAATTTTTAGTGAAAAGATTTTTTTTACATTTATTTATAAATACCAGAAATACATTCTAAATATAGATGACAGTCTACAGGCTGAACAAACATGAACAATGAGAAATAACGTTCTGTGTAACAGATCATAGTGACACTTCACATCGAGGTTAGCATTACAAAGACATATTATTTAATTATTAAATTGACTATGTAAAGGAGTTGCATGGAAACATTCTTGAATCTCTCAGCCTGCATGGATACAGGCTCAGAAATACAAAATAATTTTGAATTTTTAATTTTAATAGTTATGAAGAAAATTGGGATTTTGGGCTTAGTAATTTGAAGGACATTATGTCATGTTTTAAATTTTATTTATATTTTATGAATTTCAAAACAATTTTTCTTTTGTCTTTTTAATTATACATGTGATTCTTGAAATTGAAATACCAGGTGTTTTTATTTTCAAAATGCTACAAAGCAAAAAATGCTGGCATTACTTACTTAAATATTCATGGAAAAGCATATCCAGTGAAATGGATAAAATTAGTTAAACTCGTAACTTTAAGCATAAAAAGATTTTTAGATTCCATAATATGGATCAGATTTCATCATTAGCTATGTCTTGCAAACACAATGTTTTCAACATAAAATCAACAAAAATTTGTTAAATATCGATAATTTACCCTCTACTGTGCTATACATTGGGAATTAAAATAAAACAAACATATTTTATCCTCTCAAGGGGCTCATTGTAAAAATATAATTGCACTGTTTTGGCAATACAGTGAGTGGAATGCTAACAGCAAAAACACATTACCATGAGAAGATAAATAACAATGTGACAAACTGTCCCTGGTGAACAGGGGGATGACTTTGCTGAATTAGTAACATATGAGTTAGACCCTGGATTATATAATATGTTAAGCATGTAAAGGTGGTGTACAAATGAAAAGGGTTCATTAATGGCACAATGATCATAAGTATAAGGTTGACTTTTAGGCTGTAACTTTTCTCAATAAAATTTAAGTAGTGCTAACTGCAGTGTGGTATCCTAGGTTGAATTATAGAATAGAAAAAAGAATATCAATGAGAAATCTCATGAAATCCAAATAGAATCTAGAGCTTAGTAACAGTAATGTGTTACCATGTTTGTTACATTGATGAGGTTCACAGTCACTTCCTTATAGTGTTAACCTATTGTGATCAATAATTAACACACATTTCCATGACCATTCGGAGGATAGTTTGAATTGTCATTCTATTTACTCTATAAAAAATCATACATAAAAATTGTTAGCATATAAAGAGATAAAGAATACACCATCAACAAGACATAGGGTAAAGTTTATGAAAATGAGCAGGCAATTGACAAATATTTTAATTTGCTAAATTATGGACCATTTGTATAAACTAACTCTTGTAAAATGTTCAATTTGTCCATATCTCTTTCCTTATCCTATGCAAATATTCACTTTGCACTTTATTTTGAACTACAATTTTTGTATCATGTGTCTAAAAATGACTCCTCCTAACTTTATAAGCTAGAGGTCACAAAAAAATCCTGGATTCACCTCTGTAAATATAGTCATTCAAATAACTGATGGAAAACTAAAGCAACAAATAAAAACAGAAATGTAACAAAATAAAACTGATAAATCTAAATCTAGTTGGTTTTTGGATAAGACTTTAAAGAAAACACCAAAAAGATAAAAAGAAGCAGTGAGCAACCAAAATGTCAAAATTGAATGAGTTGGCATTTTTAGAAAAACAAATTTGTACAAAGTGAGTTTTTTGAGCCATATTCTGCATACAGAGAGTAAACGTCACCTAGCTCTGATGAACAATGAACCTGTGTTGCATAAATAAATAATAAAGAGAGAAATTACTTCGGGCCTGTGTGGCTTTAGTCTTCTGTGTCAAGGAGGGGGATTTTCTGAGATTAAACTCAGTGGATACCAGTCACTTAAATCTGATGCATTATATCCCCGGACATTGACGCTAAATTCAGAAGATATCTTACAGCTGCTGACACAAAGCCACTGACAGAATGATTCACTAAAAACAAACAAATAAATCAAAACAAAAACCACAAGGATTTTTCATTCAAACTGACACAGGCTTCCTGAGTTTTAGTCTTCAAACCTGTAGTAACTGTGCTAGATTATTTTCTGGACACACTCTGAAAGTACTCAACTATAGAGATCAGTCTTAAAGAGGAATGCTAAATTCTGGTTTTAGAGAAGAACAGGGGCATTACAGGATAGCTTGTCATATGGCTGAGAAACGATGACTCATAAAGAGGAGCAGGTGTTCATAGTAATCAACATTAAATCTCTGGAGTCACAAGCACAGGCTCAAATATAATTCCACCATCGATAAACGCCAGGACATCGGGTAAGTTACTTAGCCCCTTTGTGCCTAGGTTTCTATGGTGGAATAATGAGAGAACATATCACAATTGTGGTGATGAGAATTAATTGAGTCAACATTTTAAAATTACTTAGAATATTGTCTTGAACACAAAAAAATGCTATGAAACTGTAAATTAAAAAAAAAATCATCACGCAACTCATTATCTGTATATAGAGAGAAGGAATCTTAGAAGATAGTATGATTGTTTCAAAAAACGTACATTCCTTTCCACAGAGAAATACTTGGTATGAATGTAATAAAAACAAAACAAACAAAAAACACCATACTAACTACAGTTAAGAGGGAAGAATTGAGTTTGTTTCTCCATACCACGTTCTCTTTTGACCCTCATGTAGGCAATTACTTTAATGTGTTTAATGAATACTTTTTCAAAATTGGCATCATTGCTTTGTATGTTTTAAATTCACAAAAATGCTATCGTATCACATACAAGTTTTGTACTTTCTTCAGTAATTACTGTGCTATTAATATTTGCCAATATTGCTATCTATATCTTTCTTTAATCCATTTCTCCTATTTAGTCATATACTTCATGGTGTAAATTCAGTCCATTTTACCCATTTAACTCTCCAAGTATAGACACACAGTTTGACTGGCAAACATTTTTATAGATAGTGCTCATGGTTTGTAGGGGCTGGAAGCCACAAGAAAATGTATAAACTGCTAAAGGACAGACTAGCAAGCACACTGGAAAGCAACTTTATACCAGTTATTCAGATTAATAGACGATTGTCTTAATCTACATGTTTCTCACAAATGATCATTTTATATTTACTTTATACATGTGCTTGTTAGATTTTTGGTTCTCCTTTTCTAAAAAGTTTACTCTTGAAATATATACATTTTTTTCTGCTAGCATTCTTTAGAAATAGCTTCTAAAATATTTTACATAATAATCTCAATTTATTTTAGACACTGAAATATCTTTTCCCATTCAGTCCTCTATTTCTTAACTTTTTCTGTAATATCCTTGGTTTAAACAGTTATTAATTTTAATCTTTAATTTTATACTTACAGAAAAAGATATACTAGTACTAAAATCTGAATCATATGTCATGTACTCAGATTTATCTATTGGTTTGCATTTTTCTTCGTTTGCTTATGCTTAATTTTATATTTTAAAAACATACATATAAACACATAAATCATATATAGACATTTGTATTTGTTTATGAAGCATTTGAGGGCAGGTTACAGACATTTTACTCCTGTACTTTTAAATATTTCACTATGTATTTCCTAAGAGCAAAAATATACTCTCATATAAACACAGTAAATTTTTCAAACTCAGAAAATACAATTGATTTAATAATATTTTCTAATGCAAAATCAATATTTAAATGTTGTTAATTATCCTCATCAGGTTCTTTAACATCCCACCCTCTAGGCTTGGCTTATACCTTGAATTTTGCTGTCATGATTGTTCTTTGATATGAAATATTTCCCCCGTTTTTTTGCTTTTAGACCTTGATCTTTTTAGAGAACAGGCTAGTTGTTTTACATAATCCCCCACAATTTGGATTTTTCCCAAATTTTCCTCAGATTAGAGTTAGATTATGCATTTTGGAGAGGAATAACACAGATATATTGTGCCCTATTAATACATCATATTGGGACACACAATATTGTTCCAATATTAGTTATGTTAAGTTTATTTTTCACTTGAGTAACAAGGTCTCAGCCCAAATCATCCACTATAGTGCTATCTTTTTTTTTTACACTTAAAAAGTATTTTTTGTAGTATACTTTGAATTACATCATCGTGTTCTGAATCAGTATTTTTCTCACTAGTTTTAGCACCCATGATAATTTTTGTATTATTGTCTGTTTTAGGTGTGATGTTCTGATGTTCTTATACATAGTGAACTGGTTACTATAGGAAAGTAACTTAATATATCAATCAGCTCACACAGGTTATTTTTTCTGTGTTTGTGTGTGGCAACAAGAGTGCCTAAAAAAAAAAAACTTCCAGGATACAACATCATAATATTAGCTTTAATCCTCATATGGTACATTAGATCTGTAGAGTTTTTCATCCTACATAACTGAAATGACTGCAACTTTATGTCTGGCTTGTTTCACTTACCATAATGTTCTCCAGGTTCACCCATATTATTGCAAATTACAAGATTTCCTTTTTTCAGGATGAATTCTATTCTATTGTAGATTATTTTTTAAACTACACAATTATTTATTAGCACTCATGGGTAAAGAAGAACTTACTTTTTTCATGATTTATCACATTTGTCTGTATCTGTGTGGATTCATGGATTTATTTTATATTTAACGTATTGTAATACATTGTTTATTTATTTTGATGCTCAAATTATTCCAGATTTGACCAGCAGAGGACCACTAAGTAGAGTCCGTGACCCTAAAACATGTTCTATCATTTTTTCCAGGTTTGTCTTGAAATTCCCCTTACCTCTTCATTCGTCTAAGGAGCCCTTAGATTCTTATGGTTGAAAATGGTATTTAGAAATGAAGATTTGTTAAAGAAGCCTGCTCATTGCTATTGACATGTCATTGTTAACTATTTACTTATATCTCTCTCACCCCTCTCTTTTTATATATATATATATTTATTTATATTTATATTCATATATGGCATGTGTGGATATATACACACACACAGTACGTATATATGGTATATATACACACGCACAGTACGTATATATGGTATATATACACACGCACAGTACGTATATATGGTATATATACACACGCACAGTACGTATATATGGTATATATACACACGCACAGTACGTATATATGGTATATATACACACGCACAGTACGTATATATGGTATATATACACACGCACAGTACGTATATATGGTATATATACACAGGCACAGTACGTATATATGGTATATATACACAGGCACAGTACGTATATATGGTATATATACACAGGCACAGTACGTATATATGGTATATATACACACGCACAGTATGTATATATGGTATATATACACCTATGATGTATATATATGGTATATATACACCTATGATATATATATGGTATATATACACCTATGATGTATATATATGGTATATATACACCTATGATGTATATATATGGTATATATACACCTATGATGCATATATATGGTATATATACACCTATGATGTATACATATGGTATATATACACACATGATGTATGTATATGGTATATATATGGTGTGTGTGTATATATACAGTGTATATATCTGAATATATATACACCTTTTTTTAGTGTTATATAAAAAAGTTTCAAATACAAAATGAGAAAAATAAAGTAGATGGATGGGACTGGAGATATCAATGCAAACTCATAGTTTTGTAAATACTTTAAGGTAAGATATACAAAGAGACACAAATAAAAATGTACTTAAACACACACAAATATATATATATAATTACATATAGTTGTACCTATTTTTATATCTCTCCATTGATGCAATAGATGCAATAATAACATTTTAATATTTGGTAGAACAAGTCCCTCCTTCTTTATACTCTTTTCTTTTGGATCACTTAGCTCTTTGCAGGCCTTATTCACTCCAACTAAATACTAGGATAAGTTTATTGTGTTCCTCAACATATTCAATAGGAATTTTGATTGGGATACTTGAGTGTTTTTATAACATGAATGTAGAGTTATCTATAAGTCTTGAGACAGGTAGTCAGAAAATCTGGATTTGAATCCTGGCTATATAACTAGCTAGATAAATCACCAAGGACAGTTTAAATTCTAAATAAGACTTACAGTTCTCATCTGTAAAATGGGTATAGTAATGGGTACTATAAAATATTGTCAAAATAAATAAATGAAAAATAAATTATAAAAATTATTTTACAAATGTATTTTTCTCCTCCTTCCTAATTAGTTTCCCAATTATTTTCTAAATATTACAGAAAGGCCATTCTTAATAAACTATAAAAAACAAAACCTTAGTTGTCAAATAAACACATTAATGGGATGGTGATTTCATTGGCTTTGATTCACGTATAACTGATCTTGCATAGCTATACTCAACTATAAAACTACCTAATTTTAATTCAATTATTTTCTGCATCTTTAAGTTATAATATTTATATCATGAATTTCACCTATAAAATTGTGCTTTGTATCTCTATACAAACTGAATTAGCTGGACAGGTCTTCATTTTAGCTTTTTAAAATTATAATGAGGGGAAAGTGACAGAAAAGACCAATGGAACCAGTGAACTTAAAGGAACAAAATCATTTTTTAAAGTGTTCTCAGGAATTGTTTTATAATTGTTTTTATTGCCTAAGAAATATTCTCCTTGACATTGCAAATTCTTTTTGTTATGCTAATGAATGCACTTAGTCCTCATATTAAAAAAGAATATATACTATTTCCTTTTATAATAAGATTTTTTATTATATAAGTTCTTCGTTACTTTTAATTAGAAAATCGTAGTCATTCAAATGACACTGAAGGAAAATTTAGGAGATCATGCTTCACAAAGCACTGTCTGATATGTTTTCCATCAACAGGGCCCTTGAAACTGTTCAGCTTGTTAGGCATTTGCTATGGAAAATGCATCTATCTCTGAAAACAAGATGGAGGGAAATGCAGTCCTCATTTTCTCCAGTACTTAGTTGTTCAAAGGACTGTAGCAATTTCAAGTGGTACTAAAATATGCATGCATAAGGCTTGATCATACTAACAATGAAGAAGTATAATGAGCATTTACGATTTGAAGAGTTTCAAATGGATGTAAATTAGTATCTTATCTAAAGGGATAGAAAATATCCCATCAAGTTAAAGCTATTTTTCAGATTCTAATCTTATCATAAGCATTTAAAAAAACAACCAGTATTTACTACTCTTGCTGAGAGCATATTGTGTTAGTTCATTTCCCCAATAGGAGAGCACTTCAAAGCTATCAAGGACTTTATCAACTCATAACAAAGTAAACAAGTGAGGGAGAAGGTGATGGTAATAACTGTGAAATGTCATTTAGGAAAATAGAATATAAATTTAAGAACAAGATGAATTTCATATCTATCTGCATTAGTTTTCTATTGCTGTGTAACAAAGCACAAACACACTTGCTTAAAACAATGCTCCTTTATTCTGATCCAGTTCTGTAGGTGAAAAGTCTAGGCAATCTTAGCTTGACTTTCTGCTTAGGCAGTTTGAAGTCCAAAGTCAAGATGTCACATGGGCTGGACCTATCTGGAGGTTCTTGGGAAGATTCATTTCCAAGCTCATTCTAATCGATGGCATAATTAAGTTCCTTGCTGCTATGGGACTGAGGAGGTAAAGAGCAGTAAGTCGCCACTTCTGTCTCTAATAAGGAAGGGTGGATGTTCCTTCTTCCTCCCTCATTCTTCCATTCTAATATTCTTTCCATCCTATATTCCCTTTGTCTCCTCTATAAGGGAAACTGCAGGAATGGCACTTAAAAACCTTCCTTAGTCAGAGGAACTAGACTAGAAACACACATTCCAGTCCAGGTGTCTACAGAATGCTGTGCTAAGGTATGCATGTTTTTACTGCTGAAATGCCTGGTGTTCCTATTTACCATTTCTATTTTTAGTTCTACCACCCAAACATCATTTTGGGAGTTGATAAAAAATAAATAATTTTCCTTCAATGTTACTGTCAGAGCATTTTGTGCTATCACAAAAAAAAGGCATTAATTAGCATGCAAAATCAAGGACAGCTTTTTGTCTTTTCTCTAAATTACAGGATCATTGAAAATTCAGTCTTTGGTATCATTCTTGTTTTAAGATTTTTATATATAGAAATATGAACCACTACCAAAATCATTTTGCAAACTCCATACATTTACAAATTATTAATTATATGTATTTATATCATAATAATTTTTTAAAGTACTTTCAGATATGAAAAATTGTTCACTTTTGCTACATCATCATAGAAAAGAGTTCTGTAAGCAAGCCTTTAGCTTTCTATAAATATTTCACAACGATAACAATTAATCTTCCCTGAAAATAGAAATAATTTAAAAAATGACAGTTTCCAAGGAACTGATTCAAAGTTACCTTTATCCTCCAAGTGCTAAACCTGGATAGAAGAGAACTCAGAAGTCTCCTAATTATTTGATTTTCACAAATAATTATCCAAAAGGTGTATTCAAAATGTGTTTCTGTGATAAGAACATTGCTCCAGAATATAAATCTTTGCTAAATATACCCTAACTTGGAATATATAATCAATTGTAATTTCCAATGTTCAAACTATATTACAGGTATTTAAAAATTGTTTTAATATTGAGGGGACAAGGCCCAATTGTAAGGTCATTATCTCTGGTATCACAAAACAGTTGGCTCAAAAACTACTAGTTGAACTAAGCAAAAGTAATAATTATATATTTTTTGCAAATACACTAAATCAAACTCTCATAATTATTCTATACATATATAAATTATAATTTTTATTGTTGGTTGCTTACAAAATATAGTGGAAGCAGAAATATTTCTGATTATATTAAAGCTTAATCACTTCTATAATTTAATAGCTTCATGATATTATTTTGAAGACCTGGAGAAGAAATTACTTTAAAATTTTCTGAATTACTCTAAAACACACACACACACACCCTAAAATTCCATATATGTCTTGATCAAGGGAAGAATGCAGGAGAAAACTAAAAAATGGGTATCTATATCTGTTCTTATGAGATACTATTGCTGCTCTTTTCTATTGAACATGACACGATAAACTGTAGGCACCATGTTTTAATAAAAAA
Source organism: Homo sapiens (assembly GCF_000001405.40). Classification (NCBI taxonomy): domain Eukaryota; kingdom Metazoa; phylum Chordata; class Mammalia; order Primates; family Hominidae; genus Homo; species Homo sapiens. The sequence goes on from NC_000005.10 coordinate 101,313,963, forward strand.
GAACATTTACTTTTTAGTATTTAAAATAGAGGAAAAACTACTTCCACCTGGTTAAATTTTCCCTTGGGTCAAATTGGCCCCAATTAGTCAATTAATTCCCCATCAGTGTTACTTAAATGAAGAGCAGATTAGATAGATAGGCAGATAGATAAGACATACTCTTATATCTATCTATCTATCTATACATACATACATAAACTTATATCTTTCTCTCTCTATATATATCCATTTGTGTCCATATCTGTATCTATATAGATGTGTGTACATACACATCCATTTGTGCATATATATGTATATCAGTTTGTGTAGGTGTATATATATATATATATATATATATATATATATATATATCCATTTGTGTCCATATCTATATCTATATAGATATGTGTGTATGTATATATATCTCCATATGTGTGTGTTTATATATATATATATCAATTTGTGTGTATATATCCATTTGTGTACATATCTATATCTGTATAGTTATATGTTTATGTGTGTATGCATATATATTAGATATATGTATGTGTGTATAATTTATATAGAGATACATTTTATTTTATATATATATATATATATATATATATATATATATTCACTTATGTATCTCCAAATCAGTAAATGCCAGATTAGAGTCTTCCCACTTTTCTACTCTGATATAACTTGAACCCGACTGCATTCTCTTGAAAGAAATAAGCACTAAAAATGAATTTTTCAAGAATAGTGATTGCTTACTTTAAAATTTTCATTCTGACCCTCCCTAGAGCTGACTTGTCTCAAAGTTTAGAAGCCTTTCTCTACCAAACCCAAGGTCTGGCAGAACCCCAGAGGCAACTTACCTGGAGTTTTTTTTTTTCTCATCTTCTGATTGATCTCATCTGAGGGCCAGGCTGAGAGGGTGGGGGTAAAGGGGTACGTCACATTACACACTTCAAGAGTCCATCACCTTCAACATTAATAAATCCACTGCCTTCAACATTCTGAAGCCTCTGGGCTCAAGACCAAGAAATTTGTCTTCTTTCTGGTGTGAAATAAGTTTCTACATTTTTCCCTGAAGTAGTAGATGCAGTTATGGATCTCAACCTTCTGAGAAAAACTGTCTCCCTGTAAACAGAGTCTTTATCTTCATAGCCCCACAGCAATCACATTATTTTAATCAGAAAGACATTGGGTCACAAGATTTTCTTGAGCCCAACTCACAATGGAACTGATTAGGAAATAACTAAATTACCTACGGACGAAAACAGATAAGTTAATATAAGATCTATTTGACTAGGTGTCAGGCCTCTGAGCCCAAGCTAAGCCATCATATTCCCTGTGACCTGGACATACACATCCAGATGGCCGGTTCCTGCCTTAACTGATGATATTCCACCACAAAAGAAGTGAAAATGGCCTGTTCCTGCCTTAACTGATGACATTGTCTTGTGAAATTCCTTCTCCTGGCTCATCCTGGCTCAAAAGCCCCCCCATCGAGTACCTTGTGACCCCCCACTCCTGCCCGCCAGAGAACAACCCCCCTTTTTCCTTTACCTACCCAAATCCTATAAAACGGCCCCACCCCATCTCTCTTCGCTGACTCTCTTTTCGGACTCAGCCCACCTGCACCCAGGTGAAATAAACAGCCATGTTGCTCACACAAAGCCTGTTTGGTGGTCTCTTCACACAGACGCGCATGAAACTTGGTGCCACACTTCAATCTCTCCCTTCTCTTAATTTCAATTCCTTTCATTTTCTGGTAGAGACAAAGGAGACACGTTTTATCTGTGGACCCAAAACTCCAGTGCCAGTCACGGACTAAGGAAGGCAGCCTTCCGTTGGTGTTTAATCATTGCAGGGACACCTCTCTGATTATTAACCCACGTTTCAGAGGTATCAGACCAAGCAGGGATGCCTGCCTTAGTCCTTTGCCCTTAGCGGCAAGTCCCGCTTTTCTGGAGGAGGGGCAAGTACCCCAACCTCGTATCTCTGCACCCCGATCCCTTATTTCCACGCCCCAACCTCTTATATCTCTGCACCCTGATCCCTTATTTCCATGCCCCAACCTCTTATATCTCTGCACCCTGATCCCTTATTTCCATGCCCCGACCTCGTATCTCTGTGCCCCTACCCCTTCTCTGCTTTTCTAGAGAGCAAGAACCCCCCCACCCCTTCTCCGTGTCTCTACTCTTTTCTCTGGGCTTGCCTCCTTCACTATGGGAAAGCTTCCACCTTCCATTCCTCCTTCTTCTCCCTTAGCCTGTGTTCTTAAGAACTTAAAACCTCTTCAACTCTCACCTGACCTAAAATCTAAGCATCTTATTTTCTTCTGCAATGCCGCTTGACCCCAATACAAACTCGACAGTAGTTCCAAATAGCCAGAAAACGGCACTTTCAATTTTTCCATCCTGCAAGATCTAAATAATTCTTGTCGTAAAATAGGCAAACGGTCTGAGGTGCCTGACGTCCAGGCATTCTTTTACACATCAATCCCTTCCTAGTCTCTGTGCCCAATGCAACTTGTCCCAATCTTCCTTCTTTCCCTCCCACCTGTCCCCTCAGTCCCAACCCCAAGTGTTGCTAAGTCTTTCTAATCTTCCTTTTCTACAGACACATCTGACCTCGCCCCTCCTCCCCGGGCTGCTCCTCGCCAGGCCAAGCTAAGTCCCAATTCTTCCTCAGCCTTCGCTCCTCCATCCTATAATCTTTTTATCACCTCCCCTCCTCACACCCGGTCCCGTTTACAGTTTCATTCCATGAGTAGCCCTCCCCCACCTGCCCAGCAATTTCCTCTTAAAAAGGTGGCTGAGGCTAAAGGCATAGTCATGGTTAACACTCCTTTTTCTTTATCAGACCTCTCCCAAATCAGTGAGCGTTTAGGCTCTTTCATCAAATATGAAAAACCCAGCCCAGTTCATGGCTCGTTCGGCACAACCCTGAGACGCTTTACAGCCCTAGACCCTAAAAGGTCAAAAGGCCGTCTTATTCTCAAAATACACTTTATTACCCAATTACCCGACATTAAATAAAACTCCAAAAATTAAATTCCGGCCCTCAAACCCCACAACAGGACGTAATTAACCTCACCTTCAAGGGGTACAATAATAGAGTAGAGGCAGCCAAGTAGCAACATATTTCTGAGTTGCAATCCTTTGCCTCCACTGTGAGACAAACCCCAGCCACATCTCCAGCACACAAGAACTCCAAACGCCTGAACCGCAGCTGCCAGGGGTTCCTCCAGAACCTCCTCCCCGAGGAGCTTGCTACAAGTGCCAGAAATCTCGCCACCAGGCCAAGGAATGCCTGCAGCCCAGGATTCCTCCTAAGCCGCGTGTCCCATCTGTGCAGGACCCCACTGAAAACTGGACTGTTCAACTCACCTGGCAGCCACTTCCAGAGCCCCTAGAACTCTGGCCCAAGGCTCTCTGACTGACCCTTCCCAGATCTCCTCGGCTTAGCAGGTGAGGACTGACACTGCCCGATCACCTCAGAAGCCTACAAGACCATCACAGACGCTCTAAGTAACTCTCACACAGTAGAAATTAAGTCCATCCCCTTCTTAATACAGAAGCTACTCACTCCACATTACCTTATTTTCAAAGGCCTGTTTCCCTTGCTTCCATAACTGTTGTGCGTATTGACGGCCAGGCTTCTAAACCTCTTAACCATCCCCAAACTCTGGTGCCAAATTAGCCAATACTCTTTTAAGCACTCCTTTTTAATTATCCCCACCTGCCCAGGTCCCTTATTAGGCCAAGACAGTTTAACTAAGTTATCTGCTTTCCTGACTGTTCCTGGATTACAGCCACACCTCATTGCCGCCTTTTTCCCCAGTTCAAAGCCTCCTTCACATCCTCCCCTTGTATCTCCCCACCTTAACCCACAAGTATAAGACACCTCTACTCCCTCCTTAGCGACCGATCATGCACCCCTTACCATCCTATTAAAACCTAATCACCCTTACCCCGCTCAATGTCAATATCCCATCCTACAGCACGCTTTGAAAAGATTAAAGCCTGTTATCACTTGCCTGTTACAGCATGGCCTTTTAAAGCCTATACACTCTTCTTACCATTCCCCCATTTTATCTGTCCTAAAATCAGACAAGGCATACAGGTTAGTTCAGAATCTGTGCCTTATCAACCAAATTGTTTTGCCTATCCACCCTGTGGTGCCAAACCCATATACTCTCCTATCCTCAATACCTCCCTCCACAACCCATTATTCTGTTCTAGATCTCAAACATGTTTTCTTTATTGCACCCTTCATCCCAGACTTTCTTCGCTTTCACTTAGACTGACCCTAACACCCATTAGGCTCAGCAAATTACCTAGGCTGTACTGCCGCAAGCGTTCGCAGATAGCCCCCATTAGTTCAGTCAAGCCCAACTTTCATCCTCATCTGTTACCTATCTTGGCATAATTCTCATAAAAACACACGTGCTCTCCCTGCTAATTGTGTCCGATTAATCTCCCAAACTTCAACTCCTTTCCTTCCTAGGCATGGTTAGTGCGATCAGAATTCTTATACAAGAGCCAGGACCGCACCCTGTAGCCTTTCTGTCCAAACAACTTGACCTTACTATTTTAGCCTAGCCCTCATGTCTGCGTGCAGCGGCTGCCACTGCTTTAATACTTTTAGAGGCCCTCAAAATCACAAACTATGCTCAACTCACTCTCTACATTTCTCATAACTTCCAAAATCTATTTTCTTCCTCATACCTGACGCATATACTTTCTGCTCCCTGGCTCCTTCAGCTGTACTCACTCTTTGTTAAGTCCCACAATTACCATTGTTCCTGGCCCGGACTTCAATCCGGCCTCCCACATTATTCCTGATACCACACCTGACCCCCATGACCGTATCTCTCTGATCCACCTGACATTCATCTCATTTCCCCATATTTCCTTCTTTCCTGTTCCTCACCCTGATCACGCTTGATTTATTGATGGCAGTTCCACCAGGCCTAATCGCCACACACCAGCAAAGGCAGGCTATGCTATAGTACAAGCCACTAGCCCACCTCTTAGAACCTCTCATTTTCTTTCCATCATAGAAATCTATCCTCAAGGAAATAACTTCTCAGTGTTCCATCTGCTATTCTACTACTCCTCAAGGATTATTCAGGCCCCCTCCCTTCCCTACACATCAAGCTTGAGGATTTGCCCCCACCCAGGACTGGCATATTAGCTTTACTCAACATGCCCCGAGTCAGATAACTAAAATACCTCTTAGTCTAGGTAGACACTTTCACTGGATAAGTACAGGCCTTTCCTACAGGGTCTGAGAAGGCCACTGCAGTCATTTCTTCCCTTCTGTCAGACATAATTCCTCAGTTTGGCCTTCCCACCTCTACACAGTCTGATAACAGACCAGCCTTTATTAGTCAAATCAGCCAAGAAGTTTTTCAGGCTCTTAGTATTCAGTGAAACCTTTATATCCCTTACGGTCCTCCATCTTCAGGAAAAGTAGAACAGACTACAGGTCTTTTAAAAACACACCTCACCAAGCTCAGCCACCAACTTAAAAAACACTGGACAATACTTTTACTCAGAAGTCAGACCTGTCCTCAGAATGCTACAAGGTACAGCCCATTTAAGCTCCTGTATAGATGCTCCTTTTTATTAGGCCTCAGTCTCATTCCAGACACCAGACCAACTTAGACTGTGCCCCAAAAAACTTGTCATCCCTACTATCTTCTGTCTAGTCATACTCTTATTCACTGTTCTCAACTACTCATACATGCCCTGCTCTTGTTTACACTGCCGGTTTACACTGTTTCTCCAAGCCATCACAGCTGATATCTCCTGGTGCTATCCCCAAACTGCCACTCTTAACTCTTGAAGTAAATAAATAATCTTTCCTGACAGGACTATGCTAAATCTCCTTAGGCACTCTAATTAGATGTCCTAGGTCCTCCCAATTCTTAGACCTTTAATACCTGTTTTTCTCCTTCTCTTATTCCGTTTAGTTTTTCAATTCATACAAAACCGTATCCAGGCCATCACCAATAATTCTAAATGACAAATGTTTCTTCTAACAGTCCCACAATGTCACCCCTTACCACAAAATCTCCCTTCAGCTTAATCTCTACCACTCTAAGTTCCCACCCCCCTCTAATCCCGCTCAAAGCAGCCCTGAGAAACATCGCCCATTATCTCTCCATATCACCCCCAAAAAATTTCACCGTCCCAACACTTTACCACTATTTCATTTTATTTTTCTTATTAATATAAGAAGATGGAATGTCAGGCCTCTGAGCCCAAGCTAAGCCATCATATCCCCTGTGACCTGCATGTACACATCCAGATGGCCGGTTCCTGCCTTAACTGATGACATTCCACCACAAAAGAAGTGAAAATGGCCTGTTCCTGCCTTAACTGATGATGTTGTCTTGTGAAATTCCTTCTCCTGGCTCGTCCTGGCTCAAAAGCTCCCCTACTGAGCACCTTGTGACCCCCACTCTGCCTGCCAGAGAACAACCCCCTTTTGACTGTAATTTTCCTTTACCTACCCAAATCCTATAAAATAGCCCCACCCCTATCTCCCTTCGCTGACTCTCTTTTCGGACTAGCCCACTTGCACCCAGGTGAAATAAACAGCTTTATTGCTCACACAAAGCCTGTTTAGTAGTCTCTTCACACAGACACGAGTGAAACTAGGAGCTAGAAAATATTCTTGAAAGAGTCTGGAAACCCACTTTCTTAAGTGCTTATGAATCTTTGGCCAGTTGTCCAAGCTTCAGCTCTGCCTTATTTGCGAATCTTGTCTTGCCTCTCTTGAGGACACAGCTTCAAATCTCTCCCAGATGTCTTGTTGCCCTAAGAAGTGGATTCAGGACAACATCGATCTTCCCAGGATTCTCTCTCTCGTCACTCATGATAAGTCCACATTTCTCTCCTCAGTTTTTTTCCCTTCAGGATAATCACCCTTGACCAAACCCACCATTTTCATATTGGAGAAGGGAAAATTAGAATCCATTATGCTATAACAATTTATCACTGATAGGTCATTTAAAATGTAAAGGAATTTTTGAAGGAGAGAATTGTAGAAATGCCAGTTATAGCCACAGTCACAGAGCTCTTAATAAGAAAAAAGGCTGATTAAATATAGTCACAGTTTGGAATCTCAAAAGGCATGTACAGAGCCTAATAAATCTGACAACTTTTGAAGACAGAGCATAAAGAATCAGCAGGAGAAATCTAAGGACTAATCTGCCTTTGGATTGAGAACACTTTGAACACGGTACAGCACACAAAAGCCTAATTCACAGGATCAGGAAGTGTACATCATAGAATGAGCACTGAAAACAATCTAGGAAAAGTTGAGATGGTAAAGGGCTTCAGGCAGAAAATATGCTTTAAAATGGATAGCATCTGAGAGAGAGGTTACTCAGATAGTGATCTAAATTTAGACAATTTAACCGTTAATGACTGAGGACAAGGAATATGACACGAGATAACAAAATATGCAATTAATAGGAAATTCAGGCTACTGGTAAGTCCATAAAAAAGTAAAAATAGAATATATTGAATTATTTGACTAGATTTAAACAGGAGAAAGCTTAGTTATAATTATTTTAAATAATGATCTAACACACAAAAATTGTGAGGTAATATAATAAGAACAAGGATAAGCAAAGAAAGAAAAATATTGCTTATACATTCAGGCAAAGATGTTTGTAGAGAGCTGAAAAGTTATTAGGATTTAGCATGTTAAGACCTTGTTTCTAATAACTGATAATAAAATGAAATGACATATAAAAATGTGAATACTAACCAAAATAATGTCAAGTGACACAGACAAAATTTTGAGCAAGAACACTGTTGCCTATTATTCAAAATTGATGTTATATTATTTTGGACCTATAATTTATATATTATTAAAACTTTTATCATTTCTTTAGTTTTTATTCTCAGCCTCAGCCAAGTCTGATGTTAAACATACATGACTTCTCTGCTTCCACCTCTCACCTCTCCCCAACACATGTTAAATATGCCCTAGAATATCTGAATCCAATTATAGGTAAGTTAGCACAGTCAAGTCTACAGTGTTGTACTCTATGAACGTTATATGACATATCCTCATTATTCTCTCCTGAATTTGTATGCTGTAAGTCATTGATGATCCCCATTACAAAGCAGCCCTTTACCAAGGTCTTGCTTTACATGTGAAACTTGTTAAAGTTTTATATATAACTCTATTTCTCACTACCTGTGCCATAGGAACAAGTGAATGAATTTAAGAGTGTGAATAGCCTATAATGGCTTAGTAGGAGATTTCATCAGAACATTTGTATGGCATTATATTGAAGATTCCTGTAGCTAAGATTGCTGCTATTTTTTGAGTGTCTGTGATGTCCAGAGGCACTCTTCTGATGCTTTACACAAATTATCAAATTTAATGCTCACATGAGAAGCTATTAGATAGAAATTATTTTTCCTATTTTATAGTTACATATTTGAGGGACAGAGAAGTAGCTTCCACAAATACAATATTCAATAATTTATTTTTGTCATGGTCAGGATTTTAGCCTTATTTTATCTGTCTTTAAAATGTATACTTGGAACCACTTTGATACCTGTGCACAGAAAAATAGGACAGCAGCAAAGTAAATGGCTCACAACACAATTTTACCTAAGGTCATTTCTCTCCTACTAGGATGTTAGCTGAAGCCAAGATATAGATCATTACTGAAAAAGAACTGTAAAATGTTCTAATCTTGATAGGCTTCAGAAATAAAAGAGATTGTAGGGTGTTTGGTAAGAGAGGCAGCTGTCACTTGCCAGGAAAATGTAATTCTTTCAAAACAATGTCAGAACTTCCTCAACAGAACTGGGTTCATTTACATCAAATGAGGGTTTAAGATAGGTTATTACAAGATATTAATAATATTTAATCCACAGTACATAGCACTAATTGAAGAAACATGCAAATTTTGACCATCGAAGAGACCACTGAAGATAACATTCCCTACTTTATATTAATTTTCTTTGTGAATTTAAGACAGATTAAGAAAAGGTAGGCTGAGCGCAGTGGCTCACGCCTGTAATCCCAGCACTTTGGGAGGCCGAGGTGGGCAGATCACTTGAGGTCAGGAGTTTGAGACCAGCCTGGCCAACATTGGCAAAACCCCGTCTCTACTAAAAATACAAAAATTAGCCGGGTGTGGTGGCTCATGCCTGTAATCCCAGCTACTAGGAAGGCTGAGGCAGGAGAACCGCTTGAACCTGGGAGGTGGAGTTTGCTGTGAGCTGAGATCGTGCCACTGCACTCCAGCCTGGGCAACAGAGCAAACTCCGTCTCAAAAAAAAAAGAAAAAAAAAAGAAAAGGTATGTTATTACTCCATTGTAATATTTAATAATAATCCAATATATGAATACATTCTGCACTTGTTGCATTGCACAATAAAAGTAAATAGTGGCTGATTAAATAAAAGAGACAAAGGGATGTCAAAGGATAAACACTAACAGAGAAAAATTAAGAAAACAATGAAGAAGAGTATATCAATTACAAATAAAACAACAAATACCGAAAAAGAAATAAACATAACCATTCTCTGAAGGGGAAACATCAGGAAAAATTAAATGCTAGAAAGGAGGAGTTCATAATCGTTGTCTTAATTAATAATTTAAACTACTTTAGATAGAACAAAATGAATCACTGGTCTGTATACATTTGATTAAAGAATGTCCCATTGTTCATTGGAAAGCAATTCAGTTCAGGCCAGCAATAATTTTCCAGATGATGTCACTCAGAACTAATTAAAATGAAACACAATTTTAAGAATTTTTAAAAGCAATTTTAGAATAGTTTTAGATTTACATAAAAGTAGTAAAAATTTTAGCATTCTAACAGAACTCAATCTCAGTTTTTTCTATCATTAAAGTTTTATATTAGTATGATACATTTCTCATCATAAACCAATATTAATACTATTGTTAAATAAAGTTTATATTGTCTCCATATTTCCTTAGTTGTTATCTAATGTTCTTTTCTTTTCCAGGATCGTATCCAGATAGCCACATTACAGTTAGCGGTCATGTCCTTAGTCTTCTCTTGGCCATGACAATTTATCAGACTTTCCTTGTTTTGCATGATCTTAACAGTTTTGAGGCATACTGGTCAGGTGTTTTGTAGAATGTTCCTCAATTTTGATTTGTTTGACAATTTTCTTAGACTAGGGTAAAGGGTTCTGGGGAAGAACACCACAGAAGTAAAGTGCCATTCTCACACATCACATCTTATTAAGGAAACATACCATAATGTGACTTATTACTATTGAAGTTAATCTCAGTCACTAGCTCAGGTAGTGTTTATCAAATTTCTCCACTTTAAAATTAGTGTTGTTTATTTTTTTCTTCAATTCCATACAGTACTCTTTAGAGAGTAGCCTATGTAAACCAAAAATAAGAGTCTGTGTCCCCCAACAGATTGAGTGGATGCCCCTCTTGACAGATGGGGTCACAAAGAAACTTCAGGAAGTAGATGAGGCCATGACAGAAAGGTAGGCTGGACTTGCCTCATTTTAACTCTTGCCCTTTGGGGTTTAGACACAACTGGCCAGCATTAACATTAAAATAAAGATCATGAGACTGACAAAACAGACTCTTCATATCAATAATATACCAAATTCTAACCTGACTTTGGTATAGCATCATATGACAGATAACAGGCTCTGAAGAAAATCAAGGTGTTTTACCCCAAAATATATTTATTTGACATATTTTGAAATGGCCCTGCACAGTTATCTCTTGTAGCAAAAATTTGCATTTTGTAGAGACTCTCCTTCCCATTCTAGGTCTTTTCGAGATCCAAGAGAGATGTAACTAAGAGTCTGACACCTTGTAAGTTCCTAAGGTCCAAAAAGACACATTTACCCTCTATTCCCTCTGATACCTGCTACTTAGAGTCTTCATCTACATAACAAGAACCTTGGCTTTCAAAAACCCCTCTACCTAAACCCAAACATTTGTTTCTACTGACTTCAACTCTTTAGGCAAAGCTTAACTCTTTCAACCAATTGTCAATCAGAAAATCTTCAAATCCGCCTATGACTTATAAGCCCCCAAATCATGCTTTGAGATGCCCTGCCTTTCCAGGCTGAATCAAAGTATATCTTATATGTGTTGATTTATGTCTTTGCCTGTAACTTCTATCCCCCTAAAATGTGTAAAACAAAGCTGTAACACCTTGGAAACGTGTTCTCAAGACCTCTTGGGACGGTGCCCTGGGCCAAAGTCACTTGTATTTGGTTCAGAATAAACATCTTTAAATATTTTACAGAGTTTATTATTTTTGTTAACACCTCCAAGCCACCCATTTTTAAGGAGTAAGAAAATATGAATAGCCTCCTTCGTATTTTCAGAATACGAGTATCTGAAAATACTATTTGACTGCTTTGTCTCTGAAATGCTTTCATTATTATGAGTATGTGTGTGTGTATGTGTGTGTGTGTGTCTGTGTCTGTGTGTGTTTTAGCAGTACCTTTCTGCTTCAGTCCTAGAATCAGCCATTTGCCTTAGGATTCTTGTTTTGTTTCATTTTTCCCCTGGATAATATAAAAATATCTAAAAATACATAGAGAAATATATAATAGGTAATATAAAATACACATACATATACACATATATATTCTATATATCCTGAATGCTGAACATATATATCTCTATATAAAAATCTCTATAAATATATATAGTATATATATGTATATGAAATAGAATCTGGACACCAAATGTGCATGTTGTTATGTTGTTACTAGGGCTTACTACTTCTAGGCTCTTTCAGTTGTCAGAACAAGAAAATATACATGTGTATTCTGACACATATATGCACACATGCACATACACATTTATAAATATTCTATATGTGTCTGTCTGTATCTATATAAAGTTAAACATGAGTTCATACTGTTGTTTCAAAATCTAATAGATTACCACATGGGTCATTCTAGCCTTTTTCTCTTGTTTATTCATAATTTATTTAATTATTTATTTCCAATATACATGCATAGTAGATTCATAATTATTAACCTATACCCCTATGGGAAACAACTTTATCAACTAAACACCAGTGCTTAAATACAGCTCTTTTTTTCTTTGATCATATAGATGCCACTCCTTTCCAAAGTTACTTAGACCAGTACTTTTCCCCCACCCAATTACATAAGATTGTTTTGTGCATTTTAATGCTATTAAATTGTTTTGTCACATTCTACTTTTTGTTCTGTGAACAACTATCCTCCTAAATGTTTGTTGTTGTTGTTATTGCTGTTGTTTAATTAATACACATTACATTTCTCTCTTTCTGCTGTAAATTCTATAGGTTTTAACGTGTAGCAACCAGTATTGAATCTTACTGAATAGTTTAACTACCCTAAAAATTTTCTGTGCATTACATACTCAGCCCCCATCCCCTGCTAAACCCTTGCAACAACTGACCTCTTTATAATCTCTGTTGCTTTGCTTTCCCAGAATGTCACATAATTGAAATCACATAATTGAAATCGTATAGTATGTAGCCTTTTCAGTCTGGCTTCTTCTTTCACTTAGCAATATGCATTTAGATTCATCCAAGTCTTTGCATAGATTTATAGATAATTCCTTTCTACCTCTGAATATAATTCCATTTATTGATGCACTACAATTTATTCATTCACTTATTGAAGGGCATTTTGGTTAATAACAGCTTTTTCCTAATTATGAATAAAACTACTATAAATATTTGCATGCAAGTTTTTGTGAGGACATGACTTTCAAACCAATTGAGTAAATATGTAGGAGAATGACTGCTGAAACATAAGGTAAAACAATGTTTTGCTTGGTTGAAAAAAATTGCAAATGATTTTATTTTTTTAAAGTGACTGGACCATTTTTCTTTCCCACCAGTACATAATGAAAGGTTCTGATGTAACTGATATTTTCCATCATACCACCATACCATGAAATACTATTCAGCAATAAAAAGTAACAAACTCTTTATACATACAACAACCAGGATGAATCACCAGAGAATAATTCTGAGTGAAAAGCACAAGAAGCCAATGCCAAAAGATTACATCAGTATGATTCCATCTATACAGCATTCTTAAAATAAAATAAAAAAAAGACAATGAGGAACAGATTTCTGGTTACTGGAATTTAAAGAAAAGATACAGAGGTAAAGAAGTGGGTGTAGCTTATAAAAGTAGCATAAAGAAAAGTTATAATGATGGAAATTTTTTTATTGTAACTGTATTAATGTCAATATCTTGGCTGTATGTTTTGTAAAATATTACCATTGAAGATGGAACTGGAGGCCATTATCCTAAGTGAAATAACTGAGAAACAGAAAGTCAAATACTGCATGTTCTCATGTTCTCACTTATAAGTGGGAGCTAAACAAGAGTACACATGGACATATAGAGTGGAATAATAGACATTGGAGACTAGAAAAGGTGAAAGGGTGGGAGGAGGGTGAGGGTTGAAAAACTACCTATTGGGTACAATGTTTACTATTCAGGGGCTGGGTACACTGAAAGCCCAGAATCCATTACTACACAATATATGCAGGTAAGAAATCTTCACATGTACCTGTAATCTATAAAAATTACAAATAATTAAAAAATAATAATACTGGAGAGAATTTGATAAAGTGGTCATGGAACCTCCATATTATTTCTTACACTTATATATAAATATACAGTTATCTCAAAATTAAAGTTTAAACATGAAAGTAAAATAGTTTTAAAAAATTAGTGACTGAAATGGCAGAATATGGAGCAGGGTTAAGAAGAATGAAAATCCATCAGAGCTGTGTTCTGTGCGTTTGGAAAAATAAGTCCATGGATATTTTGTCCTTAGAGGACAGCTGTGGTAGGTTCATGCTTAGCCTTCACAGTACCAAATTTGGGGGAAGCCTTACTCAGTTGGAATCACATTTCCCAGCTTTCCCCAAGCTGGCAAAATAGGACTGTGTGACTCATTCTAGCCCATAAAATGGCAGCAGAGTGAAATATATAAATTTCAAACCAGAATTTAAGAAGGAAATGTGACTTCACACTTTATCATTTCAGACTGAATGTCAAAACCCAGGGCAATTTTGGAAGTTGTTTTTCTCCATATGGCACATCCTTTGCATTCTGGAACTCCAAAAACTATGTGGAACAGAATGCTGCTCGCCTATCTTGGAATGTCACCTAAGAAATTGTGTTTTTTAAACACTGATTTCAGCCATTTATTTTATTACATATATATTATAGTGTATATTGTTACCATAACAAATATAATAATGTACTATCATTTTCCACAAGACCTGGAGGGAAAGGATAAGACAACAGACACCTGCAGGACATGACAGGCAACATCAAAAAACAAAACAATAATATCACCTTAAAATGCGGATGTATTTGGGATTGTCATTTGAAGGGAAAGTAATATTTCTTGCTAGCCATATAGTTGTTTATGTGATATTGCAACTATTTCACTTAATTAACTCAAATGTTTTGAGAAACTGCTTGTGGAAAACTTCCTCTCTTAAAGTAAATAATAAAGAATGCATTATTATCTGAATGTACAGTGTTTTGTTCATGTAATCCCCATTAACACAAATGAGAACAAGTATGAAATAAATTATTTCTCATTAAAGTAAAACTATGCATTTTAGCATTTTTAGTGTTATATCAAAAAAATACCCTGAGCTGACAATTAAAATAGCCTTAGCTCATTTTCAAGTAATTGGAAAAAATTATCTCCAATACACACACACATACAATAGTGTTTTTCTTTTTTATATCTAGGAAATAAAAATAATTATGGAGGATAATTCTTCATACATTCTCATGATATTTTAATCATTCATCAGATAAAACAAAAGATTTAAAAGTATATACAAATTGGACAAAGTAACTCTAGTGCATCAAGGCGTAACTGGATAAAAAATTATAAAAATAAAATTATAGGGAAATCTGAGAAAAATGACTAATAGAAGTATATAAGATCCACAAATTTTAGAACACAAGAACCCTGAAATATGCAGTTCTTCATGAGCCCTATTACCCTTTGACCACTTCTCCCAAAAATTGTTACTTAGCAACCAGAAAAGAGTATTTCCCTTTTAACTCTACATGATATGCCTGAGTTCAAATTTAGATCTTTAATGCAAATTCATATTATATTATATTAAAATAAATAATTGCCTTGGGAGGTTTCATTAATGAACATGGGACTATTTTCAGACTAGCACTTATGAGTAAATCTCATTTGAGCATGCTAGATAAGAACTTTATTATACTAAATTCTACTTCATGAGTATTTATTTTTGAGGTTTATGGACAGAACCAGAGGAAACCTCCTTTATTCAAGTAATACAGAAGAATGATAATAATAAGCAAAAGAAAATAGTAATGTTAATTTTTATTAAAAACTCTTTGTATCAATAATTGTATTGACTATTTAACTTTTGTTTCTTATTTAGTTTAAAAATTGGGAAAGGTGCCCAATATTATTATATTAAAATTTAGAGCTGAGATTTGAATCCATGTCTCTCTAATTCCATGTTCTTTAACATGTTTGGCACTGAATTCCAACTATTTTCTCTCTCCTCTCCTTTTTAGCCCTCTAAGAAATCATGACTCTGGCCTATTTGAAGGTCCTTTTTAACTGCTCCTTCTCTCTCTTTTCCCTTCACTATTTCTTTCAGTATCTCCCTGCATGCTGAACTTCTGTTTTACTTATGTTTCTGTGGTCATGGATTTACAATTTAGATCACCATAATTACTAGACAGCAGAAAAGATGTGTGTGATGGTACTTAGGAAAATCCATGTGATTTTGAGATAAGAGCAAAAGGACTGTCTTTATGAACTGCAGTATAATCTCAGCAAAAACATAATCAAGAATGTCAGGAAGGCCAGAAGAGGGTAAGAAGTTTTAACTGGGTGAATTAGTTTCCTGTGGTTTCTATGATGAATCACCAAAAGCTAGGTGGCATAAAACAACAAAATTTCTTTTTTTCTCGTAATTTTGAAAGTCATAAATCTAAAGTCTAACCCTCATTCCTCATGAAGAATCTAGGGACAGATGCTTCCTTGGCTATTCCCACTTCTGGTAGTTGTCAGCATTCCTTGACTTTCTCCGCTTGTGGCCACACCATCCCAATCTCTGCCTTGATCTTTGTGTAGTCTTCTCCAGACCCCCTGAAAATTCCCTACTGCCCCTTCTCAGTCAGTAGCTACCAAAAAGAACTATTTTTTTCATGTCTCTCATAAGATTAGTTTGAATCAATAGACTCAAATCAGTGAAATAATTCACAAGTTTAATTTATATAAATCCATACATTTCATATAGACAGCATTTATGTAAATGGAAAGACTATTCATCAAGCTCAAAGAAATAACTCTTTAGTGATGGATGAGAGGAGGTCAGTTGGATTCAGAGCCTCAATAGGATCATTAAAATCATACGGTGTAGGTAATCACCCTTTGAGAGCACTAGTAAGGTGGAGAGGGGAGCGAAACTGGCTGACTTGATGCAGCCAGGAGGAACATCTCCAACCGAGTGACAGGAACATCAGGAAGATTGGCACACTTTGAGCAGATCTTGAGGGAAGGCATTGAGAGTGGATGGAGGGAAAACACAGATGCTGGGCTGAAGGAGGAGGAAACTGGGAACGCTGCATGGGGCTGCCTAAAACTGGGACTTATTGCTGGCACCCAGTGACTCCTGGGGAAGTGATGAGTTGAACAAGTAAGGAGTGGCCTGTTGCTACCATGGATATTGAGAATTCTAACAGCAGGAAAACCCATGACCCCCATGGGCACTTGAGCTGCCATGGTGAGATGCTAAGAGAGGTGGTAGGGGAAGGATTCCAGCCTTTGCAAAGACCAGGGTGTTTGGCACCAGAATGGCTACAGAAGAACATGGCCAGGAATATCTATCCCTGAAGGCTTGTTATGCTCCTCCAGGAGGCTTTAGACTTTGGGTGACTGTCTGATCTGAACAGAGCACAGCAGTCTTTCTGTGGATGGGGCCAGTCCAGTGTGAGCATACCCTGTTTGCCAACCTCTCCTGGCGCCCTAGTCATGCCCATGGGCAGTGCAGCCTTTCCTGGAACCCCTCATTATAGCTACTTTGCAGGCAGACAGTGCTTGACCACTGGAATGCTCCAGCAGACTGGCCTCCACTAATGCACACCAGCCCACCTGCAGCTCTGCACCTGCCAGGGTCATGTTGCCAATCTGCACACACAGGGGCCCTGCCTCAACTGACTCGTCTGCACCCTGTCACACCACCAGGGCTGCTGGCACCCATGCATTAGCATGTATCCTGCTGCCACTATATCAATGTAACACACTGGCCAGTGTGAGCAATTGGAGTGTTGTGGTTAGCAGACCAGGAATACCTCGGCCCCTCCAATGCAGCATGTTTCTAACCTTGTGGGGCCAGAGTACAATGCCAGGCCAGTACAAGCACCTAAGGGTTACAGCAGGGAGCCCAGGTGTACTGAGCTGAGCCATGGCCCCCTAAAATCTTCCAGAAACAAATC
Source organism: Homo sapiens (assembly GCF_000001405.40). Lineage (NCBI taxonomy): Eukaryota > Metazoa > Chordata > Mammalia > Primates > Hominidae > Homo > Homo sapiens. The sequence continues at coordinate 101,331,464 of NC_000005.10, forward strand.
CAGTAAACTGAACACACTTTATACCACAATCAAACCTCCAAGGGCATCAAAGAAGTTAGAGCAAAAAACTCCATCCAAAGGACAGCAGCCTCCAAGATTAAATGAGCATCAGCCACACACATGAGAAAGAACCAGTGCAAGAACTCTGGCAAATCAAAAAACAAGACTGTCTTCTTACCTCCAAATGAATGTACTAGTTCCCCAGCAATGGTTCTTAACAAGGCTGATATGCATAAAATTACAGAATTCAGAATATGGATAGAAACAAAGATCATCAAGATTCAGAGGAAAGTCAAAAGCCAATTCAAGGGATCTAAGGAATATAGTAAAATGATGCAGGAGCTGAAAGACAAAATGGCCATTTTAAGAACGAACCAAACTAATCTGACAGAGCTGAAAAACTCACTACAAGAATTTTAGAATGTAATCACAAGTATTTACAACAGAATAGACCAAGGTGAGGAAAGAATTGCAGAATTTGAAGACTGGTTTTCTGAGCTAACCCAGCCAGACAGAAATAAGGAATAAAACACCTCTATGCACACAAACTAGAAAACCTGCCAAAAAAAAAAAAAAAATGGATAAGTTCATGGAAACATACAACCTCAGAAGATTGAACCAGGAATAAATGGAAGCCCTGAATAGACTAATAATGAGTTCTGAAATAAAATAAGTAATAAAAAGCCTCCCAAACAGAAAAAGCCCAGGATCAGATAGATACAGACATATAGCCAAATTCTAGTCTACATTTAAAGAAGTGATGGCAGTGTTCTTAGTTAAACTACTCCAAAAAATTGAGGAGGAGGGACTCTTCCCTACTGCATTCTATGAAGTAAACAACATTCTGGTACCAAAAGCTGGCAGAGACAAAACAAAAAAAACTTCAGGTAAATATCCTTGATGAACATAAACACAAAAATCTTCAACGAACACTAGCAAACTGAATCCAGCAGCACATTAAAAAGCTAAATCGACACAATAGGCTAGGATTTATCCCTAGGATGCAAGGTCAGTTCAGGATATGCAAATCAAAAAATGTGATGCATTACATAAATAGAACTATAAACAAAAACCTCACAATCATCTCAATAGATGCAGAAAAAGCTTTCCTGAAAATTTAGCATCCCTTCATGTTAAAAACTCTCAACAAACTACTCATTGAAGGAACATACCTCAAAATAATAGAAGCCATCTATGACAAACCCATAGCCAACATCATATTGAATGGGCAAAAGCTGGAAGCATTCCTCTTGAGAACCAGAACAAGACAAGGATATCCTCTGCCACCACTCCTATTCAACATAGTACTGGAAGTCCTAGACGGAGTAATTAGGCAAGAGAAATAAGTGAAAGGTATCCAAACAAGAAGAAAGATAGTGAAATTATCTCTGCTTGCAGGCAATATAATTCTACACACAGAAAACCCCATAGTCTCTGCTCAAAAGCTACTAGATTTGATAAACAACTTCAGCAAAGTTTCAGGATACAAAATCCTTCTACAAAAATCAGTAGCATTTTTATACACCAAGAATATTCAGGCTGAGAGCCAAATCAATAATGGAATCCCATTCTGATTACCCGCAAAAAAAATAAAATTAAAAGGAATACAGCTAACCAGGGAGGTGAAAGATCTCTACAGTGAGAATTAGAAAACAGTGCTCAAAGAAATTAGAGATGACACAAACAAACGAAAATACATTCCATGCTCATAGATAGGAAGAATCAATACTGTTAAAATGGCCATGCCTCCCAAAGCAATTTACAGATTCAACTCTATTCCTGTTAAATTACCAAGACATTCTTCACAGAATGAGAAAAAGTATTCTAAAATTTACATGAAACCAAAAAAAAAAAAAAAAAAAAAAGGACCTGAATAGTCAAAGCAATTCTAAGCAAAGAGAACAAAGCCAGAGGCATCATATTATGCAAATTCAAACTATACTACCAGGCTTCAGAAACCAAAACAGGCTGGTAATGGTACAAAAACAGACACACAGACTAATGGAACAGAATAAAGAACACAGAAATAAAACTACACATCTACAACAATCAGATCTTCAACAACATTGGCAAAAAAAAGCAATGGGGAATTAATTCCTACTAAATAACTGGTGCTGGAATAACTGGCGAGCCATATGCAAAGCATTGAAACTGGACCCCTTCCTTATATCATATAAGAAAATTAACTCAAGATGAACTAAAGACAAAGCTGTAATAGCGAAAACTACAAAACCCTTGAAGGAAACCTAGGAAATGCCACTCTGGATATAGGCCCTGGCAAATATTTCATCATGAAGGTACCAAAAGCAATTGCAATAAAACCAACAATTGATAAGTGGGACCTAATTAAACTAAAGAGCATCTGCACAGCAAAAAACAAACTATCAACAGAGTAAATAGAAAACCTACATAATGGGAGAATATGTTTGTAAACTATGCATCTGACAATGGTGTAATATTCAGCATCTATAAGACTCCACAAATTAACAAAGTAAAAACAAACAACCTTATTAAAAAGTGGGCAAAGACATGAACAGATATTTTTCAAAACAAGACATACAGGCAGCCAACAAGCATATGAAAATATGCTCAACATCACTAAGCATTAGAGAAATGCAAATCAAAACCATATGAGACAACATCTCACGCCAATCAGAATGGCTATTAAAAAGTCAAAAAATAACAGATGCTGGTGAAATTGAAGAGAAAAGGGAACCCTTAAACACTGTTAGTGGAAATGTAAATTTGTTCAGCCATTGTGAAAAGCAGTTATATGTTTAACCCAGCAATCCCACTATTGATTACATAGCCAAAGAATACAAATTGTCCTACCCTAAAGACACCTGCTTGCATGTGGCCTTCACAGCACCATTCACAAGAGTAAAGACATGTAATCAACCTAAATGCCCATCGATGGTAGACTGGATACACAAAATGTGATACATATACACCACAGAATACTACACAACCATAAAAAAACAATGAGATCATGTTCTTTGCAAAAACATGGATAGAGTTGGAGGTCATTATCCTTAGCAAAGTAATGCAGGAACAGAAAACCAAGCACTGAATTTCTCACTTATAAATGGGAGGAGCTAAATGAGGAGAACACATGGACACACAGAGGGAAACAACAGACACTGGGACCTTCTTGAGGGTGGAATGTGGGAGGAGGGAGAGGATCAGAAAAATGGCTATTGAGTATTTTGCTTAGTACCTGATTGATAAAATAATCTGTACACCAAACCCCCATGACACAAGTTTACCTATATAACAAACCTGCAGATGTATCCTTGAACCTAAAATTGAAAAAACAAAAACAAGAAACAATTAGTAAGGTAGACAGGAGCCATTCAATTGCCACTTATACATTTTATGAGCAAGTAATAATATTTTAAGTAAAGCTCTCAAGAATGCAGATTTTATTTATATAACCATATTACATAAATGTGTGCATTCTGGAACATGGAGAGGCAATAATAATTAAATAAAAGTATATAAACTGAAAATTTGGTATTTCATAAAAAAACTGTAAATTAAGCTGTAGAAGTTCTAATTTGGGGTCACCTAATAACTCAGCATATTTTTATCTTAGTCTCTTCAGGCTGCTATATCAAAATACCTTAGACTGGGTAATTTATAAACAACAGAAATTTATTTCTCACATTTCTGGATGCTAGTAAGGCTCATTCCTCATGCATGGCTTTTTGTGTCTTCCTCACGGTGGAGAAGGAACAAACACTGAGTTATCACATGTACAAAATAATGTAAAGAACAAAGTCGCTCCCTCATGCCTTTTAACAAAAACACTATTCCCATCCATAAGGGTAGAATACTCATAAACTAAGCACCACTCAAATGCACTACTCTTAGTACCATCACCTTGTGGGTTAAGTTTCAATATACGAATTTTGGGAAAATACCAACATTCAGACCATAGTAATGACTATAAACATATTATTTTTATGTGTGTCACCAAGTGCCCTACGTTCAATAATAGGAAAAAAATCATGCCCTGCTAGGCCTAGATAAATGCTTAGAGAATAGTAAGACCTATAATAGTAAGACCTATATATAACTGCTATATGTTAACATAAAAATTTAAGCACTACATAATATTGTAATCAATGTTTAAAATAAAATTTAAATTATTTTCCAAGTTAAAAAGGAGTATGTTTTTCAACCTCAACCTACATGTGTTCCCTAAATTAACATGATGTCGGAGTATACAAAAACCAGCACTTATGAATACAAGATGCCTTTTTTAAGGTAGACAGTTTAAAAGTAGAATTTGTCATAAAACCATCTCCTCAGCAAGGTTAATTATTACAGTGACTGACAGCATATTTACCTAAATATTAAATGTTATATTTTTCTGAGTAAATTTTATACATTTAAATCGCTGAGAAGAAAATTTTATATCATTTCATGGAAAAGTACATATATTTTCCTATAGAAATTAATCGGTACAAATTTATGCAAATATGCTTTATACTTTCAAAGTAAAAATACAGCCAAAATTTCCAAATTGTGCTTTTAGCATCTATAATTTACATTAGATTTCGGAAGAATATGATGTCCTTTGGAAGTTCTGGAAACATGGAAAACTTCTTGCCTTCCCTCACAGCGTAGCACATCTATAAGCTCTGCAAGACAGGAATTACATTCTTACCCACCATTGACTATTATGGCAATCTGGCATTGTTCACTTTGGAGCCAAACTCTTTGGATTTAAATCCTGGCTTACTATTTAATGGCCCAAAGGCCTTGGGCAACTTTATTTACTCTCCCATGTCTTACAGTCAACAAATGTAAATAGGAGTAACATTTGTAAATATTTTATAGAGGATGTGAAGATTCACTTAGTTTAAAAAAGGTGGTCAAAAAAGTGCTTGATACCTTTTAAGTATTTAACAAAAGTGATTGAATGAATGAGTGAATAAGTGATGATGATGATGATTTTAATCTGCTCCCTCAACTTTTTTACACGAGATCACACACATTGTGGCAAGGGGGTAAAAATTATGGTTAATAATACTATTTGCCCAGATAATTATAGATGCCACAGTTGGGAGTATAAACATGATATGTACTGCTATATGTTAACCGGTAAGAAAAACATTTAATGATGCAATATTAGAGACAGTATGAGAAAAACAAGATTTAACCATGTAGTATACATGAAGGAGGTATATATGATATGAAATAAAGTTTATGATAATCACTTGTGCATATATATACATCGTATTCTCTAATCTCTAATGTACAGGCTACAATTTTTCTAAAAATTATTTAATTTTGTTGATTTTCATGGATTAGACAACATTTTTTATTCAGATATTTAATTCTAGGAGCACAGTTTCATGTCTTCTAGATTTCTATCACATGCATTTAATTATATCTCAACTCTAGGCCTACATGCCCTAGCAAGTTGATAAATCCTACAACTCTTGAAATATGTAGCAAAAATTGGTATTAGATGAAAATTTTATTCATGACTTTGAGAACCTACAGAAGATATTCATTGATAAATTATCATAAACTTTAACTAAAAATGATAGAAATTATATTCATATTGCAATGATTAGAGATGGCACTGTGTTGACCCCCAAGCTTTGCATGATCTTCTTAAAGACCCATCTACTTTTGGAAAAAAAAAAAACTAACGCTTCTGCTTTAAATTAGTGGGAGCAAAGCAGTAAATCTTTAGAGGGTATTTTGAGCTGAAAAGAATGGCAGAATTCACTCTCCCATGAGTAAAAGGGAAAGAGAGTCCTGGCTGAATTGTCTCAAAAGCAACTACAGAAAACATGGTTTTGAAAAGGATATAAGCTAAGAATAAAAGAGCTAAATAGAATACAGTGAATAGACAGAAGTGTAATAGGAAAAATAATAACATGTTATCACTAATGCTGTAGATGATGATATCTAATGAACAAAGCTGTCCTGTTCATAGTGTCACTGCTCACTAATTCCAGTGCAATCACTATCAGAACAGAATAGAAAATCAGAGAGTGAACACTGACACATGATTTAAAAAATTGAAATAGGTTAGTGAACTTTTTGCAACATTTTATGGGTTCACGTAAACCCAAAAGATAACTAACACCATATACAGCACTTAGTATGTGAAAGGTATCATTCTAATTTTGCAAATACTGCACATATTCACTAATTTAACGTCACAATAAGTGGGGTACTGCTATACATTCTTATTTTACAGATGAAGAGACTGAAGCACACAGAAAGTAAGTGACATGCTTGTAGGAAGTCAGATAGTAGAATCTGATCACTGATCTGCTTCATGGTGATTCATGGTTATCTTCCCATTCACACTCTGCCACAAATTTAAATAGACATACAAATACAGCAAGAACCTTACATTAGACTGATAAGAAGCCTAGAGGAAACAATGCTCTTGAGAAAACTGAACTGCTAATGAGCCAACTGTGAATAAACAGTTTTTAAAAGAAACTAGAATTTCTTTTTTTAGTATCTTTCTCAATCTGGTATCTTTCACAACCATTAAATAAATTTTCAAAAACAACAAACATCAGATATAATGAGGCCAAATGTTTGCCTTCTAAGCTGTAGCTGCAACTGTACACGTTTATCCTTGAGAGACTAAACTTATTCTAGCCAACAAGGATGAGAAATTCTCAAAATGTTAAGAGACCCCTGCAAATACCTACACTGTGTAGCACCTTTGAACTGTCCCCTACTGCATACCCATTGAGACATTGTATTGACTGGCCAGAGAGCCCCTGATGACCAGACCGCACCATTTACTTAAATGTATGTAGTTCTACACAGGTGTAATATAAATTCAGTTCTGGAGTGTAAATATTCTTATTGCACTCCATACAAGGCAGTAATTTTCACTCAGAAATACTGACAAACCAATGTGAATGCAGTAGAGGCATCTGTTATAGTCGCTGCTTAATGAGCTAGCAGTAAACATTATGAGCTTGCCAAGACACTGATCACAGCCTGTGTTGCAACACAGACACTCATTCATATGTGCACATGCATCCATATAATATATATGGATATATACATATATATTCTGATTTGCATATATATATATATATATTCTGATTTGCATTTTTGGAGGCAGTGACTGTTCAATTTATCTCTTTTTTAAAGTAGTTACTAGAAAGCCTAACTCATATAATAATAAATGCTAAATTAAACAAATGTCAATAAGGAAAAACAATCTTTACACTAAAAAAAAAAAAGATCTCATATACACCTGAATTTTAATCATTCAAAAATGCACAATCTTCTCTTTCAGCCCTTTCCTATTCTGAATGAATCCATAAACTTCACAAGAAATTATCATTTGGTCTTAGAACAAAATTCAGTGAGTCAGATTTGGCTTGTAAAGAAATGGATAATTTCTTACAATTATGTAGAATGTTATTATATTTCTTGCATTGCTATGAAGAAATACCTGAGACTGAGGAATTTATTTAAAAAGATAAAATAAAACAGGTTTAATTGGCTCACTTTTCTCCAGGCCGTACAGGAAACATAGGGGCTCTTCTTCCAGTGAGGCCTGAGGAAACTTGCATTCATGGAGGAAGGCCAAAGTGAAGCAGGCTGGACCAGGAGGAAGAAAGAGGCAGAAAGGAGGTGCTACACACTTTTGAACAACCAGATCTCGTGAGAATTCACTCACCATCAAGAGAACAGCACCAAGGGGTTGGCGCTAAACCAGTCATGAAGGATCCACCCCCATGATCCAATCACCTCCTGCCGGGTCTCACCTCCAACACTGAGAATTACAATTGAACATGAGATTTGATTGGAGACGAAGGTCCAAACCACATCCAAACCAACAGCCAGTTATCATACCTGTGTACCTTAAGATAAATTATCTAAATGTATATGTTTCTGTTTTTTTTTTTTTAAGGAATTTTAAAATAATACAACTTTGGTGTAAGATTAAGGGGAGTAAAATATGTTAGCACTAGCATATCTTACTCTACCAGTAAATATTAGCTGTTATTATTATTATGTTTGTTAGCTAATGGAATCTCATGATGACCTTTGAGATAGCTGAGAATTACTTTAATTTTAAATATAACAAATATACTAAAAAAGTCCAACTTAATTACTAAAATTCTTACCTGTAGTAAATGGAAGATCCATGGTTTGTTAACAAGTATAGTCTTGTAAGACCGAAACTGGTTTAGGAGTTGATTGTTTTTGATACTTGACCCTTAGCCAATTACATTTTGGCCATTATTTTGTATTTTTAAAGAGATTATATTTAATTTGGCATTTCCCAGGTTGTCTTCCTCTGGAATATAGTTTGTGTGCATTTTTCTTTCTTAATAAATACAAAGGATTCGAAATTTACAGTTTACACTAAAACAGACAAATGGCTTGGGTGTCATTTTTGATCTCATAACAAGAACAAAAATCAGAGCAAACTCAAAATCAACAATTCATCTTCCATCCATCAGAAGATTGATATCATAGGGCAAACTTCAGCTTAGAAAACTGAAGAGGCAGTAGAACATGTTGAATACTTTTTATGGAGTAGAAGCTGCCAGGGTAAGTCACTGCTAGGAACACTTAAAGGTTAATTGCTAAATTGCTGGAACCTGGTTGTCAGCTAATCACAGAGGTAAAATCTGTTAAGGACCCAATCCTAGGTATCCCTGACACTATCATGAGATTTACCTGGAGAAGTCTCACTATATTTTCATGATAAAGATTGAATTGTGCTTAGGTCAGTGAGAGAAGAAAAGTAACCATTTTAAAATATAGGCATAGCTTTCTGTTTATCATAACAAAGGCTTGCCTTGAAGGAAAGCAACTTTACCAGAATCTTATCCAATCTAGGGAAAAAGGAATAAAACAAATAGAGTTTCATCTAGATTTCTTGTATTTCCCAAGCAAGTGAAGAAGAAGGAAAAAAAAAAAAAAGTTAGGAAGCTTTTCTGAAGGCCACAACTAAAGACACTGGCTCACCAAAAACAGACAAGAGTATAATGATAATAGTAATGACAAGATTATACATTACTTCCTTCCTAAATACCTTATCATCACATCAACAGGGTTTCAATATAATAGCAATGGTTTACAATGGAAAAAGACTGCAAGTCATAGGTTCTGGTGAAGATGGAGTTTCTAGGGAAATCCAAAGTTCAGACAAAATAAGAATGCCAGAGAAAATTGAAATCTCTGCCACCTATAGTTCCAGCAAACATTAAACATAGCCTACCTTCAGACAGATAAGCAGAAATCCTCACACTAGTGGCTAACTTACCTAAGTATTAGGTGATACATCGTATCTGAATTTCCACAACAACAACAACAAAATGGCTTGCTAAAAGGCAAGAAAAACAAAATCACATTCCAAGAATGTAAAGTAAGCATCAAAACTAGAGTTGGTCAAATATGGCAGAGATAAAAACGGATGGGAAGTGTAAAAAGGGAGATGGAAACTCTATGAAAGAATGTAAAAATGATAGACGTTTTTAAAACACTGTAACATAAATTAAAATGCGTTAATTGGCTAATTAGTAGAGTATATGGCTACTAAGAAAATAATCAAAGAACTTGAGGACATGTCAATGAAAACTTTTCAAACTGAAAACCAAAAAGAAAACAAACAAACAACAAAACCCAGAATACCCAAGAACTGTGGATCAACTAATAAAGATGTAACATGCATGTAATGGGAGTACCAGAATGAGAAGAAAGAGAAAAAGGTGCAGAATTTATATTTTAAATAATAATTGATGAGGGTTTTGAAAAATTAGGAATATAAAAAATTACTACAGAACCAGGGAGCTGAGAGAACACCAAGAAGGATAAATATCAAAAAATGTACAACTAGGAATATCGTATTCAAACTGTAGAGAACCAAAGATGAACACAAAATCTAGACAGAACCCAGGTAGGCAGAAAATACCGTAGATGAATTTTGAAAGCAGCAAGGAAAAAGTAACTTATCACATACGAGGGAGCCTCTATAAGAACTATTAGACAGAAAAGAATGAACAAATTAACAATATCAAATTTTTAACTATCAATATTTTCTTTAAACATAAATGGATTAAAATATCCAAACAAATAAATAACAAAATTAAAACTAGAAAATCCACATATAAATGGAAAGTAAACAACACACTTATGGACAAACAATAAATCAAAGAAACCAAAAGATGACTTATAAACTATCTTGAGACAAACTAAAACAAACATACCAAAACTTATGTTATGCAGCAAAAGCAGTACTAAGAGAGAAGTTGATAGCAATTAACACATATATTTTTTAAAAAGGGAAGATCTCAATTAAACATTGTTTAGTTAAACATTGTTTAATTGAGCAATTTCTATTGGTGTCCCACAAATTTGTTAGGCTTTCTTTGCTCATCTTTATTCTTTTATTCTTTTTGTTCCTTTGGATAATTTCAAATTTTCTGTCTTCAATTGTGCTTTTTATTTATTTATTTATTTATTTCAGCTTTTATCAAATCTGGTGTTGAATCCCCCTAGTGAACTTTTCATTTTGGTTATTGTATGACTCAACTCTAATGTTGAAGATCTGTGCTCTAGGAAGCAGAAAAAGAATACGGCAAGCCCAGAACTAGACAAAGGAAGAAAATAACAAAATCTATATATAAAATTAAATTACGGAAACAGAGAATACTCAAATAAAATTCCTAGACAAAGGAAGAAAATAAGAAAATCTCTATATAAAGCTAAATTAGGAAAACAGAGAATACTCAAATAAAATCAGAAATAAAAGAGGAGGCATTACAACTGATGTCATAGATATAAAAGCCTGCTTCATAAGAACAACTATGCACCAACAAATTAGATAACTTAGGAGAACACAGTGAAAAATCTTCATGGCATTTGTCTTGGTGATAATTTTTTGACTATGACACCAAAAGTACAAGTAAGAAAAGCAAAAATATACAAATGAGACTACATCAAATTAAATAAGCTTTGCACATCAAAGAAAATAGTCAAGAGAGTTAACAGACAACCTATGGAATAAGGAAAAAAAATTCCTGTACATCTATATCTTATATGGGGTTAATATTCAAAATATACAAGTAAATCCTACTACTTAAGAGAAAAAAAATCAAAAACAAAAAAAACCCTAATTTTAAAATGAGCAAAAGATGCAAATAGACATTTCTATGAAGAAAATGCCAAAATAGCTAATAAGTATATGAAAATATCTTCAACATCACTAATCTCCAGGGAAATGCATTGAGATATCCTCAAAATGATATATCCTCACATCTGTTAGGATGGCTACTATTTTTAAAAAATTTAAGTGCTGGCAAGGATATAGAGAAAATAAAACTTCTGTATACTATTGGAGGGAATATAAAATGGTGCATTCACTATGATAAACAGTATGGAGAGTCCTTAAAGTATTAAAATTAAGACTGCTATGTGAAATAGCATTCTCATTTATGATTATATGTTTGAAATATTGTTAGGATCTCAAAATTAACATTCCCATGTTTGTGAAATCATTGTCACTATAGCCAAGATATAGAAACAATGGACAACATATTAATGGACAAAGAAACATGTTAATGGACAAAGAAAATATGACAAATATACAATACATTATTATTCAGCATTTAAAAAAGACAATCCTGCCTTATGTAACAACATGGTAGGATTTTATTATGTGAAATTTGACATTCACAGAAGGACAAATACTTCATGATTCTACTTGTATAAGGATCTAATCAGACTCACAGAAAGTGAATATTGAATGGTAATTGCCAGAAGATAAGGAGAGGGAGAAATGGAGAGTTGCTCTTCAATGAGTGTAAACTTTCAGTCATAGAAAAATGAATTTAGTTCTAGAGGTCTCTTGTAAATATTGTGTTTATATTTAACCATACTGTACTGTGCAGTTAAAAATGTGTTATAAGAATATGTTTTAACTTCTCTTGAGAAAAAATCTATAGTTAATAACAATGTACTGTAGTCTTCAAATTTTTAAGAGTAGGTTTTAAGCATCTTTAGGACACACGACAAAAAAGGTAAATGTTTAGTAACATATATATTAATTAGCTAGATTTAGCCACTCTACAATTATTTATATTTAATATTTCGAAACAACATGTTGTACATATAAAATATCCATTTTTATCTGTCTATTTTTGAAACATTAATTTAAAAAACCCTCAGATCTACATAAAGAAAAAATGATAGAGTAGGTTTAAATGAAGATAAAATTATTTATTTTCTTATTCTTTATTGATCTAATAGGTAACTGTTCAAAGTAATAATTACAACAATGCATTAATTATCTTTTACAGAAATTAAAAGGAATGACAGTGGTATTAGAAGTGATAGGAGAGAGGAATTAAAAATATTGTAAATTACCTGAACTACCTCTGAAAAACCTTCATTTTATTAAAATGGATTTAGATTAGTTGTTAATGTATTTAGTGTAGGGCCACCACTAAAAAACAAATAAATAAATAAAATCATTTAAAATGCTGAATTAAAACCAAAAAAAGCAGAAAATAATAATAACAACAACACCCAATTCCAATGAATAAGAAACAATTAACAATGTGTTAAATATTAGTATGAGTTGAATGTATTCTCCAAAAGATATGTTGAAGTTGTAATCCCCAGTACCTGTGAATGTTACCTTATTTAGAAATAGCATCTGCAGGTATGAATAAGCAACTTAGTACAGGGTATTAAGATGGACCCTAACCTAATAAGATTTATATCCTTATAGGAAGAGAGAAATTTGGACAGAGACAGAGAATAGAATATCATGTTGATAGAAACAGAGAGAAGATGAGCATATGAAGATAAAGGAAGATTATAGTTACACTGTTACAAACCAAGGGGAACACTTGAGGCTTACAATAGCTAAAGGAAACAAGGAAGCATCCTGCCCTACATGAATTAGTGGGGACACAGTGCTGCCAACACCTTAGTTCCAGAATTGTGAGACAATAAATATTCATATTTCTAAGCCACACAGTTTGTGTGCACTTTGATCCTGCACACCTAGAAAATGAATATGGGTTTTTGATACTGGTAAGTGGATTGCTGCTGCAACAAATAGCTAAAATTCTGTAATTGGCTGTAGGATTGGGTCATGGATAGAAGCTGGAAAAAATTTGAGGCACACATTAGAAAAATATTACATTTAGGCAGACACTATAGGTAGAATTACGGATGTTAAACTTGATTCTGGTTAGGGTTCAAAAAACTGAGGAGCACTGCAGAGAAAACTTCCAGTCATAGAGAATACATAGATTGTTGTGACAGAATGTTGCTAGAAATATGAACATTATGGATCTTCTGGTGAGGTCTGAGGCAGAAACATGCAATTGGAAATTGGAGGGAAAGTGATCCTTGTTAAGAAATGCCACAGAACTTGGCTGAATTGTGTTTTTAAGTTGGGTGGAAAATAGAAATAGTAAGTAATGAAGTTGGATGTTCAATTCAGGATATTTCTAGGCAAAGTGTTGAGGACATGGCCTGGTTTCTCTTGGCTCCTTATAGCAAAATGTGAGGGAAAGAGTGAATAAGTAAGCAAAAAAGAAACAGCACTTGTTAATTTAGAAAAATCCAGATAATCTGCTTTGGAAACGAGGCCAAGGGTGTGGCTGGATAACCATTAGCTAAAGACATTACGTATATGACCCTTGGAGCCAATCAACCATCTCAGCAAAGTCAGAAATAGAGATGGAGTTACCAAAAATTGTGATAGAATAAATTTGTTTTAAACCACCTAGTATGTGGTAATTTGTTATGGCAGCCCTAGGAAGTGACTACAGTATATTAACCAACAATAGAAACGGAAGGAACATTTTCTACTTTATTCTATGAGGCCAGCTCTACCATAATACAAAACTAGATGAAGACTTAACAAGGAAAGCAAACTACAAAATGATAATTCTCATAAACATAGACCCAAAAATTCTAAATAAAATATTTGCAAAAAATTCCAAAATTGTATGAATAGAATAATACACCATGACCAACTGACATTTATTCCAGGGAAGCAAGGAAGGCTTCACATTCCACAACAACAACAAAAAAATCAATATAATTTATCATGTCAATTGTCTTGAAAGGAAAACCATATAATCACATCAATTGATGAGGAAGTATTTGACAAAATCCAGTACCAATCTGTAATTAAAACTCTTAGCAAACTAAGAATAAAGAGAAATCCTCTCCCTTGATAAAGAATGTCTATAAACACCTAGGGTTAACACAACTGTTAGTGTTGAGAGAATAGATGTTTTTCCTTAAGATCAAAAACAAGCCAAGAATGTTCTCTCTCACCATTCCTATTTGCCATTTTATTGTAAGTACCAGCTAGTGCAATGGGACCAAAAATAAACAAACAAACAAACAAAGAATACAGGTCAAAATATAAATAAACAAAACGGCCTTATTTTCAGAGATAGCAATTGTCTATGTAGAAACCTCAAATAATCTATCAAAAGTCTCTTGGGTTTTAGTTAAAGATGGCTGACTAGAAGCAGTTACTAGGTGCATCTCTCACAAAGGGAAATCAAAATAGCAAGTAAATATAACACTTTGAGTGGATTTTCTAAGACAGCATGCTGGAATTCAGGAATCACGGAAGGTAGAGGAGAGTGAAGCAGACAGCCTGCTGAGCTAGGACCAGCATGAAGCTGGGAGAGGTTCCCTAATGCAGGGAAAGGGTGAGTAAATGAGATTCCTGGGGTTCCATAATTCCACCATGGACCGTATGATCCTAACCACAGGAGAACTACATGGACAGCTCCCCCAGCTCACACCCCTAGACCTCCAGAGTAACAGCAGGAGTTGTTCAGAGACTGCACTGCTCAATGCCTGGAATCTCACAGGATTTTGGTACCTGAGTAGCCCAGTTCCAGCTACCACCACACAGCTAATAAAATAGCTAAGAGGCCAGGCACTTTCACATACTCCAAAGACATAGCTGTGGAAATGAAGGAATGGGAAGACTATGTACTGCATGACTACTTCCCTCTTCTGCTTCCTGCTAAACAAGGTATGTCTTCAGCATCCCACCACCACCCCACTACAGGTGACGTGTAGCCACCACACTGCAACGTGAGCACTTCACTGAAACTGAGAATTCTTCTGAACAGCCAGCCCACGGAGACCGGCAATCTGCCTTTCAGCTGCTCAGCAGTTGCCACCGCCACCATCTGCTCCTGCCATTCTGGGCCAGGAAGACAGTGAGCAAAAATGGCACCTTCGCAAACCCCCAACATTGAAATCCATGACCACTTCCATGGGAGGAAAGTGCAAGCGGGTCATGTGGCCCACAGCTGTCAGCCTCCCCTGCTCCAGTTGCGGGTGACCTGCCTTCCCCACTGAGAGACCATAAGCATAGCTACCTTGCTCATGCCTGACAATTTCATTTGCGGCACAGAGCCCTGCTGAGAATTCAGCCATCATAGGCCTATGATCCGCCCTTAAGCGCACACCACCTTAATATTCTGCCTACTCCCATGTGAAGGTTCTACCAGTGACCTGTGGAATGACCTACTTTATCCTACCACAGCCAGCACCTGAATCCTAAGATCTCAAGACCAAATCTGCTGACCTGCTCATAGTCTAGTCCCTTCAGGACTCATACATGCCATCCAGTGGGCCATCCAGGGACCTACAGATTCGGAAATTGCCTAGCTCAGTTCAATACTGCTGACACATGATGACCCTCCCCAGGGTCTCAGATTGGGGTGACCCAACCAACTGACACAACCACACTGACGTCCATTTGCATTTGTTAAAAGTCACAGCTCTTTCTCCATCTACATAAAGCAGCAACATAACCACATCAGAAAACAGTCAAACAATAAAGCTGCCCACATTTGGCTGAAAGGAGAGCATCCACCTTAAAACAAATCCAGTGGAGAGCTGTGAGATACATTTTCTGTGTCTCTCAGCTACATTGTGGCCTGGAGGTAGACATAAGTGTGCACCTGAACTGAGAGTCACGAGCCCCAAAAGAGGGAGGTAATACAAAAACGGATCATATTCCTGATTGTCTAGGATATGGAGCATGGAGCTGGGCATGAAACACCCTCAGCCTCTGCAGAAATATCAGAGTATTTCGACAGAAGATCCCCCAGCCACTCCCATCAAGCATCAGGGCTGGTGCCTATGCTCATCATTGGATACTAGCCAGGTGGTCTAGCTCTGCCCAGCTTTGTATGCCCAACCCCCCACCATGGAACAGGAAGCTAAGGGCACTGGGCATTTCACTGTCCAGTCCATCACCCTAAACAAAAGAGGGCACCTCTCAGTAAACAGAAATCAAGTACATACCCATCTGCTTTTGCTGCAGCTGGCTCTTACCCATGAATTCCATCTACTGGTTTACAGCTTAAAATACACAAACCAATATAAAACCTGCTGACAGAATTCCACAGAGTTTAGAATGAAAGCTAAACAGTGCCACCTATCACGTTCTACAGTCATATCTTCAAAAGGCAGAGATTGGGGAGGGTCCCATCAAAACAAAAGTAAATTCAGGAATAAGAAGTGTCAGTTTCTTCAGATGAGAAAGAATCAGTGTAAGAATTTTGGCACAATAAAAAATCAAGATGTTGCGACAGCCACAAAGGATCTCATGAGTTCTCTAGTAATGAACCCTAACCAAAATGAAAATTCAGAAATGACAGATAAAGAATTCAGAGTGTGTTTTGTAAGGAAGCTCAATGAAGTCAAAAAAACCGTTGAAAACCAATGCAATGAAATCTGAAAAGCAATGCTAGCAATGAAAGAAGAGATAGATAAAAAGCAAATAGAATTTCTGGAAATTAAAAAAAAAACACTGAATAAATTTAAAAGTATAGTTGAAAGCTTTAACAATAGAACAGAGTGAGCACAAATTAAAAAAAAAAGATAATTTCAGAGCTTGAAGACAGGTCTTTCAAATTAACAAATTAACCCACTAAGAATAAAGAGTTTAAAAAAAAAAAGAAACAAAGTATTTGACAAATATGGGATTATGTAAAGTAACCAAACTTACAACTTATAGGCATTTCTTTTTTTTTTTTTTTTTTGAGATGGAGTCTCGCTTTGTCGTCCAGGCGCCATCTCAGCTCACTGTAAGCTCCGCCTCCTGGGTTCACGCCATTCTCCTGCCTCAGCCTCCCAAGTAGCTGGGACTACAGGCTCCCGCCACCATGCCTGGCTAATTTTTTTTTTCTTTGTATTTTTAGTAGAGACAGGTTTTCACCGTGTTAGCCAGGATGATCTCAATCTCCTGACCTCGTGATCTTCTCACCTTGACCTCCCAAAGTGCTGGGATTACAGGCTTGAGCCACCGTTCCCGGTCCTTATACGCATTTCTTAGGGAGAATATAAAAAAAATGAGAAATTTGGAAAACATATTTGAAAGAATAATTCAGGAAAATTTTCCTGACCTTACTAAAAATGTAGGCATTCACATACAAGGAATTCAGAGAACACCTGGAAGATACTATACAAGACAAACATTATCAAGGCATACAGTCATCAGAATATCCAATGTCAACGTGAAAGAAAAAATTCTTAAAAGCAGCTAGACAGAAGCATCAAATCACCTATAAAGAAAATCCCAGCAGGCTAACAGTGGATTTCTGAGCAGAAATCTTAAAAGACAGAAGAGATTGGGGTGCTATTTTTAGCCTCTTTAAAGAAAAAAAAATGGAAGTCATGAATTTTATATCTTACCAAACTTGACTTCATAAATGAAGGAGAAATAGTATTTCACAGACAAATAAACAGTAAGGGAAATTGTCTTCACTAGACCAAACCTACAAGAAATGCTCAAAGAATTTCTAAATATGAAAGCAGTAGGATTGTACTATTCATTATAAAAGCTCACAGATCTTATAAAGCAATTATATGATTGAAACTCCATGGCAACTAACAATACTGTGATTGGAATAAAATCTCACACAGTAATATTAACCTTGAATATAAATGGTCTAATGTTTTTTATTAAAAGATACAAAGTGGCAAATTGGATTTAAAAAAAAAAAGACCCACCCATCTGCTGCCTGTAAAGACCAACCTAATAGCTAAAGATACATATAGAAGTAAAGGGGTGGAAAGAGATATAACATGAAAATGGAAAACAAAGTATGCAAGAGTAGCCATTCTTATATGAGATTAAAAAAAAAAACTTTAAACCAACAACAGTAAAAAGAGAAAAAGAAGGCCATCATATAATGCTAGAGGTTTTAATACAACAAGAATATTTAAGAACATGTTACTATCCTAAATGTATAGGCACCCAACAACATAGCACCCAGATTCATAAGACTACTGGATATATGAAAACAAATTGACAGCAATGCAATAATAATAGGCACTTCAACACCCCACTTATAACATTAGACAGATCATTAAGGAAGATAATCAATAAAGAAACTCTGGAATTAAACTGGTCTCTAGACCAAATGGACCTAATAGATATTTACGAATACTACAGACAACAACTGCAGAATATACATTTTTATTATATGTGCATGCAACATTGTCCAAAACAGACCACATGCATGGTCATGAAGCAAGTCTCAATAAATTCAAAAAAGCAAAATTGTACAAAGTATTGTTTCAAGCCACAGTGGAATAAAATAAAAAATAAATACAAAGAGGAATTTTCAAACTATACGAGTAAATGGAAACTAAATAATTTGCTATGGAATGACTTTTGGGTAAACAATAAAATTAAGGCAGAAATTTTTTTGTGTTGAATGAACAAAAATAAAAACACAATATACCAAAACTTCTGGGACACAGCAAAAGCAGTGCTAAGAGAAAAGATTGTAGCATTAAATGCCTAAGTCAAAAAAATAGAATGGTCTCAAATTTAATAACCTGATGTCCTACCTCAAGAAAACAGAAAAATAAGAAAAAAACAAACCCAAAGCTAAAAAAAGAAAATAAATAACAGGGATCAGAGAGGAACTGAATAAGATTGAGACCCTAATAATAATAATAATAATAATAATAATAACGTTGGTTCTATGTAAGGATAAACAAAATTGATAGACAACTCACTAGGTCAACCAAGAAAAAAAGAGAGAAGATTCCAACAAGCACAATCAGAAATGATAAAGGTGACATTACAGCTGACACCACAAAAATACAAATGATTATCAGAAACTGGTATGAACAGACTAGAAAATCTAGAGGAAACAGATAAATTCCTGGAAACATAATACCTCCCAATATTAAAGCAGGAAGAAATACAAATACTGAACAGACCAAGAATAAGTAATAAAATTAAATCAGTTATAAAAAAATCTTCCAACAACAACAAAAAAGCCCCAGAACAGACAGATTCACAGGTGAATTTTTTCAGACATACAAAGAAGAGCTAGTGCCAATCTTAATGAATCTATTTCAAAATATTGAGGAGTTAGGTTTCCTCCATAACTTATTCTGTGACACCAATATCACCCTGAAATCAAAATCAAGTAAGGAGGCACAACATTGAAAACAATAGTCCAATATCCCTGGTGAACATTGGTGCAAAATTCCTCAACAAAATACTAGCAAACCAAATCCAATAGCATTTCAAAAAGATAATTTCTCACAATCAAGAGGGTTTTATTCTAGGATGTAAGGATGGTTCAACCTATGCAAATCAATACATTTGATTTACCAGAAAAACAGAATTAAAAGCAAACAAACAAAATGATCACTTCAATAGATACAAAAAAAAACATTTGATAAAATTTAACATTCCTTTGTAATAAAAACCCTCAAAAACTAGGCATTGAAAGAACATACCTGGAAATAATAAGAACCATCTATGACAAACCCACAGTCAACATCATACTGAATGGGGAGACGTTTAAAACATTCCCCTTAAGAACTTGAATAAGACAAGGATGTCTACTCTTATCACTCCTATTCAACATAGTACTGGCGACAGCAAACAGGTGAGAGAAGGAAATAAAATGCATCCAAATTGGAAAAGATGAAGCCAAACTATCTCTGTTCTCTGATACCATGATTATATACCTGATAATGAAAACCATAGTTATAGAAAACCACATAGACTGTTCTAAAACACACCTAGACATAATAAACAACATTAGTAAAGTTTCAGGATAGAAAGTCAATGGTCCAAACATCAGTAGAATTTTTTTTTTTTTTGAGACAGAGTCTTGCTCTGTCACCCAGGCTGGAGTGCAGTGGCACTATCTTGGCTCACTGCAACCTCCACATCCCGGTTTCAAGCAATTCTCATTCCTCAGCCTTCCAAGTAGCTGGGATTACAGGCATGTACCACCACATCTGGGTAATTTTTGTATTTTAACTAGAAACAAGTTTTCACCATGATGGCCAGGCTTCTCTCAAACACCTGACCCCAAGTGATCCACCCACCTCGGCCTTCCAAAGTGCTGGGATTACAAGCATGAGCCACTGTGCCTGGCCCAAAATCAGTAGCATTTTTATATACCAATAATTTTCAAGCTGATAACCAAATTAATAACCCAATCCCATTTACGATAGCCCCCCAAAATTAACTAGGAATAAATGTAGCTAAGGAGGTAAAAGATCTCTATAGGAGAACTACAAAACACTGATGAAAAAAATTGTAGGTGACACAGACAAATGGAAATATAGCCCATGCTCATAGATTGGAATGTCGATATTATTCAAATGACCATAGTACTTAAAGCAATCTGCATATGCAATGCAATTTTTATCAAATTACCAGCATCATTTTTCACAGAATTAGAAAAACAATCCTTAAGTTTATATGGAATGAAATTAGAGGCAGACTAGCCAGAGTAATCCTAAGAAAAAATAGAGGAATAACATTGCCTGACTTCAGATTCTACCACAAGGCTGTAGTTAATCAAGGCTAAGTAAAACAAACAGCTTCATACTGGTACAAAAACAGACACACAGATAAATATAACCCAATACAGAACCTGAAAAGAAAGCCATATACCTTCAGACAACCAATCTCCATCAAAGTTGACACAAATAAGAAATGGGCAAAGGACACCCTCTTTAACAAATGGTAGTGGGAAAATTGGCTTGTTGTATGCAGAAGAAGGGAACTCTACCCATATCTCTCACTAGGTACTATACAAAAATCAAGATGGATTAAAGACCTGAACAAAACATAAAACTATAAAAATACTAGAAGAAAACCAAGGAAAGTCATTTCTGGATATTGCCATAGGCAGAGAATCTATGTCTAAGACCACAAAAGCAAATGCAACAAAATAAAAAATATGCAAATAGGACTGAATTCACTGGAAAGCTTCTGCGTACCAAAATAAATAATCAGCAGAATAAATAGACAACCTACAGAACAGGAGAAAATTTGCTGATTATGCCTCTGACAGATGACTAATATCCAGAAACTACAAGGAAGACAAATAACTCAACAACAACAATAAACAAACAACCTCATTACAAAGGACATGAACAAATATCCCCTCAAAAGAAGACATACAAGCGGCCAACAAATGTATGAAAAGATGTTCAACATCAGTAATCATCAGAGAAACACAAATTTAAACCACAATGAGTTACCATCTTATAATAGCCAGTCATAATGGCTATTATAATAGTTAGTGGGAACATAAATTAGTACAACTTTTGTGGAAACCAGCATGGAGATTTCTCAAAGAACCAAAAATGAAACCACCTTTGACAGAGCAATCCCATTTTTGTGCATCTACCCAAAGGAAAAGAAATCATTATATAAAATTATATAAAATTTGAACTTGTATGTTTATTGCAGCAACATTCTCAATACGAAAGTCATAGAATCAACCTGTGTTCATCAATGGTTGTTTGGCTAAAGAAAATGTTATCTGTGTATGTAAATATACATGTATATATATACATGTACCATAGAAATGGAATTACTATGCAGCCATAAAAAATAATGAAATAATGTCATTGACAGCAACATGGATGGATCTGCAGGCCATTATCCTGAGGTAAATAACTCAGATAAATAAAATCAAATATCACATCTTCTCATTTGTAATAGGGAGCTAAACAATGTGTACACATGGACATAAAGATGGAAATAATAGACACTGAGGACTCCAAAAAGGGGGAAGGTGGGGGGAGGGATGTAAATGTTGAGTAGTTACCTGTTGGGCACATTGCATGCAAGAAGCCCAAACTCTATCATTATTCAACATAATCATGTAACAAACCTACACATGTATCCTCTTAATCTGAAACAGAATACAATTTTTAAAAAATCTCTTGGGACTAAAAGGGATTATAGCACAGTCTAGGAAACACATAAGCAAATTTATTTCCTATATACCAGCAATGCACAATTGAAAGGAACATTTAAAAAGTATTTATAGTAGCACAAAAGTAAATGTTTTCTATGTATCTAATAAAATACAGAATATGTATACTTAACACTACAAAGCCTCAGGAAAAATATCATAAGATATACATATATTGAGAATTATGTCATATTAATTATTGGAAGATTATATGTTAAGATGGAAGTTTTTCTAAAGCTTATATAGAGATTCAACATAATCCCAATGAAAATCCCAGTAAGTTATTTTGTGATATTGACAAGCTGATTTTAAAGTTTACATGGAAAGGTAGAAGACCCAGAGCAAAATATTGAAGAAGAACAAAGTTGGAAGACTGACGTTACCCAACTACAAGACTTACTATAAAATTACATTAAGAAAGCACAGTGTTGACAAAAATAAACAAATCTATGGAACAGAATAAAGAATCCAGAAATAGATCCATACAAATATAGACAACTGATTTTTGACAAAGGAGCAAAGCAACAATGGAGAAAAGATAGTGTTTGCAACAATTTGTTGAACAACAGTATTTTGGGGACAAATAAATGTTCACTTCCCAAAAATAAAAATTAAGCTAGACACAAGGCTTAAACTCTTCACAAAAATTAACTTGAAATGGATCACAGACCTAAGTTTAAAACACACATCTATGAAACTTTTAGATATAAGAAAATAATTTAGGCAGTCTTAGGTTTAGCAGCAATGGGTTTTTAGATACAACAACAAAATTATTATCTATGAAAGAAAAAATTGATCAGTTTTACCTTATTAAAATTTAAAACTTCTGCTCTAGAGACAACAGTGTTACAGAATAAAAAGACAAGCCACAGGCTGGAAGACAATATTTGCAAAACACATATCTGATAAAATACTTGTATCCAAAATATGAATTTTAAAAAATCTCAAAACTCAACAATAAGAAAACAAACAACTCAAGTAAAAAGTGAATAAAATATCTAAACAGACAACTCACCAAAATCTATACAGATGACAGGCATTTGAAAAAATATTTTACATCATATGTAATACAGGAAATGTAAGTTAAAACAACAGTGAGATGCCACTATGTATCTATTAGAATAACTAAAATCTAAAACACTTTTAACACCAAATGTTGGTAACTATGTGGAGCAATAGGAATTCTCTTTCATTGTTGATGGAATGAAAAATCGCACAGCCACATTATAAGATAGTTTGGCGGTTTTGTACAGAGCTAATGTAGTTTTACTACATGACCCAACAATTCCACACCTTGTTATTTAAAAAAGTGAGCTGAAAACCATGTATACACACAAACATTTTATGCACATGGGTGTTTATAGCATCTTGATTCATGATTTTCAAATATTAGAAGCAATCAAGATGTTTCTTAAGAGGTAAATGTATAAACATATTGTGATACATCTGTTCAGTGGCATATTACTCAGTGGAAAAAAAAGAATTACCAAGCCACAAAAATATATAAAGAAACCTTAAATTTATATTTCTAAGTGAAAGAAAACAATGCAAAAATATTACATATTACAAATCATTAACAAAATGATCCCAATTACGTGACATTTTAATAAAGGCCAGGGATCTGGGGTGAGGTGGGAAGGGAAATGAATAGGTGAAGTACAAGGAAAGTTTAGGGCAATGAAACTACTCTCTATGATACTGTAATGGTGGATATATGACATTGACCATTTGTCAGAACCTATAGAACTGTAAAACACAAAGACTGATTTTTTAACACAAACTATGGATGTTAGGTAATAATATATATTAAGATAGGTTCATTAATTGTTGCAAATGTACCCCACTAATGCAAGATTTTAATCAAACAGAAGCTGCAAGAGGGACAGAGGTTGTATATGGGAACTCTGTACCATCTATTCAATTTTTCTGTAAATATAAAACTATTCTAAAAATAAAGTTCATTAATAACAAAAAAGGAAAAGTCTGATAACTATGCACATATTCCATATGTTTTATTGGACATTCACTTGTTAACAACTCTGAGATATCTTTCAATAAACACTTTATTTACTCCAATGTATCCCCAACTTCTCGGACACTAATATCCTTCATTTAGAAGAATATCCATTTATATCAAGGATGTTATTGTACAACAGAATACCTATGTCATCATATTGCTCCACATTTCTAGGAGAAACCAGCAGGCTTACAAATACGTAGAGATGGTTAATATTCTTTTAATTTCCATTTAGGCATCTCGCTGAGTGACGTATATTTGCATGGGCAGTTACTCTTGCAGTGGTTACTGACATCTCAAGGTCACCAGCTGTCCTAAGACCTAGGAATTAATACCTCTTCCTCCTCTGCCTACAGATGTTTAGCTTACAAAAGCACCACATTTATTTACTAATTATTGATTGTCTTTTATTTCCATTTATAAAAAACCTGGTCAGCTTTATCTAATGGTAAATGCAGTAGTATCAATATCTCTGAAGATCTTCACCTCATTAGCAGTGATATGAGTTGACAGATAAACCCACTTGAATCCAGAGGTATTGCCCCATGAACACTTCTTATCTTCAGCCCTGCCATGACCTCACCAACAGGTAACTTGTATATCACTTATGTCTGTGTATAACGTCTAACCTCATGCCAGTAATTTGTTGAATTCATAAGTATGTTTCTCTCTTTAACTCTGAAACATTGTTTACTTGAAAAAGGCCTACCTTAAATTAATGAAATTTCTTTCTCACATTGTATTTTCACAGTGTCAGAAAGTTCTTCCAGTAAGCTTAGTAAGGCATTCTATCACCCTTGTATAAATGAGTCGCTTATACCCTGGCCTCTATCCTATGGCAGCCATGTATATTTTGGCACAGGAAATATTCATTAGATTTTCTTTCATTTGGAAGTCAAAATTTATTGATTCAAGAAAACTGAGAGAACTTCTACTTCTAAAGTAACTAGCAGACCCATACAGTGCAATCACCATTAAGATTCAAACCAACCTTAGTTATTATAATTACAGAACTCCACTCCTCAGTGAGCATGCTATCATATTACTATTGCTGTCAAACTTAATTGAATGGCTTCCCCAATACTTTAAGACTGCATACTAAGTTGATCTTTAACAACTGAGATATTAAAAATAAAAAGAAGGAAAAAATAAAGAAAGAACTCCTCTACCATCATTCTAATGAATACATTTAAATTATTTGGGGAAACAGCCTGGTGATTGGAAAAAGAAATTGACTAACCAAATACCTGAATTGGGAATATGAAGGGATATGTATAATTAACAAAAACAAGAACAGCAATATGATTCAAAACTACCTGGTATGCAATATAATTGTTCCCAGTCCTATTCTACGTGTGTCTACTACAAAATTTCACCCTCTCCTGTTATTTAGTTTGAGTAAATATGTGTATGGAATAGCTAATTAAGTCCAGGCAGAAAAAGCCCTCTTGAAGCAGTCAGTTGTATTATGGTTTTGTTTTATCACATGGGTTGCTCACACCAAAAAAAAAAAAAGATACACATCAGTGCTTATAAAAGAAAGAATATCATAGTTAGGTCATAAAAACACTTAAATAATAACTTAAAATTTGTTCTCCTCTGATACTTCCTAGATAATGACTTTTCAGTCTAAGCAGGACTCCCTTAGTGTAACTTTAAAGTCATATTGCAAATATTCTTTTTCACCAGCATCATTCATACAATTAACTTTTAAGAGTGGACAATATGAACAGTAATTTCCCCAAATACTGTATTTATTTTACCATCTTCATTACCACCTTAATTAAATCCAACAGACTTGCCCAACGTGTTTCATTAAATTCCTATTTTTATAAACTACAGTGGCTGATGTGTTGCCACATTTGAAATATTTTGAGATAAAAGTATCATATTCTTGATAACAGCTGTACTATCTTCAAATGTATTTGAAAAGACACACAGAGACTGCTCTCATTTTTAAGATTGCTCAGCACAACTTTAGAAATGTACAGTTGGCAGAACCAAACTAGGAAGTAGTAATGGTCAAACAGTAACAATAATCTTGTGATATGCTTATATACTTTGCCTACTTTCTCAGTGTTTTTACTTTTGTTTTCACCATCCATCTTCTCTATCCTCATGGTAACACAAGGAATGTAGAGATACATTACGATCAAGTAAATTTTTTTCATGCACATACATAATTAATAGCAGAATGAGCATAAAAACATATCTTTGCTTCTTTCACAATTATAAACACAAGTTCAAAAAGTAGATATTAACATTTATTTTATTGGAAACCACAGGTTTCCCAACTGTAATTAAAAACACAGTGATAAATAGGTCACAAAACTACAAAAGGATAAATATTACTATGTCCACAATATGAATATACTATCTCAGTTTTAAGAAAACCTACCTAATTACATATTGGTTAGAAGCACTGTTTTCAAATAAGAGAAAATGGATTCATAATTTTAAATTTATGAAATAACTTAGTGGGCCGGTAGCGGTGGCTCATGCTTGTAATCCCAGCACTTTGGGAGGCCGAGGCGAACAGTCACTTGAGGTCAGGAGTTTAAGACCAGCCTGGCCAACATGAGAAGACCCAGTCTCTACTAAAAATACAGAAACAAAAAAGAAAATTAGCCATGAGTGGTGATGCATGCCTGTAGTCCCAGCTACTCAGGAGGCTGAGGCAGTAGAATCATTTGAACCCAGGAGGCAGAGGTTGCAGTGAGCTGAGATCGCACCACTGTACTCCAGCCTGGGTGACAGAGCGAGACTCCACCTCAAAATAATAATAATAATAATAATAATAAAAAAATAACTTAGCAATAACTCAGGTAATGTAATTGAAATTTGTAATTATATTGTTTTAATACAATTTAGTTTTATAACATATCAAATTGATCAATAATTTCTTTCATGTTGTTTGTTTTTGGCTTCACTTTTTTTTTTTACATGACTATATCTTTTTCTTGGTGTAATACAACAGGAAAAGTTATTTATACATTTGGAACTTTCAAAATAGGTTTATTTTATTAAACGGAAGTTTCATTTAATTAGGAGAAATTTCATATTTAGAATTGCCATAACAAGAGCTATAGCAGTGACACATATTTATGGCAGCATTCTGGGTTCAACATAAACATTATCTTAATTAAGCATACAAGTTAGGCCTGTAAAGGTCCCATTATATAGCTATATCATAGGTAGCTATATTATAAATTGCTACTCATGAATTAGAATTAATCATATGCTTAATAGTGAAACATGCTGTTTGACCCTGAGAAAGAAGTGAAAACTAAAATGACTTTTTCCAGTTCATCCCAAACTCTTCTTTCTGTAAAGAGTAGCTTTACTGCACTACCCGCGACTGTTCTAGGCCCCATTAAAATGCCTATAATTGGACTTTACTGTGCTATGAAACTAATCAAATCCAATTCTCTGGTTTGCCTTCCTTTCTCTGGACTTATATCCAACTGTATCAATCCTTCACAACTATCCTGTATCTAAGCTGCTGCCTCTGACCTATTGCTCAGACTTTCCTTCATATTCTCTGTTGCTTTGCCTCACTGGTAGGTCTTCCACATTTATTTATGATGGTCTCCTACAGTTGGATCTATTTTGTTAAAGCCAAATCTCATCATGCATCCTTATAAGTTATTTAGAGATAGTTATTATTGTAATAATGCAATCATTGGAGAAATCATTTTAGGCAGTGTATTCAGTTTTGAAGAACAGACCAATGTTAGGAAAACATTTCACTTTGGTGTCAGAAAAAAATGTATTTCACTTTGACACAATGCAATTAAAAACACTATCATGGATTTTTGAGAAAGAGTGAAACAGTTTGGAAAAAGAAAAATACTATCTGCATCTCAATCTCGTGAACTTATTTGTTTTCTAAATTTCTTCACCTGTAAAGTGACACTGACAATCTAAATCTTGCCTGTGGAGATCTTGTGAGGTATAACTAATGTTGCTAAATCATGCTGGAAAAAAAAAAAAACCACCCACAAAGCTTTACATTTAGTATAATTTGTGACGGTAAGACAAAGGCAAAAGCAAAGC